>NC_000014.9:65975349-66278379 GCF_000001405.40 Homo sapiens | reverse complement strand
CACTAATTTATACTCCTACCAACAGTGTAAAAGCATTCTTATTTCTCCACATTCTCTCCAGCATCTGTTGTTTCCTGACTTTTTAATGATCACCATTCTAACTGGCATGAGATGGTATCTTATCGTGGTTTTGATTTGCATTTCTCTGATGACCAGTGATGATGAGCATTTTTTCATGTGTCTGTTGGCTGAATAAACGTCTTCTTTTGAGAAGTGTCTGTTAATATCCTTTGCCCACTTTTTGATGGGGTTGTTTGTTTTTTTCTTGTAAATTTGTTTAAGTTCTTTGTAGATTCTGGATATTAGCCCTTTGTCAGATGGGTAGGTTGCAAAAATTTTCTCCCATTCTGTAGGTTGCCTGTTCACTCTGATGATAGTTTCTTTTGCTGTGCAGAAGCTGTTTAGTTTAATTAGATCCCATTTGTCTGTTTTAGGTTTTTTTTGCCATTGCTTTTGGTGTTTTAGTCATGAAGTCTTTGCCCATGATTTCCATCTTTTAAATGGCTGAATAAGGCCAAGCATAGATGCTCATGCCTGTAATCCCAGCACTTTGGGAGGCTGAAGTGGGAGGATTGCTTGAGTCCAGGAGTTTGAGACCAACCTGGGCAACATAACAGGACCCTGTCTTAAAAAATTAAATTAAATTAAAAAATAAAAGACTGAATAATATTCCATTGCATGTATATCCACATTTTCTTTATCCATGGACATTTAGGTTGTTTCTGTATCTTGACTATTGGGAATAATGCTGCAGTGAACATGGGAATGCAGATATGTTTTCAGGGTCCTGATTTTAGTTCTTTTGGATATATACTCAGAAGTTGGGGGGTGGGAGGACGTTTGTAAATTGCCATACTAGTGGGCTAGTGAGAGGTGAGGACAGGATTCAAACCCAGGCCTGCCTGAATCCATAGTCAATCCTTTGGCTCTAAATTTCCTTAGTGTTGATCATTTCTTCCTTCTACTTATTGGCTCAGTTCTTCACCAGTGTGATGCACCACCATTCACAGAACATACACCTTGAAGGAATCATCAGGCACCCTTTAAGATGAATAGTCTACCCTGGTGTTTAGGATCCAATAAGCCATACTTCATCTGTAGCTAGAAGGGATAAATAAATTTTAATTGGAAATTGTATCCCAATTTGTGGTGTTAAAAATATTTTAATGGTAAATAATTGCCTTGTTAATTTGTATTAAGTAGTCAATAATCAGAGATGGGTTAGCTGTGGTTAGGTGGCAGACAGGGATGTGTGAACAGAATATGTTGAGGCTCTGGAGAAGAATGAAGGAAACATGGGGCTGGCTCATACCAGGGCTCAATAAATAAGTAAATGCATCAAGAAAGAAGCAGGAGAGCTTGGGGTTTGTCAAGGGCAGACATCTGGAAGATAGCAGCTATTTCTGGAGAGAGGTGACAATGGGATTTCTGAGCAGTATTATACCTGGACTCTTGAATAGTAGATATGGGGGCCTAGTCCCTGAGGCTGAGGTACCAGGAAGGTATTGGTAACAAGGTAAGTGACATGTAAGTAAAATTAATATATGTAGTCAGAAAGAGACCAGAGACTAAGTTGTTTAGATGCTGAGCATTAAGCATTTCTCTTTAAGACTTCTTGAATTCACCAAGTCTGGGAACAGCACTGGTTTTGGAGCATGGGGTGATGCTGAATCTATAGATGAGTGCTCACTTAAGGCAGTTGGCGGGGTAGGAATGGGAACGAGGCATGTGTAGATCATGATTTCAGGGTCTCTGGAGAGAGCAGATCTGGTGGACACCCAGAGGTTGTAAGATAGAATTTGGTTTTTAGACTAAAAAGAAACCTTATTTGAAAAACCAGCCCCGTGAATTTTGCTGTATGATCTTAGAAATCTTGTCTTAAATTTCATTTATAGTGTAACAATCAGTAAAATGAAGACAATGATAGCTGTTTTGCAATGATGTTGAAAATATTATCAATAATGAATACAAGGTTCTTGGCACGTTACAGGCACTCATAAATAGTAGCTGTTATGAATAGTCAGGGACTAAGAGAGATTAATTTTCCTGGGAGTAAAATGGGTGAAGTGGAAATTGAAGTTGTACATTTATGTTAAAAGGAACCAAGCTAAGGCAGGTGTCTAGTTTACCTCCAGGGGTGGATTCTGTACTCTGAGGTTCCTCATTTGTGGTAGACTTTTCCTTGTTCTATAGTCAATGGGATCTGAGTAGTACCAGCTGGATGGCTTGTTTGAGTGAACGCTTCAAAAGGAATATCAGGGGCTAAACTCTGAGGATAGGATTCTAGAATTTTAGGACTCCAAGGTGTTTAGCACCAACATAGAGAGCTGAGCCCAGAGAAGGAAAAATGACTTAACTTAGATTCACTCAGTTTGTCAGTGGGCAAAAAGGAACTGCAACCTGGCCATGAACTCTCACTCTTCTGTAGTGGCCTCTCAGTACCACTCATGTTGAAGCTACTTTAAGTTCCAATTATAATAATAATAATGACAACAACAAAAACTACTACAGCAATAACAACTGCTATTCAAAATATTTATTAAATGCTTATTGTGAGCCAGACACTGTTTAAAGTGCTTTGTATGTATGTTTCATTAAATCTTCACAATCTACGAAGTAGGTACTATTATGATCTCCAAAACAGGCAAGGAAGCTGAGGAACCTTGCCTAAGGAACCTGCCCAAGATCATGGAACTAGAAAGTGGTAACTCCAAGGTGTAGCTTCAGATCCCCTGCTCTTGACCCTTATGCCATGCCACCTCCAATGCATGTCAGTGTCTGAGAAGACAGTGACCATGTAAGATGGCAGATAACTAGTGGGTGGCCAGTTCTGGTGTATGTGGTCTTCTCATTCTCCTTTGCCCGTTGTTTTTGAGTCTTATCTGACTTTCTACCAAGTTTTTAAAAAATGTTAACAGTCTTTTGTTGTTACTTATCTGAGGATCCATTCAAGTTACAGTTTAGATACTCCAAACTGTATTGCTACTGTGTATTGCAAACTGTGTATTGCTACTGTTTCATACACTAACATAGATATCCTTTTATTTTACATGGGGTTATTATAGCTAAAGCTTTTGCTGTCATTCAGAGCATACTAATATCTCCCAATAAAGAGAAAGTTGAGTGACAACTGAAGGAAGCCCTCTATGTCCCATGTTCAGGAAAAATGTAAAGTATCGCTTTAGTGAGCTGAATAGGTACAAAGAGATTATTCTAGGTGAAAAAAAAGAAAAGAAGAGAAACTCTGCAACAGCAGGAGGAGAGGGCAACCAGACACAAAAGTGAAAACCAGATACTCAATTTCCCAGCATTGCTTGCAGCTAGAGGTGATCACATGAACTGCTTCTGTCCTTCTAGCCAATAAGATATAAGAGTAAGTCTACTTGGAGCATCTGAAACATCTTTGCTGTCTTGAGAAATGGTATAAGCAGGAGAGAACTTACCTAACTCCTCCTTCTTTCCTTGAACTTGCCCATGATGCTTGGGGTGAGGCTGTCATCTTGCAACCACGAGATGGCAAGCACAAAGACAAAAAGCTAACACACTGAAGTTGGTGGAGCAGAAATATAGAAGGAAACTGGGTCTTCATAACACTTATGAGCAGCTAAAACAACAGCAGCAATAGCCTATCTCTAACCTTGTCACGTAAGAAAAATAAATCTCTCCTTGTGTAAAAAAAAGTACTGTAATATTTCTTAAGTCAAAAAAGTTAAGAAATTACTAAGAAATGAGCAAACAGGGATAGAATAAAAAGAAGCTAAAAACCCTAATTAAAAGACTGTAGTGAGCTAGTGGGAGAATCTAAAGAGTATAGTTAGTTGAATAGCTAGATTTCATGTTGAACTTGCTTTTGTTCCTGCAACTCCAAATTGGAAGTATCAAATAAGCCATTCCTTGCTCTTCTAAGGACCAGTAAAAAGCTGAGCAAGATGAGCTCTGTGGGCATTATCTCTGGATTTTCTGCAGTGCACAGAGGGAGCTCTCCACTGCTTTGCTGAGAGGCAGATTCTAGCCTAATTTTCAGAAACCCACTTTCAATAGCACTAGCCTGTGCATAGCTCCTTCACTACACACACCAGCCTGCATAAGAATTTGCTGTTATGCACCTGTCATCTACTACAGTGTAACCTCCTAGAGGAGCTCTGTCTAATCTGTATTTGGAGCCCCAGAGATTAGTGTAGTGTCTGGCACATGAGTGGCACTTGCATCAACAGGGTCCTGGCAGAAAGCAAATGGTGTACTCAAATAGAGGTAATTCATAGTTTTCCATAATGATTACTTACCAAGGTGTGGGCAGGATGTATCAAACCAGAAGGTATGGTGCAGCACCCAAGTTAATGACAGTGGAGAGTCATTATCACCCCAAGTCTGATGGTTGAATGGGGGAGGAGTTTCTGTAACCCAGAGACACAGAGAGCTGTGTGAACAGGGCCACTTTATAGAAGGGCTGCAGCCTGCCCATGGCAACCCCTTAGAGAGGGAGCTGGAGGTGGGGGGTTAATTCTCCAGTGTAACTCTCCTCCCTCCTTTTATCTCCTGCTGGTGCTCCCCAGTGACTGTACCTGACTGGAGTCCAGCCAGGGGACAAGGGTACCCTCTTCATGCAGTCTCTACAGTTGGGTATCTGAGGCACGAGTAGTGTGGATGAGGGTGGAAAGTGGATATGCAAAGGTGAAAGGAAGCTGTCAAGCCAACACTCAATGACTAACTGCTGAATGAGTGACTGCCAAGGTCAGATCACACATTCCCTGAGGGAGTGAGTCTTATGCTGCATGTGGTCCTCCCTCCCTCTTCCATCCCTCCCTTTCTCTATTTGCCTCTCTCTGCTCACTCACTCACTACATTTTTATTACTTGCTGTGTGCTATTATGGCAAACCACTGTGCTCAGCACAAGGCATACAAGCACATAAAGACACCACTGTCAGAAATAAAACACTGGGGTAAAATTTTGGCAGTATTATCATGCCATTTGGCTAGGAACACAGAAATGTCTATTCTCTGGGCTGTCCCAGCCATGCTTCTCTGCAAGATTCCTAAAGGAAATGCCTGTGTGGAGAATGGAGTGATGCAAAGCAAGGTGTCCTTGTTGGCTGAGACCAGGAAGCTGCACCATGTGTATGGACACTTCTAGCCTCACCAGGAAGACCCAAGGCCCATTCTGCCAAAGTCCTTTCCTTCCCATCTGTAAATCCAACCCCAAATCCTGGACATAGTCATTCTAATTATAGAAAAAGCTGCTTTTACCCTAATTCTCTCTACTCTGGTATTAGCATGTTTCCTGCTTAGAGATTTTTCTTTCCATATCTCTGAGGAATTTTAGTGCTACTTCTAAGCCATCTTGTTTCTTCCCATACCAAGACCATCTGTAGGAAGAATAGATTGTTTGTATTTACAGTGGGATTTTAGAAGGGATGGCAAGACCTTCTGATCCTAGCTATTAAAACATCCCTCACCTCTGGCAATGCCAGCCAGGAGAAGAGAAGGAGGTATTGAGGACTACAAGGGTAAGGCTAAGAGTAGAAAGTAGTGCCTTATGTCAAGACAATTTTGCCTAGAATTGACCCTCCTGGTTTGGCTGAAATTCTGATCAGTGACCCTTCTAACTCAAGAGTTCAACTCTCTCTCTCTCCATCTTTTTTTCTTTTCTACTTGTAGTTCTATGACTTTAAATACAGATATAGATTTGTGTAACCACGACTACAATCAGGATATCCAGTACTACCGCCCCCAAAACTCCTTTCTACTGCCTTTTTACAGTCACATTCTCCCCCTACCCCTGCCCTGGGGAGCTGCTGATCTCTCCTCTATCACTATCATTTTGTCTTTTCAAGAATGACATAGAAATGGAATCATACAGTGTGTAACTTTCTGAGACTGGCTTCTTTCACTCAGCATAATACCTTTAAGATTCATCCAAGTTGATGTGTGTTATAACATCTGTTTTGATCTCTCATGTATTCAATCTGCCCTCACTTGACAACACAAATGCCTGCAATCTAGAGACTAGAACATTGTACTGTCTGTTGCTCAACTCTTATTAAAAGCCCATGTTTTAGTAAGGATCACTTGGTTACACGGAATGCTCACTCAACTTCACCCAAGAAAATGGGAGTTTATTTTAAGGATCCAGGTTTCTCCTGGGAATTTAAAAAAGAAGTCTCTCATCACAACCAGTTCTGCAAATGGGAGGTATTTTGGGTTTGAGGCAGCCCCCTGGGGAGACAGCATGATCACCATCTCTCTGTCAAGAACTGGATGGTCTCTCCCTCACCCAGTGTCTCTGTGTGTGTGTCTATGTGCTCTGGGCTCCCGCTTTACCAGCAGCCTTTTTCAGAAGTGGTATCTTCTGTTTCCCTCTCCCTTAAATTCAGCACATGGCCATTACAGCCTCTCCCACCCTTGCCCTTCAGTCCATTCAGCTGTGGCCCCTGTTTCCAACTAGTGCTGTAAATTCAAATTCTTGGGGAATACTATGACCAGCTCTGCTCATCTTTGAAGCCAGGCAGCACAGGTCTCTGGCCATGTGATGAAATGCCTGCCCTGTGTCTTGTGCAAGTGGGGTCATGGTGGCTTGGTAGAGTACATTCCTTAGAAGGGGGTGAGTTGGAGAGTGGGACAGGCAATGACTGACAGTTCTAGCATTTTCCATTAAGATAGAACTCTCTATGGAAGATTGTTGAAAACTCTATTCATTTCTTCAGACTTTCTGTTCTTCACTCTTTGATCAAACCAGATTGTAGGAAAAATGCATTTGGACCATCTTGCTTGGCCTCCAGCAGGCTGTGTTCACTGAACTGTGTTTTGTTATCCTGCTGGCTTTCACTGAGAGATATTACAAGAGGGAGCCCTATTGAAACTATGACTGCATTTTCTGTTATTGAAGTCATTATCTATGTAATGTGTCTAACATGAAGTTTCATGTGAAAAATTTATTTGATGCATAAATTTAAGGACACACTTTACTTCCCTTAAGGAACTGGTACATTTTCTTCCTCTTGAGCAAGGAAAGCTGGGTAAGTTATTCAGCCTCCCTCTGTGTTGATGCTCAGAAAACTCTGTTCCCAGTACATCAGGATTCAGCTAGAGCAGCTTCCCAGACTCTTATGGTCTCCATATATTTGTTTTTGGCCTTTTCTTGATATATTTTTATTTTCTTGATCTTGAGTTTTAAATGTACATTTGTTCCCTGTGACCCATCTCATAATATTGCAAAGAATGAGGACAGATATAAACAAATAAAACCATGCTTGAGGGAGTAATGGGCTATGGAGTCTAGCTCCCTGCCCTAGGCTGCCATCTTGACTGTGCCATGAGGTCTCTTTCAATGACAAATATCCACTGAGCTAACAGTAACAGTTGCAGACTTTTCAAGGTGGAGAAAACCTAAGCAATGATGAAATATACGTTGGGAATTATAACAAGAGTTCCAAGGACTTACTTGCATCATTTCATTTAATCTTTACAATATCCATAGGAGATAGATATTAGGACAAATTATTTAATCACTAAACGTCAGCTTCCTCATTTGTTAAAAGGAGATAATAATGCCTTCCCTCCAAGGCTGTTATAAAAGTTAAATGAAATAAAAGCTGTATGATAGCTAACACAGTGTGTGACGCATAGTAGGTAATTAAAACTATTAACACCTTTTCTACCCTTTCCCAATGTGTCCCACCAGTGCCCTTTCCTGTCATCTTTGGTAACTTTCTCATGTCTTACACATGATTTTAATGTTGATTTTATCTAATCTAAATATCTTCTTAATGCTTTGTTCTCCCATCTGCAAGCGTTTAACTTATTTGACTATGATCAGGACAGGAATGATGTCTAATGTCTCTTGTCCAGCCATAAGCACAGAAAGGTAATTTCTGGCAAGTCATTTTTTTATCATGAAGATTATACAAAATTTTCACCTGTGGAAATTTTTGGCAGTTACGTTTGGATCGGATAATTAATTAAGAAAAGGTTTGTTTTTGCAAAAATATTGGGCTGACCTTGGTGGACCATTTGGCCTTCTTTTTAGGATATGGGACTTGGGAAGGGAGTTGTGCCTGGTGGAAGAGCCATGTAGTCATTGCTGACTTAACCTGCCTGCATCCCTGAAGGGGCTCACTGATGTTCCTTGTACTGTAGGACAGTTGGGAGCTATTAGGCCTTGGTTGTGCCTTTATAATCTTTATTACAATCTATCATGGGGCCCATGAGCATTTAGCCAGAGAGACTCCTCTTGAGCACCAGTGACACAGAGCAGGTCAATAGTAGGTCAACCATTTTATAGGGCCACCAGGGGCTGCCTAACACAGTAGTACTTGGCAAGACACCATTGCCAGGCAGATCTGAAATGGACACTGTGATCCTCTGTGCACAGAGCTCAGTGCACGGAGCCAAGTAGAACCTGGGGGACTGCCCTCATCTCATCTTTACCTGCAGCGCCTTGAAGGAGATACCAGTTTTGTCACTGAGGGAACAAAAGAGAATATTTATGCAGAACCCATGAGATTCCACTTATATTTCACATCTCTTTAATAGACTGTGGCTACTAGGAACAACGTTTTCTCATTATTAATAATTTCCTGAACATTATTCCAAACCAAGCTGTCCTGAGACCAGACTGATAGGAAGAATTAGGATGCTACATCTCCAGTTTCCACCCCGATGATTTAGAATTAAAGGTCTCAGTCAAACGTTTTTAACCGACCTTCATCTCAGACATTGAATGACCGAGAATCTGATAGCACAGGAAGCTTCATTTTCTAGTCACCGACCTTGACTTCAAACTTTGAATTACACAGAAAATGAGAGCTATTGTACCTGAGAGGATCAAGGAAAGAGAAACAATTGGAAATCTGCCATGGGGGGCTCCAGGGTCATGGAATCCTATTCAGCCCCATGGAGATCCTGTCTCATCTGCTTAAACTTGAACTAGAGGGGGGCAGTCCTTCTTTGGGGAGAGTGGTTTTGAGCAACAGACTAGCAGTCCTAGTCCTCAATTCCCTCCCCAAACTTTAATTTCTTGTGTGATTTTTAGATCGTTTCTTTTGGGTATTCAGCCTTGGGAAAGCAGAAACAACCCCCAGTTATACATACATGCCCCCATTTATACAAATATGTAAAATACAAACCCCTTTCAACATAGGCTCCATCTGAGAGATCCTTATTTGAAGACTTGGGACACACTTACATTAGTCATCCCCCTGTGAGGAGTAGGTGGATGAGCCAGAAATGTAGATAATTGTAGCCCTGTCCCTCCCAGACAATGACACTATTGTCCAGAAACTCCAGGGCCTTCAGTATTATCAACTAGACTTTCTTCATCCTTTGTGTTTCTCCTTTCAGGAAACCAGATGTGATAAGCTTGACAGAGCCTGCAATTCCATCTAACACCTTGACACCTTCTCCTCCTTCAGAACCCCCCTCCCTGGCAGCAGCCAGAAACCTCCCCAAAGAGGGTGGATGCTCCGCAAGTGAGAAAGGGAAGGAGGGCATGAGAACTCCTGGTCTAAGGGGAAAGATACCAAGGAGGAAAGAGAAAGTCAAACCACAGACAAAATAATCCACAAAAAGCAGCAAATGTACATATATTTGGGGACTACAGTAAAACTCCATGATAATGTGTCATGTGAGTCTATAATTTAAATCTAGGTTTCAATCATTTTTCACTGTGTGCCATAGTAAAAAATAAGTTTTATATTGTGACTCAGTACATATACACGGTTTTACAAAACAACCTTCACCCTTACTACATGGGATACATTCTGACATTTTCTTCCATCCTATCCAACCCTACTCCATTTTATCCTACCTTACATTACCTTAATCTATTCCAACCTTTTCTGCTCTGCTTCATTTTTAAAAAAAGGAAATGTTGGCTACTCACTAAATTAATTTCATGACCCACTAATAAAGCATAACTGGCAACTTAAAAATAGTAGTTTGTTAAAATTCATAGATGTGCAGACTTCTGATTCACAGACTTTTGGAACTGTAGATCATCTGTTTCTAGTGTAACCTCATTTTCCAGGTGAAGATACCGAGCCCTAAAGAGGTTGTAATTCATCCTCAATTGTGTGCCTGGTTGATGGCACGACCAATGTTCTTTCTTGGATTTACATGGTGATGCAAGAGGGAGTGTGGTGTAGGGCAGAGCCTGGGTTGACATTGGTAGACACATTCTGTTTAGAGCTCTGTGACCTTAAGCAAATCACTTAAACCATTTGGCCTCAGTTTCCTGGAAAATGAGGTGTGGTGAGGATCAATTAAGTAAGACATAGGAGAGGCTTTGCAAGCAGTGAAGTCCAAAGGTGAAAAATTATTACTTCTCTTTTCTCCCTATGATAGTCTGTGATGCAGGCATTATTTGTATTTTTTGTCAGCAGTTCTACAACAGAGACCCTGGCTTTGGAACAGAAAAGAAAAAAAAAATCTATGCAGTAATCAGCCTCTTTCTCATCTTTCAGAGACCCCCAAACCCTCTAATTTATCCTCTACTTTATCCTCTCCTCTTTGTTTTTCTAATTTGTTTTTTACTTCTTGATTCATCTTATCATTTCCTGCCTCTTCTTAAAGTAGTCAAGGTCAATGCATGGTCAGAAATAAAGAGCCCATATAGAGATGATAAACATATTCAGAAGTGTCTGTACAGGTCTGTAGCAACATATATACCCAAGTCTATCTCCATGCGGGAGTGGCAAGGGGTAGACTAGCCATCTGGAAATTTATCTAAGATGTTCATCTGTGTCTTAAGAGGATGATGACATTCCACAAACAGAATCAGTAGGTGTGAGTAAGACACGTGGATCCTGTCCTCAGTTGGTTCTAGGGAAGAACCATGTTGCCTCTGGAGCATCCAGATGCATGAGATTTTCTCTGATATGTAAACATGTCTGAATGGTCTCGTGCCAGGAGAACCCATTAGTTCATGTGATGACTTCAGATGGCATCTGAAAGATAGTCTTGCTCACAGGTGGCTTTGTCCAGATGAAGATTCAGTTGACATCAGTGGCATGGGAGGGGCTCTTCTTGAGCGGGGCAGGTGCCTCAGGAGGCTCAAGGAGCAGGAGCACGTTGTGGCTCTCCTGACAGCTCTTCAGACTTGGTTTACCCTGTCCAAGGGCTTTCAAAAGGAAAGTTAAGCTTGATGTGGCCTCTTGGTCACTCTGGAGCCATTTCTCTGCTCTGCATCAGAAGAGGTCCAAGGAACTGGAGTCTACCTCTCTAAGGATCTTGATATATCTTAGAACCATAGGAAAAGTTTAGCTGGAAAACATTTAAATAAATCCATCTGCACATCCCTATCTCATATTTGAAAGATATAGCAAGGGTAAGGCTCATTTTGTGTTTTCTCCTATCAACATAAATTCTGCTCAAATATCTGGTTCAGTTTTCTTAGTAATTTATGCGTTTTCAGCTCAGTGATTTTCTGCAGAACCAGCCTTTTATGAGAAACTAAAATTTTCCCAGGGAGAAAATTGCCTTCTCTGTCACAGTAGTCTATATTTAGTGCATAACCACCTGTGTGACATGACCTGAGTTCCCCCATCTAAAATGAAGCTGTACCTAGAGAGGACATCGCTTTATGGTGGTGGAGAGCACAGATTTGGGAGCCAGACTGTCTGGGTTTGATCCCTACTTTTCTGCTTATCAGTGATGTGACCTTGAGAAAATTACTAAACCCATTTTTGTTTCAATTTTTTTCATCTGCAAATCAATGATGATAATAATAGTATCTATGTCATGAAAATTATGAGTTAATGCAGTGCCCAGTTACAGTAACTGCTAAAGATTTAGTATTTTTCTTACTGAAATGATCTGTGAGTTCCCCTATGGTTTTAAAAGTAAATGATAACATTATAATAATGATATTTTACGTTGGCATATCTTTGTATTATTTGTAATACTTGTCCTCATATATTATCCCTCAGATGAGGAAATTGAGGCTGAAAAGTTAAGTGACTTTTTTGAGGATATATTTTTTAAGGGGAGTAGCTGAGTCTAGCAGTAAGCTTTCTTATTCCCAGTTTGCGGCACTCCCCTCACACGATGATGCTTTCAGCTGGGAATAGATACCTCCCTCCTAGATGGCCCTCCTCCTGATACTTTTCATTATTTGAAAATAGTGCCACCATTCTCCAAATTGCTGGATGCCCCCATAGACTAAAAAGTGTTTATAACTTTTCATGTCCATGTCTGTTTTAATAATGATAACAATAGTTGCTATAACTAGTAAACCCAAAAATCTTAGTGGCTTACCACAATAGTGATTTATGTCTTGTAAACCAAAAATAAAACTCTAAGCCTCCTAACCAATTGAGTGGACCCCGTCTTGCCAAGGGCACTCCAGAGTAAATCTGAAAAACTAGTTCAGGCCATGATGGGAAATGAGGTTTGGACATGCCTCATTATACCCTCCTCTCTTTGGAATTCAGGGACAACTGACCAGCATTAACATCAAAACAGAGATCTTAAGACTGACCAAACAGACTCTCTGTAGTAATAAAATACATCACTAAATGACAGATAGCAGGCCCTGACAGAAATAAAAATATTTTACCCTGAAATATATTTCTTTGATGTATTTTAAAATGGCCCTGCAGAGATGTCTCTTGTGGGGGAAATCTACATACTGTAGAGAATGTCCTCCCCTTTCTAGGTCTTTTCCTGATCCTAGAGAGATAAAGAGTCTGGTACCTTTTTAAGTCTGATAAGAAACATTTACAATCTATTCTCTCTGAAGCCTGCTACCTGGAGGCTTCACCTGCATAATAAGAACCTTGGTCTCCACAACCCCTTATCTTAACCCAGACATTCCTTTTCATTGACTCCTGGTCTTTAGATAATAACTTAAGTCTTTCAACCAATCACCAATAAGAAAATCTTTGAATCCACCTATGACCTGGAGGTCACCCTGCCCCCACCATTTGAGTTGTTCTATCTTTATGGACCAAACCAATGTATACCTTACATGTATTAATTGATGTGTGCTTGTGACTCCTGTCCCTGCTAAAATGTATAAAATCAAGCTGTAACCCAACTACCTTTGATACATGTTTTCAGGACCTCCTAAAGCTGTGTACATGCTTGTCCTTAACCTTGGCAAAATAAACTTTGAAATTGATTGAGACTTGTCTCAGATACTTTTTGGTTTACAGTCTCACTCATGTAAAGTACAACATCAGTGTTCTGGGTTGGGAGGAATGTCCACATGGCCATTCAAGGACATAGGCTTGAAAGTGTCCTCAAAAGTATCCTCTCTAGGACCCTAGAATTCTTTTCTATTCAGTGGTGGATGGGGCAATTTTCATCATGGAGAGATTTTTTCATCCACTTTTTAACCATTTTGATCCACAAGCAACACACATCACTTTGTTTCACATTTTAATAGCAAAAGCTCATTATGTAGCCCCACTGAGGTACCAGGAGGGCTGGGAAATGTTACCTGTTGACAATACTGTCTGTACAGTCACTTCTTGACAATGCTCTTAGAAGAGTGTGAATTTTGACCATCAGCTGGTCATTTTTGTCACACTCACACCCCCACATTTAATCACTTGCCATGCTGTGCCTATTCTCTCTCCAATTTTTCTATCATATTGACACTGTATTCCCATTCCCATCACCACCACCCTAGTTCAAACTCAGAAAATAACGATACTGGTTAAAGAGCAAAGTGAAGCACTAGATTTGGGAGGAGGCAATGAGAATGTACTTAGTTTCTGAAACTAAGTTCAAATCTCTGGACCTGGATAAATTTTATTTCAGAGAGCTGAGTGAGATCTATGTATGGAAAAATTATGGAAATTATTATTAAGTACATGGGGTAGACCTGGGCTTACTATGAACAAATCATTTCAGATAGACCTTGTGTTCTCTCTTCCAAGAGGATCATTAGCATTAAAGACCAGTGAAAAACAGATATCGAGTTTTTCTGAATTTCGGCTAGAATTTTGATCAGTTTCAATGAAATTCTTATGGAGGAGATGAAACACTGTAGCCTGGGTTGATTTATAGTTTGGTGGATTTAATTTGTTAGATGAATGAATAGAAACTTGGAGAGAGGTATGTAGAGGTATGTTCTACATACCTCTACCCTTTAGAGGTATGTAGAGGTTTGTTCTACAAACCTCTACCCTTTATTTAAAAATTAATAGTTTTGGTGGAAGACTTCATCCTCAGATTTATGGTTTATGTGAATTTGGGAGTTAAGCTAGTATCTTTTAGGTAGTGAATTCTTCTTAAAATCATCTGGGTGAATTTCTAATCTTGAGGTTAGAGTGAAAAAAGACAAATCAAATATTGTTCCATGTATGATCATATTCTTCTGTGTATGTTTATCCCCTTTGGAGAAGATAGAAACCAAAGAATTTTTAATTATATTTTGGCCTCAAAGTGATCATGTATTAAAAGTTAACTTTGTACCAGTGAGCAAGACTTAGCCAGAAGAGTGTTCTTACTTATTAAATTTTAAAAAGAAATGGTCAGATGAATTATTCCCTGAATTCTTTGCCTGGGTTTCAGAGGAAATACGTCAATGAGTTGTACCTCCCTCCATGCCTCACCACCACCTCCCCTGCTCCCTGCTTCTGAGGTGATAGCCTTGGGGAAAGGATCAGTGGGAGGCTGGCTGTGATCTGATGAACAGAAGTCTGGAGACTCAATGTGTTTGTCCATTTTGCATTGCTATAAAGGAATACCTGAGGATGGGTAATTTATAAAGAAAAAAAGTTTATTTGGCTCACAGTTCTGCAGACTGTACAAGAAACAAGATGCTGGCATTGGCTTCTGGTGAGGTCTCGGGAAGCTTGTAATTATGGCAGAAGGTGAAGGGGAGCCGGCATATTACATGGTAAGAAAGGGAGCATAGGAGAGTGGGGAGGGCCTAGATTATTTTTAACAGTCATATCTGGTGGCAACTTATTACCAAGCCATTCATGAGGGATCCATCCCCATGACCCAAACACCTCCCACAAGGGCCCACCTCCAACATTGGGGATCATATTTCAACACAATATTTGAAGGAGACAAACATCCAAACTATATCACTCAGCATAAAAATCTGAGGCCTGGGCACTAACAGGGAGTGCTATGGTTAGTGCTATTAGGAGATTCCCAAAGGTTCATCTCTACTCTCCTGCACACCAAAGAATGAGAAACAAGGGGACCTGCCAGGCTGAACCATGGTTTAGACAGAGTAATTAAAGTCATGCCACCACAAGCCAATGCCATTCCAAGCAGAAGGATCCTGGATTGTGACCATCTTCTATTCTTGTGCCAGGGCTGGGGGGACATGGGATAGGTCCATGCTTCTAAAGTGGGCTTCTTTTCCTTTATAAATACCCAGTGCTAAAGAGTGCCTCATTCAGTTGAGTCAGGCAATGGGCTGCCCTCTGAGTCAGATGGGACCTATAGCTGGAAACATTAAAACAGAAGGTACATGGCCACATGCCAGTGATATTGTAGAGAGAGGTCCTAAGCAGGGCAGGGGACTGGAAGGCTTTAGGAGGGGGGCTTTGAATATCCCTTTGGGTACCAAAAATGTCCAAACTCCTGACTTTCCATTTATAGCTTCCACTGACTGCCTAAGAGATTGGACTTCAGTGTCTGAAATATCTGAGTTTTAGTCCCAGCTCTGCCATGTGATTTTGAAACATTTTGAAAGTTAGTTCACCTTTCTGTGCCTCAGTTTCTTCATTTGTAAAATATGGATATAATACTGGCATGTCAACTGTTGACTCCACAAAACACAACTAAAAATCCTGTTAATCAAGCACAGTTAAGTTTATTAGACTTACTTCAATAAAAGAGAGATCACCACTTGCCAAAGTCTTTATAGTATCTCAGAAGAGGGGAGTTGATGGTATTTATATACTCCTTCTTAAACTCTTCCAAAAAAGAACAGGATCTTCTTTCAAATTCTTTTTATGAGGCAAGCATCACCCTGATAACAAAGCCAAAAAGACCACACGAAAAGAAAACTACAAGCCAATATACCTGAAGACAATGGATACAAAAATACTCAATAAAATATTAGCAAACCAAATTGAATAGCACATTAAAGGGATCATATACCATGATGGAGTAAAACATACCATGATGGAGTAAAATATCCCTGGGATGCAAAGATTATTCAACATATGCAAATAAATCAATTTGATACACCATATTAACAAAATATAGGATAAAAATCACATCATCATCTCAATAGATGTGGAAAAAGCATTTGACAAAATGCAACACCCTTTATTGATAAAAACTCTCAACAAATTAGGATAAAAGGAAGTTAACACAATAAAGGCCATATATGTAAAGTCCACAGCTAACATCATATAAAATTCTGAAAGGGTGAAAGTGGTTCCTCTACGATCTAAAATGAGGCAAAGATGCACACTCTCACCACTTCTCTTCAACGTAGTATTTGAAGTTCTTGCCAGGACAATTAGGCAAGAAAATAAATAAAAGGCATCCAAATTAGAAAGAAGGTAGTGAAATTATCTCTGTTTGCAGATGACATAATCTTATATATAGAAAACCCTAAAGGGACCACCAAAAGATTATTAAAACTAACACACAAATTCAATAAAGATTCAGGATACAAAATTGACATATAAAAATCAATTGCATTTCTATATACAAACAACAAATTATCCAAAAAGGAAATTAGGCAAACAATCCCATTTATGATAGCACCAAAAAGAATAAAATATTTAGGAATAAACGTAACCAAGGAGGTGAGTGAAAGGCTAGTACATTGGAAACTATAAAACACTAATGAAAAAAATTAAAGTAGATGCAAATAAATGGAAAGATATCCTGTGTTCATAGACTGAAAGAACTAATATTGTTAAAATATCATACTATCAAAAGTGATCTACAAATTCTATGTAAGCCCTATCAAAATTCTAATGTCAGTCTTAACAAAAATAGAAAAAAATCCTAAAGTTCATATGTATCCACAGAAGACCCAAATAGACAATGCAGTTTTGAGAAAGAAGAATAAAGGTGGAAGCATCATGCTTCCTGATTTCACAATATATTACGAAGCTACAATCATCAAAACAGTGTGGTGCTGGCATAAAAACAGATGTATAGAGGGTTGGAATAGAAAAGAAAGGCCATAAATAAACCCACACATATATTATGATCAAATGATCTTCAGCAAAGGCCAAGAATATACAGTAAGAAAAAGATAGCCTCGCCAATAAATGTTGTTGGGAAAACTGGATATCTACATGCAAAAGAATAAAATTGGATCCTCACCTTATACCATACACAAAAATCAATTAAATGGATTAAAGACTTGATACAAAAACCTAAAACTATAAAACTAATAGACTTTTGAAAACAGGGGAAAAGCTTCTCGGCATTGGCCTCAGCAATGATTTCTTGGATACAATACCAACAGCACGGGCAACAAAAGCAAAAATAGACAAGTGCAACTACCTCAAACTAAAAACCGTCTGCACAAGAAAGGAACAATCAACAGAGTGAAAATCAGCCTACAGAATGGGAGAGGATATTTGTAACTCATATATCTGATAAAGAGTTAATATCTAAGATATATAAAGAACTTCTATAACCAATAGTAAAAAAAAAAACTCAATTAAAAAGTGGGCTTTCCAGATCTAAGAAAAAAATTTTGTTTAAATGGACAAAGGAACTGAATAGATACTTCTCAAAAAAGATGTACAAATGACCATCAGGTATATGGAAAGGCTTTCAACATCACTAATCATTAGGAAAATACAAATAAAAATGACAATGAGATATCATCTCACACCTGTTAAAATGGTTATTATCAAAAAGACAACAGACAAATGTGGGAGAAGTTGTGAAGAAAAGGAAACCCTTGTAGGGATGATGTTGGTAGGAATGTAATTGGTACAGCCATTATGGAAAACAGTGTGGAGGTTCCTCAAAAAACTAAAAACAGAATTGCCATAAGATCTAGCAATCTCACTTCTGGGTAGATGTCCAAAATAAACAAAATCAGCATATCAAACAGATATCTGCACCCCAATATTCATTGAAGCATTATTTACAATAGCCAAGATATGGAAACAACCTCGGTATCCATCAACCAATGGATGGACATTAAAAATGTGGTGTGTATATCTGTATATATATATGTACACTGAAATATTATTCAGCTATAAAAAGAAGGAAATTCTGCCATTTATGACAACATGGGTGAACCTGGAGGACTTATTAGCTAATAAGCTAATAGTGAGCTTATTAGCCAGGCAGAGAAAGACAAATACCGCATGATCTCACTTAGGTGTGGAATCTGAAAACCCTGGGTATTTTTGCATCCTTTTTATCCCGTAGGTGAATTCAGTGCTTTGAGCTGTCTTTAAATGCGACTGAATGGTGCCAGGCACTTATGCCCAGGTGATTTCTGGAAAAGGGCACGTGTACAGAAATAGCAAATAGGTGGTAGAACTTCATGCAGTACATGGTGGTGAAAGAATCTAAAGAACTAGTAGTTAAGGTCAGAGATTCAGCCAAAAAAAGCCATTTCAAACATGAATCATTAGATGTAATTTATGGCTGAAGGTCTAAGAGGAAAGACCAACTAGCAAATACATAAGATTTTCCTGTTTTTCTTAGGAGATGGGCATTGCTTGTTAGGTTACCACAGTTAGCAACATTTTCCCTCCTATAATCTGTTAAGTTCTACATTATTTGTGAGTTTAACCTTGGAAATAAAGACCTAATTTTTTAAGTTGGAAACTGATTATATTAATATTTATTAGCGCTTCCATACATAATTTATTAAACTTTTAACAAAAACAGTCACATTGTTTTATAATAATGACCATCATTTTATAAATGCTGTGCTTTATTCTACATTATTAATTCAGGTAATCTTCATAATAACCCTACAAGATAAGATTTTTTTATCCCCATTTTCCCTGGGAGGAAACTGAGGTTCAAAAGGGTTAAGTAACTTGCCCAACCTCTCTTAGCTACCAAATGGTGGAACCGAACTTTGAACTTAGGTTGGCCTCACTCCAAAGTAATATTTTTAACCATAGGAGTAATTGAATATGCATGTATATTAAAAAAGATTTTCATCTAAAAGTAAGTTTTTTTTTTTTTACTATGAAACTGATTTTGAGGGATCAAGGAGACATTGTAGATGAGGTAGTATATGAATACTATATAAAAATAAGTTTTTCTTATTATATAGGTTTATTATACATATATAAACTTATAGGTTTATTATACATGTATAAACGACTAAGTATAAATAAAATACATCTTTAAATTTGCTCACAGGTACTTAACTATATCACTTGAATACACTCTGTTGCACTCACGTTATGGTTACAAGAGATGTATATTTATTAACAAATGCAGGGGTAATGGTCTGGATAGTCAAGGAATTTAAAAGACTCAAAAATTTTTACTTTCTTTACTTACATAAACTAACAAGTATAAAAGTGAGCACAGGACTCTCAGACCCTTCAATGGGCTCTGGAGTTTACATGTACTTTTTTATGGTTGTTTTCAGTTTCATTTTCCTACCAAGAAGACAATCATAGTCAATATGCTCATTTAATAGCAGATGAAAGTGGCCAAGGGTGACAAAAACTAACAATTGACTTTGCGTTTAAAGTTCAAACAGGATAATGTATATCCTTTCAAATGGTCCTCCCGTCCCCAGAATCATAAAATAGAGTATCTTTCCTCAGTCTCTTGTGGCTGCACTTCCTCACAAATTGACTGGGATTCTTATCAAATTAGCATCATTTTTGACCAATGATATTGTTGATGTTTCCTGCAGTTTTCTCTTTTTTCCTTTTTTAATGAGTGGGGAGGAAGCACCCGTTGCTGGCTCCCCGGACGCATCACTCACAACCCTGTCTTGCTTTCTGGCCTTCGGTGAATTGGTGGAATCACTGGAGTACAGTCCTCCCTGGCAGTGTGTTTGCACAGTCACCTCCTAAAATTATAGGCAGCACACAGCTGTCCATGATGCTGTGGAATACAACATTCTTTGTGATCCAGTCCTTGCTTTCCCCAGTTGTTTGTTTCATAGAGATTTAGGAGAAGTTGGAGCTTAGAGATTATCTGGTTTCTTTTTTCATTTTATTGATTTGGAAACTGAGGCCCAGAAAGGCCCAGTGGTTCCCAAAGTGGGGTCCTTGGACCAGCACCACCAGTTTCCCCTGGGAACTTGTTAGAGATGCACATTTTCAGACCCCACCCTATGGAATCTGCAACTCTGGGGGTGCTGCCCAGAAATCTGTATTTTAACAAGTCATACTGAGACCCTTGGGTCATGCTATAGTTTGAAAAACACTGGGTTGAGGCATTTGTCCAAGGTTATGTATCAGGCTGGTGCAAAAGTAATTGCAGTTTTTGCATTGTTGAAATTTGCCATTTGATATTGGAATACATTCTTAAATAAATGTGGTTATGCATATACACCATGGAATACTATGCAGCCATAAGAAAGAATGAGTTCAATGTCCTTTGCAGGGACATGGATGAAGCTGGAAACCATCATTCTCAGCAAACTAACACAGGAACAGAAAACCAAACACCACATATTCTCACTCATAAGTGGGAGTTGAACAATGAGAACTCGCGGACACAGGGAGGGGAATATCACACAACGGGGCCTGTTGGGGGGTGGGGGGCAAGGGGAGGAAGAGCATTAGGACAAATACCTAATGCATGTGGGGCTTAAAACCTAGATGATAAGTTGACGGGTGCAGCAAACAACCATGGTCCATGTATACCAATGTAACAAACCTGCACGTTCTGCACCTGTATGCTAGAACTTAAAATAAATAAATAAGTAAATAAATAAATAAATATGGTTATGTTATACATAATTTTAACTTGCATTTCTTGCTTTATGTTTTTTTTGCTAATGACTTACTACTTGCTGTTTATTTTATATTTATTTTAGACTATGGAAATGATGTTAAACAAAAAGCAAATTCAAGTGATTTTCTTATTCAATTTCAAAATGGGTTGTAAAGCAGCAGAAACAACTCACAACATCAGTAATGCATTTGGCCCAGGAACTGCTAACAAACATACAGTGCAGTGGTGGTTCAAGAAGTTTTGCAAAGGAAACGAGAGCCTTGAAGATGAGGAGCATAGTGGCTGGCCATCGGAAGTTGACAAAGACCAATTGAGAGCAATCATCAAAACTGATCCTCTTACAACTACATGAGAAGTTGCTGAAGAACTCAGTGTCGACCATTCTACAGTAATTTGGCATTTGAAGCAAATTGGAAAGGTGAAAAAAAATCCATCTTCTCTTATTCTACGCAACAACAGTGAACCATATCTCTATCGAATCATGACGTGCGATGAAAAGTGGATTTTATATAACAACCGGCGACAACCACGTCAGTGGTTGGACCAAGACGAAGCTCCAAAGGCACTTCCCAAGCCAAACTTGCACCAAAAAAGTCATGGTCACTGTTTGGGGTTCTGTTGTTGGGGTTCTGTTGCCGGTCTGATTCACTACAGCTTTCTGAATCCCAGTGAAACCATTACATCTGAGAAAAATGCTCAGCAAATCGATGAGATGCAACACCCACAGCCAGCATTGGTCAACAGAGAGGGCCCAATTCTTCTCCACAACACCTGACTGCACGTCGCACAACCAACGCTTCAAAAGTTGAATGAATTAGGCTACAAAGTTTTGCTTCATCTGCCATATTCACCTGACCTCTCGCCAACTGACTCACTTCTCCAAGCATCTCGACAACTTTTTGAAGGGAAAACGTTTCCACAACCAGCAGGATGCAGAAAATGCTTTCTAAAAGTTCATCGAATCCCAAAGCATAGATTTTTATGCCGTAAGAATAAACAAACTTATTTCTCATTGGCAAAAACGTGTTGATTGTAATGGTTCCTATTTTGATTAATAAAGATATGTTTGAGCCTAGTTATAATGATTTAAAATTTATGGTAGGAAACCAGTTACCTTTGTTGGCAGGACATAAACCCAGGCTTCTTGACACCCAATTTAGAGTGCTTTGTGCTCCGTCACTTGGCTTCTGCCCCTTCCTCACCTTACACATCCAGTTTTTTTTTTTTTTCTTGTTGGCATTCTTTTGGAAGCTGGCATTTATTCACTTAGTTTTAATGAGGTCCAGTCTAGCTGCTTTTTTTCTGCTGGTTAGCTTGCTGAGAGATTTAAGTTCAGGGGCTATATCTAATTATATTAATTTCATGTCTGGAGATTTTAACAATAATTTCTTCAAATTGAAGTTTTAATTTGACCACAAATCCTCACCCTGAGCAGAGGTACCATTTGTTCTCCCGGTTAGTAGATTTTTCTTTGCTTTTCAAGCAAAGTTCAGCAACTGAGCACATACATTTCCTTTTACCCTTCTGGGTAGACGAGAAAGGCTGATGCCCTTTCATAAGCAATCTTCTTTTTTCTAGTGACAGTTTTCATCCTATTCTGATAAAATTACACATCAGGATTACCCCTTTCCACTTCATTCTCAAAGCTCCAGCTTTGGTGTCTCTTATTGATACCGCATGTTGAAAGAGTGTGGCCCTTGGAAACTTCTGAGGCTCCTTCTTTGCCTCCGTGGATCCAGGCAAGACAGCCAGCCTTGTCTGACCCTCTTCGACTATTCTCCAGTGATGATGGACTACATGTGGCTGGGCTTCCAAGGGGCGTACACTTTCTTTTAGTCTTCCTTCTCTCCACCTGCGTTTTGTTTGGGCTTCCATTCTTGGGCTAGAAGCATGTTGTGGTCACAAGGCCCTGGCAGGAAGCTGTGTGATTTATGGCTTCTTTCTTCAATAAAAGAAGTTTGAATGGGGGCTGAAAGGCACTTTTGAGCTTGACTAGCCCCCTGCTTGTTGTAACCTGGGTCAGGGAAATTCTGAGGACCTTGGGAATTTATGTTTTCTTTCCTTACCCTCGGTTCTTCCTCTTCTTCCCAGGGGAGCTCTTTCAATCTGGTGCTTCTCCAAGAGGTTTGACAAAGGCCACACCCAATCGGGAGAGCTCTTAGGAGGCTGGGGGTTCTAGGCTGAACTCTGCAAATAGGTATATTCTGGGCAGGTGCTGAACCAACACAGAAGGAGCCCAAAAGGCCTGGAGTTGACTTGGCTATGCAAGGGTCCCTCAGGATGAAATTTGTCCTGGGAACTAACTAAAATCCGATGAGCTGCAGTGAGAGAGAGATGAAGATTTCAGGAAATGTCTCCTAAGTACTTTGATCCATGACATTTGTCTATTTGAGGTTAGAATTACTGAAAAATGTAAATATTGATATTTATTTTATGTCTCTGGCCTAGGGTTTAAATAAGAAAATTTTTGCATGATGGTTCTGCATACATATGAAGTTGTTGTGGAGCCCCTCTTGATATATAAAGAATGACAAAGATAATAATTACTGTTATGGAGTACATGCTATGGATTCCTTAGTAGGCACATTACAGACATTGCCACGTATCCTTCGGTCTAACCTGCAAGGTAGATACTATTAGCTTCATTGTCCAGGTGAGGAAATGGAGACTGAGTTTAAGCACTTTGTTCAAAGTAAAACACTAAGTAAGAAAATTTAGTGACATTTTCCTTTTTCTGTGGGAGGACTTGATGTAGTGAGTAAGCACAATGACTCTGAAGTCAAACTGCTGAGTTCAAATCCTAGCTCTGCATTTGGTGTTATGAGATGCAGCTATACTCAATTTCCCTGTACCTCAATTTCCCTATCTGTAAAGTAGGCATAATAATGGCATCTACTTAATAAGGTTGATATAAAAATGTAAATAATTAATATACATTAAGTACTTAAAGTAATGCCTGGGATAAAATAATTCATATGCATTTTGGCTATTAAGAAAATACAAGGCTGAAAAAAAGGCACTGTTTCACATCATTTGCCAAATATACTAATTCTGTAGAGGAGCTTTTCTACACGTCTAATACTCATTTCTGTCTCTTTTCAGGGGTTGGTAATAAAATACTTCAGTACCTAGTAAGAAAGTCCAAGAGGGGATATATAATTTTTACTTAGAACAAATAAATCATTTATCACTCCTTTCTCCCCCTCTCCTACCCTCTTAGAGTGCTCTCCGGGCACCCTGCACCTTTGTAACTCATGTGGCTGCAAATCACACAGCAGCCAGAACTGAATCCCATTTGCAGTACAAAGAGACTGCCAGGGAAGAAATGGGCTTAATTAGTGAGAGATGTTCAAGGTAAAGCCTTTACAAAAGAGCTAACTGTGCTGTGTTAAAGGGAAGAAATATGATGAAAGCCACTATTACGGAAGCCGGAATGATGCATATATTTCCTTAGCCTTTGCCTGCCATATCACATCCACTTAGATGTCTCAGCTCCAATTTCAGGGGCAGTTCAAAGCTGAGGTTTCTGTTAGGAAAGTACAGAACTATGCAAGAGCCTTGGAACTTATCCCATCAGATCTGTAACCACTCTGGCCAATTAACATGCCAGCTTGGGGAAGATGAAGGTGAAGACAACAGACACCCCTCTCTCAGAGATATATGTGAGAAACAGACATGGAAATGGCCAATCACAAATACAATGAGAGATTTCTAAGCCTAAGCCTAGGATGTTGACTGAAAGGTGAATTTGCATGGTGAGACAGGATAGCTCAACAGAGGCAGGGACACCTCAATACAGCTGGGACCTGACCAGGTTACTAGGGAAGGAGAACATGAGCAAAGAAATCCAAATTCTCAGCTCCAATGTTGGCATTGCCATTTGCCAGTTTTGTGATGTTGGGTGAATCTCTATAGCTATGAGCTGTAGGTTTTTAAGGTTTTACATATTAGTCTTAATAACCTCCACATATACAGTAGTCCCATGCAAGGTCTTACAGGAGGGACAGATACTCTTCTTTAATAAACGGTTAAAGGCTCCAGAGAGACTGCTTGGAGATCAGACCAATATTTATGTGACTTAAATGGAATCTTTCCTTCAATGGAAATGCTCCAGATTTACATATCTTACCCAGTAGTGGGTGGGCATCTCAGAATTTCTAGCTATTCTAGAGATAATTTTCAAACTACAACTAGATAGTTATGAACTACTTCTTGGCTTTATTTAAGGCTTGCATCTTGTTTCTAGCATTGATTGGAACCTGAGAGTTTAGGGAAAACTCTGACCGACCATACACAATGTGTAGACTTCATTCTGAACATTCTAGGATTAGACTGATGCTATTAGGATGCTTAAGGGTGTGTGATATTGACACAATATGTAAACTGAGCAAACTTTATTCATTCAACAATTGACAGTACAGTTGGAGAGCCCTTCTGGATGTTGTGTCCATGCTCTCTGGAATGTGTGGTCTCCAAAGTCATCAAGGTGAGCTAAGAGTGAGCATGGAGAAAGTATACCCTGGACAAAAGTGGCACACCACTTCCACTCACATGCCATTGGTGAAAATTAATCACATGACCGTATCTAGATTCAAGGGGGCTGGGAAATGAGGCAAAGCAAATAGAACAGTGAGTGGCAACAGTCTCTACCATGCTTCCTACACTTCCTCTATAGTGAAATGTATCACATCCTATTGCAAATGTGTACCTAACTAGTTGTCACATTGGTAGATTTTCAGCTTTGTTGTGGTAAGACCTGACTTGGTCACTGCCATCTCCTCAGCACCTAGTATACTGCCTGGAGTGTGGTCAGGACTCATTAATGACAGCATAGATATACGATCAAGGAAGGCTGTCCACTCTGCCTCAGACTGTAATAAGAGTGAGGATAAGCTTTAAATGTCAATGTCATAAAAGGTAAAGAAAGATTGTGGCAATGCTCTAGATTAAAGGCAGCTAAAGAGACTTGACAACTAACTGCAATAGCTGTCCCCAGACTGGATCCTGTACTGGAAGGGAGAAAATGTTACAAATGACATAATTAGATCAGATGACAAAATTGGAATATGGATGTCAGGTT
Source organism: Homo sapiens (assembly GCF_000001405.40). NCBI lineage: Eukaryota > Metazoa > Chordata > Mammalia > Primates > Hominidae > Homo > Homo sapiens. The sequence goes on along the minus strand of NC_000014.9, from coordinate 66,252,463 downwards.
AGATTTTTTTAAAGTATTGCATCAAAATTAGCCTGTGAAGATAATAATTGTACTATAGCTATGTGAAAGACCTCTCTAGTCTTAGGAAACGTACACTGAAGTATTTAGGGGCAAATGACCATAATTATATAGTTTACCTTTAAATACTCCTGCAAAGGGGTAAAATGTTAACAATAGGCAAACCTGGGCAAAGGATATGTGGGTATTCCTCGTACTATTTTTTAGTTTTGCAACTTTCTGTATGTTTGAAATTATTTCCAACTTAATTGTTAAAAAATAAAATGTAATTGTGTTAAGTTGCTAATATTTTGGGGTTTATTGTTGCTAGAGCATAGCCCATACTGTCCTGACTAATAGAAATAGAATTGGGAACACATTGCAGGGCGGACAAGCTTTATTCAGTGGATCAGAGAAGAGTTTTTAGAAGATGGCTTGAAAAAAAAGCAGAAGCCAGTCAAGCGAAGAAGTGGGAGTATTGCAAGCAAAAGAACTGTATTTATGAGGGCCCAGTAGTAAGAGAGGGTACAGTGCATTAACAGAAAAGAAAGAATTCAGCATAGCTGGGACACAGAGGAGAGAAGAGGTGAGAGATGAAACTGGATATGTAGACAGGGCCAAGTCCTGATGGGCCCTGTAAGCCACATTAAGGTTTTGAACTTTAAACAATAGACAATGGAAAACGATGAAGGGTTTTAAGCAAGAGTGACTACGATTTAGATTTTTAGAAGATTACTCTGGCTACACAGTGTATTAGAAGAGAGGAAGACTATTTTAGAAAAGATCAATGGGACAGAGAGGTGTGGGAGGTTTGACAGCTCGTTAGGAGATGATGTCTATTGGCCTGGGTGATTGATGGGTGAGAAATGGGAGGAGTGAATGATAACTCAGTTCTGGCTAGAGGAGTCAAAGAGATGGTGCTCCCATTCCTCAGACTAAGAAACCCAGAAAAAGGTCAGGGTTGCCAAGGGAAAATAATGGTTACAGCTTGGACATTTCAGCTGGGACATCCAATGAATAAATGTTCAGGAGGCAGTTGGATGAGTGGGAAGGGAGCTTATACAAGAGGTCAAGGCTACAGGTAGAGATGTGGAAGCTCTCAGCACTTTTACAGGAGGAGTGAGGTCACCAGGAAGAGGATAGAGTGGAGAAGAAGGTCCAGGGCAGACGCTGCAGGTTCACTGGGAGTATAGATGGATGGGTAGATGATTTGATAATTACTCTGGGCTTCAGCAGTACCAGTGTGGATAGACTATACTACTCTTGTGACTCAGTTTCTCTCTCATTGGGGTAATAAAGCTCTGTTAATTGATACTTAGACAAAGGCTTAAATTAGATTTAGAAGTTTCAAAATAGCATGTGTTCACATTTAGAAGGGATTTCTGCATTAATTAATGATGAAAGTGTTTTCTATAATTAGTAGGTGATCTGTTGACATCCCATTTTACAGATAAGGGTCAGAGGGTTCAAGAAGTTTTAAATGTTTTATTTCCTGTTTCTCAGGGATTTGGCTGACAAGCTATGAATCAGATGCCAAGATTTTGGCTTTTAGACTTAGTGTAATTCCAAATTAATTATTTAGAGGTTGAGACATGCTACACATGCCTTTTTATATACATTTTTTTTTTTTGAGACGGAGTCTTGTTCTGTCTCCCAGGCTGGAGTGCAGTGGTGCAATCTCGGCTCACTGTAAACTCTGCCTCCCTAATTCAAGCAATTCTCCTGCCTCAGCCTCCTGAGTAGCTGGGATTACAGGCACGTGCCACCACACCCAGCTAATTTTTGTATTTTTAGTAGAGATGGGGTTTCACTACATTGATCAGACTGGTCTTGAACTCCTGACCTCATGATTCACCCGCCTCAGCCTCCCAAAGTGCTGGGATTACAGGTGTGAGCCACTGCACCCGGCCGCCTTTTTATATTCTTTAATTTTTTTTTTTTTGAGACAAGGTCTTGCTCTGCCGCCCAGGCTGGAGTGCAGTGGTATAATTATGGCTCAGTGCAGCCTTGAACTCCTGGGCTCAAGCAATCCTCCCACCTTAGCCTCCTGAGTAGCTGGGACCACAGGTGTGAGCCACCACACCCAACTAATTGAAAAAAAAAATTGTAGTCTCAATATGTTACCTAGGCTAGTCTTGAACTCTTGGGCTTAAGGGATTTTCTCACCTCAGCCTCCCAAAGTGCTTGAGATTACAGGCATGAGCCACCCCACTTGGCCTATTTTCTGGGTTTCGATCCTCAATTTATTCACTGGTTCAATCAGCCAGTGCTCTTCTTTTCATCTATGTGCTTTTTGGAAAGTTACATGGAAACACAAATTTTTAGTCAATTAGCTGATCATAGTCCTTCAACTCCTACTTATACTTCTAGGCTCAGTTCAGATATGTTCCTGGAAGCACTGGTCACTCTTCCTCTCTTGGCTGGGGAAGTGCCTATGGGCAAACTTTCAGCATTCTGCTGAGAAGGTCTGTTTCCTCTGGTTCTCTCCTGCTAATTTGCACCTTGAAGACTGGAATTGGCTGGGTCTGACTTGCTCGTCTTTGAATCTCCAGCACTATGAGCAGGACTCATAGAATATGTTCAACCCCACGGTTTGTTAGAGGATAGGATTAATGAGGCCTTGTGGGTATGATTTCTTTGTGGGCCTGTCATTGGCTATCTCAATGCTGCAGACATACCCCCTTACCCATGGTTTACTTCCTTTCATGCAATTGTCAGCTTTCAGAGTTGGCCATTGACCGCAAACCTCTCTTCTCTGTCAGTTTCTCCTTTCTCCACTCACTACCCTGTATGGTATTTGGCTTCTGGCACAGAGTAATTTGGCCTTGCCAGCAATTTATTGGGTCTTATCTTACAGGACACAGTTGGCTAGTCATCTTTCACAAAACTAGCACACAGCAGGCACCTAATTAATGATGATGATGGTAATAGCATACTGACAATTGAGCTGGACACCTTCTGTTAGTATGGTATCCTGTAGGGACTGCTGTTTTCCTTTGTTTGGATCAATGTCTTTGTACTAATACTTCTTGAAAGATGAAATGTGTGTTGTGGAGATGAATATGCAGTCAGGACCTGATGGGCTGATATTGCTAGGGTGGCTGGAAATTAATTCTTCAGGAGAAGGTGGGAGGCAGGGAGAAGAAGAGAAAGGAAGGGGAGGAGGTTGGAAATAAGAGATTTGGAAGGTATGGGTCTCCAGGAATAACTGCTACTGTTTTTCACGTTACAGATTATTTACCCCTCAAAACAACCCCCAAGGTGAGTATTGCCTTTGTTTTGCAGATGAGAAAACTAAAATCTAGAGAGATTAAATAACTTGTCCAAGATCACATACTTAGTAACAGAGTTAGGATTCAAAGCCAGGGCTGAGCTACTAAAACCCGTATTCTGGTACCACAATCCCTCCCCACCTCCCCCTCACCCTCCAGGACACGACAATCCTGAATAGTTAGCTTGATCACATAGGACCCTGGAGAGATACTTGTAGACCATTCTTCTCACATGAAATCAGAAATACTAGAACATAGTGTCCCATGTAACCACCTAGAGACCACTGAGGAGCTAAAGGCCGAGTCTGAGCATTTAGGGTTTGGTAATCATTACATACCTGTTCACAGTGTGGCTGTAGTCTGGCCACTCCTCTCTCTGTCTCCTTTCAGAATGTTTTTTCTTGCTTCGAAATATTTAGTGTGGCTGTATTTGAATTGTTAAAGTTATAGCATCTGGTACTTTGTGTGCATTTCCTCTGAAATTAAAAAAAAAGCCTATTATTTTCTCCCTCCAGCAAAATCTCTGTCTCTCTCTGTGCCCACCCTTCCCCTTTTTTAATTTTAAAGCATTTGTTTGGCACACTCTCCTCTCTTCAGACTTGATGGAATTCAGGTTTCAAGAGCATCTGCTCCGATTGCAGCAGGCTTTTGAGGACTTTAAAATTTGTCAGCCAGTCCCTTTAAGCAACGGACTACCCTTTCAATAATTAAAGGAAAAACCCCAAAGCTATGAACAACCTGCCCTTCCTCTCCCTTTTTCTCCACACTACATTCAGCATTTTTGGTTAATACTACTGCTGGGTAAATTGGAAAACAAAATCTCTGTGGGTGACCAGGCAAAACTTATTAATCATATAACCCTAGCAGATGACATAGCCCTAATACAAATATTTGTGCTTCTGTCACTGGCACTCATCTGATCACTGCCAAATAGTGACAGATTTTAAAGACAATCACATTAAGTATTAATCAAGCTTGAAAGATGCAGCCACGCAGAGGCATACTAACGAGCAGGCATTTCCTGCCTGCTTTCTGCACTGACAGCATCCTACGCCAGCGTACTATTGAAACTGTTCTTTTCCTTCTTAAAACATCATTTTCTGCATGCCTAAAAATCTAAGATGGCTATTGGTTGGCTGAGTGGCCTTGAGCAGATGACACAGCTCCTATTAGATTATGACCTGGGCTGCAGGCTCCCCAGCCATGCCCACATTCCTTGTTCCAGCCTGTCTCACTGGTGGAGTATGAGCAAGTGCTGGATGTGAGAACTCTCAGGGATTATAAATGGGGACCAGTCCATGGAGAAGGCAGTGTGAAATCAGGGGGGCTCAGCCTGGGCCTGGAAGGAGGAGGAAGAACACTGCATGAGAGGGACCCAAACAATGGTGGGAACAAAGTGTTGGCCATGTCTGCCTGGCTTGGATTGGAGATTAGCAGAAGATAACATTTGCTAAGTCAGGGGGGTTTGGCAAAGATAAGAAATTAAGAAAAAAAAAAAACATACTGTTTTAACGAAACCTTCTACTTGAGTGAGGAGGCTCCTTAAATAAAAAGGCATCTGGGAGGGTAAAGTGGCCAGTCTGTACACTCCAGAAAGTCAGTCCCAGAGAGAAGGGAATTAGGTGGGGACTGAGACTACGCAGATGGACAGTCCCAGGTTGATAGGTTCAGTAATGCTTGGAGGATGAAGAAAGGAGGAATTGGAACTCCAGTCCTACCACAGCTACCCCTTGAGTTGCTAAGTCCTTACCGGCAGAAAACGGATCCCAGGCAGGGCGCAGTAGCTTATGCCTGTAATCCCAGCACTTCACACTTCGGGAGGCCAAGGCAGGCAGATCACTTGAGGTCAGGAGTTTGAGACCAGCCTGGCCAACATGGTGGAACCCTGTATCTACTAAAAATACAAAAATTAGCTGGGCGTGGTGGCACGCACCTGTAATCCCAGCTACTCCGGAGGCTGAGGCAGGAGAATCACTTGAACCAGGAGGTGGAGGTTGCAGTGAGTGGAGATCGTGCCACTGCACTCCAGCCTGGGCAACAGAGTGAGACTCCATCTCAAAAAAAAAAGGAAAAAAGAAAAAGGGCTCCAGGGGCTCCAGAGCTGTTCAGAGTTCCTGGGGAATAATGTTGAAGAAAGAATAGACCAAAGTTACCAAAAAGAGGAAGAGGCAAACAGCTCACTCAGGGCCCCATGGAGACTTGCCTAGGTGGTGTCAGCTTTTAAGCTTTGTGGTTTCAGACACATGAATTAGCCTGAGATGTCCAGACTCAGGGGACTGACTTACACTAAACAAACTCATGTGAGATTGATGTATAAGATTAAAAAAAAAAAAAACCCAAAAACCCAGTTTCTTGTTTATAATAAGAAAATGTAATTATTGCAGTGGAGCAGTGGTGAGTGTATGTTTGTGTGTGTGTAAATATTGATTTGGCTGGTTGGTACCTTTTCCCTTCATAGACACATTTACAAATTATAATTTTAAAAGTTGTTTGTTAAGTACAAGCTCATAAAAAGGACACATTATTTATTTTTATTATTTTTTTAAGTTCTGGGATACATGTGCAGGATGTGCAGGTTTGTTTCATAGGTAAACATGTGCCATGGTGGTTTGCTGCACCTATCAACCCATCACCTAGGTATTAAGCCCTGCATGCATTAGCTCTTTTCCCTAATGCTTTCTCCACTGCCTGCTCTTCCCTGACATGCCCAGTATGCATTGTTCCCCTCCCTGTGTCCATGTGTTCTCATTGTTCAGCTCCCACTTATAAGTGAGAACATGCAGTGTTTAGTTTTCTGTTCCTGCATTAGTTTGCTGAGAATAATGGCGCCCAGCTTCACCCATGTCCCTGCAAAGGACATGATCTCATTCCTTTTCATAGCGACATAGTATTCCCTAGTGTATATGAAACACATTTTCTTTGTCCAGTCTATCATTAATGGGCATTTGGGTTGATTTCACATCTTTGCTATTGTGAATAGTGCTGCAATGAACATTCGCATACATGTATCTTTACAATAGAATGGTTTATATTCCTTTGGGTATATACCCCGTAATGGGATTGCTGGGTCAAATGGTATTTCCAGTTCTAAATCTTTGAGGAATCACCACACTGTCTTCCACAATGGTTGAAGGAATTTACATTCCCACCAACAGCGTAAAAGCGTACCTATTTCTTTGCAACCTTGCCAGCGTCTGTTGTTTCTTGCCTTTTTAATAATTGCCATTCGACTGGCATGAGATGATATCACAATGTGGTTTTGATTTGCATTTCTCTAATGATCAGTGATGTTGAGCTTTTTTTTCCATATGTTTGTTGGCTGCACATAAACGACACATTATCTTTTGGACAGTGCTGCAAACATGCCAGCCAGTTCTTGTTTGGCCTCCATTTTTTAAACTCCTTGAAGATCACTTCCTCTCATTCTATTTTCACACAACTTTCTGTACACTTAACTAGGTGCCAAGTTGTTTCTTAGAAATTAAAGCTCTTTCAGTTAGGGTTTTCCCAGCTGTTAGGGAAGCCTGCTGATGAGACACTAGGTAGAGAATATCGGAAGATAATGATCTCATGGTAACTCTTTGCCAAGCAACCAATCCACTTAAACTCCCAACATTTCTGTCTTCCCTTATTTTTGGGAAAAAATCATGGAATCATAGAATTTTAGGAGCTGGAAGAGGCCTTAGAAATAATCTAACCCAGCACCTTCTGTTGATAATCTGCTTGTTTGATTATTTGAGTTAACTTCTCACTTATAAATCTCCATTTTTTTCTTTTTCTTTCTTCTGAGGAAAGAAGAGATCCTATCAAGACGAACTACTGTCCCTTCTATGCAGTAGATCCCATTTCCTTTATTGTGACCATCTAATTTACTGTCCAAACTGGGACACTGTTGAGAGTAAAGGAGGCATTGGTAGTAATGAAGCCAAGACAGCTGGCAAAACCAAGACTGTCCTGAGGAAACGTAGATGTATGCTCGTCACTGCTTCTGCTTCCCCTCCTTTTAAAACTTGATTCTTGAAGTAGCCTTTGTTTCAACTGATTTTTCAATCTCTCCATTTCATTTGCATAGAAACCTAATCCCTCATCCGCATGTACTGCGGGCCCTCATTTTGCTAATCTGTAGAGGCTTGGGCTGTGGTTTTGCCCCTTAGTTAAGACTCACCTTGTCTCCTGCCTCAGGAAGCACTGAGTGAGGGGATGTTTCTTTTGGGGCAGATGTTTCTTTTGGTGGTTGAAGATGAGAATGTTGAGAGGGAGAAAAATAGCTTCTTCTAAGCCGTCTGTGCCACTTCTGTATCATCACCATCCCTGACTTCTGCCCCTACCCAAGACCCATCTGGCTTTCTTCATCCTTACCCTCTCCCTCAGTTCTGGCACTTGTCTCTCAGAGCCACCCTTGATTCTTGAAATAATCCTCATCTTTGCCTTCAATATCAGCATACTTTCCTGAGACCACTCCACTGCAGGATGAGTGCTGGGGCCACCTGACTCACTTTCATTTGCCCCCTGGAGGTAACAGGGAGTCCCGCCTGGGCTGACAGCTCAACCAATATTCGTTGGAATTAAAATGGGGTGGGGGTGGGGGGCTGTAAGTGGAGCTTCAGAGTTCTGTTTGTAGCTTTTTCCTCTTTCTTCTTCCCCATGACAACTATTTTGGGTGTTGTTTTCTCTTTACCTGGCAGAAGAAACAACTAAAGTGCTTTGAGAGCCATCATTCACACAGTAGGAGTCAAATTTTCATCAACCCACTAAATTCCCAAATTTAATGCCCCATGGGAGATAAAGTGGAAAGGTCCCCAGTTATTGGGACGTCCTGATTTTAGAGACTGATGAAATAATAAGTTACGTCTAAGCTTCTCTCAGTTTTGGAGTTTTAGCCCCTCCAGTCCATTAAAGGTTAAATGCCCTATACAAAGCCCCTGACTATCTAGCTAATGAGATGTTCACTGGGGGCTGCCTGATGCTCCCTTTGTAGATGTTGGTTGAAGCTGGTTTGGCCTCAGGGTGTGGTAAGAGATACCTTTACTGGTGATTTATGAAACTTATTCCAGGATTCAACTCTTGGGGATTTGTCTATTAATGTGGCTGGAACCCACTCCTGAACCCTTTCCATCTTCTGCCAAAAATCTCCCAAGGTTCAAGAAGAATTGAGTTTATCTTCCCTGAATTACTTCCTGTTCATTATTTTAATGTCAGCTTCACCTTGGTTTCTTACCCACAGCCTGACTAGCAATGAGGATGAAAATATTGATCATTTCCCAGGAAGCTGCTTCAAGGCTCTGTTCAGGGCATTGAACACTCAGCTTTTGGACAAAGCCAATAATTCAGAAAACTTTTCAGGCTTCTGTATATTTAGTTGCATAGGCTCTTCTGTCTTGCTGCCCGAAATGCATGGTGCACCTTTGGCCTACAGGCAGATTCAAATCCAGCACCTACTGTGTGCCAGGCACAGACCCACTCTTGACTCCTTTTTACTAAAACTGTGGACTTCACCTTTGGAGTTCTTTTGCTTCCATCAGCCTGCCCCTGCCTCCTCGGGAAGACTGCCCCCAGTCACTAGAGCCCCTCTGCTCAAACACACAAAGTTGTCAATACCTGGAAATTTATGGTCTTCGAGACAGCCCTTAGCCAATGACTGACAGGTGTGGAGCTGGGACAAACTCAGGCATAATTTATACTCCAGAATTTCCCTGTGGATGCAGGTGGAGGTAACTCTCCAAGGGGCTTGGCCTGAAATTGTGCCTTTCTTTGGCTTTTTTTTTTTTTTCTGCTCTGTTCTACTTTCCCCACTTCCTTGCCTGTTTCTTCTGAGAGCATTTCTTAGTAAATCACTTGTCTATGAATCCCCATCTTAGACCCTGCTTCTGGGGAACCTGACCCAAGGCAATATTATCTTATTGAGTTCTCAAAGCCACCCTGTGAGAATTGAATTTTAAAAACTACCTTCATTGTTCTCATTTACAGATAAAGAAACTGAGATGTCTAGCATTTAAGTGATTTCCCCAGGACCATACAACTAATAAGTAACATGCTGAGTTGGGATTTAAATCCAGAACTTCTGACTCCAAATCCAGGACCCGGTTAATTTACCACTTTTTACTGTAGTATCACCTTCCATCCCACATGGAGGATGGTTGTTTAGTCAATAAATATTTAGAAAAGCATCTACTTTGGCCAGACGCGGTGGCTCATGCCTGTAATCCCAGCACTTTGGGAGGCTGAGGTGGGTGGATCACCTGAGGTCAGGAGTTCGAGAGCAGCCTGGCCAACATAGTGAAACCCCGTCTCTACTAATAATACAAAAATTAGCCGGCTGTGGTGGCAGGCACCTGTAATCCCAGCTACATGGGAGGCTGAGGCAGGAGAATTGCTTGAACCCGGGAGGCAGAGGTGGTAGTGAGCCGAGATCACGCCATTGCACTCCAGCCTGGGCGACAAGAGCGAAACTTCATCCCCCCGCAAAAAAAAAAAAAAAGAAAATGGAAAAGAAAAATATCTACTTTGCATTATGTATTGTGAACACAATAGTATGAAAAGTAGTTATTAATGAAATGATTATATAAATGTATAATTATAAACCACAATAAAAGCTATAAAGTACTTCTATACCAGGTTTATATTGGGTAGTGTGTGGGTGGGTGGGTATGTCAAGGAGAAATTTTGGTTTGGGGGAAGACAGGTTTGCATGAAAAAACAAACAAACAAACTCTTATCTGCCTGAAATGCAATGACATGCAGCTGAATGAAATTAAGTTTAATTTTGTATTTTCTATCCAAATAAGTTTAATTTTGCAAGCTTCATGTGGCCTGGAGCTGTTTGTGTAGTGTGCTCTTACTGACTGTCAACAATTCTATCTGCACACAGCTCACTGCTCCTTCTACACACCCCAAGACCTTGGCAAGCCTCCTTGGTGCCAATCAGCAGCCCCTAGTAATGTAAAAAGCAGTGGCAGCTATGGTTTCCCATTGCAGAGTCCCTCATTAAAATCTGTGCTTGGCAGAGCAGCTGGTCCCAGATCACAGATTCCGACTCACAGTGGGGAGCTCTGAGTATGGAGACAGTGAAAGCACACAGCTTGTTAATGACACTGTCAGAAGGTGGGGTTCCCTTCCAGCTATTTCTGGAGAAATTTGGGCCATTTATCATACACACAGACATTTATTCACTCATACCTAAGCTCTTCTATTTCTTCTCTAAAGGAATGTTATTAATAAGCAAAACTTTGTTCAAAGTTTTTTTAGTTGGTTGCCATGAAAGAAGTGCTAGGATCTGAGCTGTCTTTGGAAGGCAGCTGTGCTCACCACTATACCACCAACGCTGAACTGTCTTTGAATAAACCCAGTTTAGATGATGTCTTAGTTTATTTTATGTTGCTATAATAGAATACCACAAATTGGGTAATGAAATAAATTTATTTCTTACAGTTCTAGAGGCTGAGAAGTCCAAGGTCAAGGGCCCCACATTTGGCCAGGGCCTTTTTGCTACATCCTCTTATTGCAGAAGGCTGAAGGAAAAGAGACCAAGAGAGGACCAAATTTGCTTTTATAACAACCCACTCTCACCATAACAACATTAATCCAGTCAGGAAAGTGGAGCCTTAATGGCCTAATCCCTCTCCATCGTCCCATCTCTTAATATTGCCACAGTGACTGTCATGTTCCAACATGAGTTTTGGAGGGGACATTCAAACCATAGAAGGTGGTAGGGGATATTCCAAGAAGCATAAGACCATCACCTCCCCTTAAGAGAATCCCTGGAACTTAATTATTATCAGGGGTGATAGCAATGGTGATGACCATTGTAATACTCATCCATGAGCTGCTATTTTACAGTTGACAAAGTCTTTTCAACTTTATTAACTAATTCTTCCTGTAGTCCTTTCTCTGGGGTGGAAACTCAACAGATTTATTCCATGCTGATTGGTGATCAATAAACAGAGAAGCTGGCTCTGCTACTACTGATCCAATCAAAGGTTCTAAGGCTGTCATCTATAAATTACCCTGAATTACATTAAAAAATAAAAAAGCAATCTATCTATCTATTTTCATGTGAAGTTGGAATCAGCAAAGGCCAAAACAGCTTCTATGGCCACACATCCTCTCAAGGTCTACTTTAATTAATCATATTTCTAGCTACAGAAATGTCCACCTATACCTGGAACCTCAAAAATCAGGGTTAGAAGGTTTTTGCTTAATGGACACTTATTGGTGTAAGATAATGTTTTTAAAAAAATTGTTGAGGCCTAACTAAATTATAACAATAGCAATAATAGTTTAGATTCATTGAGTTTATATGTGCTGGGAACTTTGGTAAGGACTAGGGAATCAAAGGGGTATAGGAAGCCAGTGAGGGTGTTTCACACCTGTAATCCCAGTATTTTGGGTGGCTGAGGCAGAGGATCTCTTGAGCCTAGGAGTTTGAGACCAGCCTGGGCAATTTAGCAAGACTCCATCTCTACAAAAAAAAAAAAAAAATTGTTGAGTGTGGTGGTCCATGACTGTAGTCCCATCTGCTCAGGAGGCTGAGGTGGAAGGATTGCTCTTGCCAGGAGTTCGAGGCTGCATTAAGCCATGATTGTGCCACTGCACTCAAGCCAAGGTGAAAACAAAAGGCAGGGTATAGGGTGATGTCCACACCCTCAAGCAGTTTATACTCAAGCTAGGAAGACCCAGATAGGCTAATTGGTAGATGCTTGGTATAGAGAAAAAGTTTAATGGATGGAGATAGTGCTGTGGTCTGGTATAGTCAGAGATGATTTAGAGAGAAGACAGAGTAATTTAAAGCCCTTAAATAAGGGATCATATTTAGATAAGTGAAAGGGCATGGGAAGAATGCACCAGGCAGAGGTAGCAAAAAGAACTGGTACTTAGAGCTGAGAAATGTATGAGTCATATTTAGAAGACAACAAAGAGAAGAGTATGATTAAAGTGTTGATGTAAGAGAGGGTGGAAACATAAGCCCAGAAGTCCAGTAAAAGCTTGAATGCCAAACTGGGAGGTTAGATCTCTGGTGATAGCTACCATATATTGCATAGTAATTAAATATGAAGAACACAACAGTAATAATGATTGGCACCATTGGTAAAGGTCTAATATTTACCCGGTCCTACAGTAGGTATTTAATGTGCTTTCTCATTGAATCACTCTTTAAGTCAGCACATATTCATTGCCCACTATAATCCTGTAACAATCCAGTAGAGTACTTGTTGATACTTCCTTTTAAAAATGAGAAAACTGACGCTCAAGAGGACTAAGTAATTTATGCAAAATCCCATAGCTAATCAATGGCAGAGCCATGATTTGGCTTCATGCCTGTCCAACAAAGCCTGCCTTTTTTCCACAATGCACACTGCAGGCTTCTGAGTCTCTATAGAGGTAGGCATAATGAAAGTTATTTGGCGAGGGTGAGCACATAATAGCAGAGAGAGTCTGGAGGGCAAACAGTTTGCAATAGGGCAAACAGTGCAGTAGAAACTGTGGTGTGAGGAGAAAAATGAGAAAAGAGTTTGTAGTGAAAGTCAAGATGAATGGAAAGGAAAAGGTGACTCCGAAGACGTAATGAGGGAATAAGAATGTTCAGGACTTTGTGTTTGAGTATAGGTAGAGAGAAAGAGAAGAGCCAGAGAGTTTCCATAGATCCACACCTGGGACTTGAATGCGTGTGAGATGTGATCGTGATAATCAAGACTTTGTGTTTTCTTAAACATACTATAATATGTGCATCTAAAGAACAGGGTCCTTCAAAGCAGTTACCTTGGGAGACTTTGGCCTTGTTCTGACAATGTTGCCACTACTAAAATTTATAATTACGGACTCTTCCTTCAGGACTGCCTTCAACCATATGGGAAGAGGTCTCCTAACTGTAGCCAAGGATGCCATTTCTCAGCCTAACCACTCACTTGATATTCCAAACTTGGCTCCAAGTCACTTACTTGTTAAAAAAAAAAAAAAAGTAATTGTTAAAGGACAAAGCTTTTCCACTTTCGAGGGTTTGCTCAGGCTCACTTGCTCCCAGGGGGACAGTGTGGACAACACAGATCCCAGGCAGTCCTGGGTTTGAACTCTGACTCAGCCAGTTCCTTGGCCAAATTATTTAACCCCACTGTGCTGCAGATCTTTCAGCTACAAAATGGTTATTACAATTTCCTCCCCAGAGTGCTGTACAGTTAATTAGGATGCTCTCAGTAGCAAATAACAGAAAAGTCAACTCAAATTGACTTAAACAATGTAGGGATTTATTTGCTCACATAGGGAGAAGTCCAGAGGTAAAGCGAACTCCAGGCAGAATACAACTGGGGCTCAAGCTTTAGTTCTCTGCAGTTCTCTTGGCTGTGTCCTCTTCTGATTTCCAGCATTTTTGTCAGGCTGGTTCCCTTTGTATTTGCAAGAAAGTCATTAACAGCAGCTAGGGCAACGTGCTTTCTTCCTCATGTCTAGTGCAGGAGAGAGAAACACCTCTTCCCCAGCAGTTGAATATAGGCACTTCCCTCCCATACATTTGGATCATCTTAGAACACGTGCCAATCCATGGGCCAATAGCCAGCATCACAATGCCATGCATAGATCAGCTTAACATGGGGAAGACTGGGTGTCAGGAAGAATTAAATAGTATAACTCGTGGACATTAACTGGCCCAAAACTAGCAGTCAATACAAGTTTATTATTTTATCTAATAATGAAAAGAGAATTAATTAGGTCAATTACACATATACTTCTGATTATATATGGAATGTCTTTTTTCTTTAATGTTTACCTTCCCTCTCTCTTTTGGTCTAGGGCCACAGTCTCACTTCCCGTCAGAATGGATTACAGGGCAGTACACAAGCTAGGACAATAGCCCTGACCTTGCTTGTTTAGTGCCTGAAAAACAGCTCCAGTTTTGAATGCAGAGGCAGAAGCCAGGACATATAAACAGGAAAGGAATGCTGAGTAGGGACTGGAAAAGGGGATGATTGGGAATTGGGAGGAGACTCCAAAATATTATTGATTTTACTTTTGTTCTGCTCCTCTCAGCTGTGTTCCTAGTGCTATCTCTGCCTTCGCAGGACTCACTGGGGCAGGGTGTGGGAGTAGGTGGGTCTTGCCAGCAATTAGAGGAAGTTTTAAACAGCTCATCCATTCAGGCATACTTAGGACCCCATTTCATCGTTATGTATTTGGCAACTAGCTGGGAAAGACCAGAACTGAGGCTTTCACACCTATTTAGCACCTGGTTAAGCATCATTTGGCACCTGCCAAATGGGTCTCTACCATTTAGGGAGAATTTGCACTGATTACCATACTAATTAAGCAGAAGTCATTGCTACTCACAATCATTAGACTAAATCGGTTTCTGGGGAAAAGTCTTGATAAGCAGCTGCCCAAATGAAATGGATTTGAAGGCATCCCACGCACACAGGCTCACGCACCAGAAATTGCTCACATGCTCTCAGCCAGCACAACCTGATTATTCCTATGAACAGATTCTTGATGTGACTGAACCCAGAGATAGTTGACAGTCTCAAAGCCAGGTGACATGGGCTGGGGAGTCTTACAAGGTGAGCTGCTCACACTTAATTGAGGTAAATGATACTGAGTACCAAGCTTGAGGAGCATGCCCTGCAGTGAGTAGATATTTTGCATATCCTTTGGCTTTATTCCCTTCCCTTTTATTTCTGTTCCATGGATGCTCTTGGAGTAAACAATTCTCTGCCCCCATGACTTTTTATAATTGCCCTTTGGATTACTTAGAGCATTTTATAGACTCAGTTTTGAGTGGGGAGAAGTAGATTCTCAAAACTTTGATTCTTAGAATTTCTGTGAACTTGACATTTGCTCAACAATTTTGGGGAGTGTGTGTGTGTGTCTGTGTATATATGTGTGTGTGATGGGGAGGATATATAGCTTTGATATCCAAGACATTAGGGATGCTTGTAGCCATCTGAGGACTTCTGTAGGCAACATATTCTCAGAAGAAAACAAAAACTCAAATAACAACATAAGACACAGTAGTCCCTCCTTTTCTGAGGTTTTGCTTTCCATAGTTCCAGTTACCCATGGTGCAGTAAATTCGATGTTTTGAGAAAGAGAGACCACGTTCACATAACTTTTACTACAATATATTGTTAAAATTGTTCTATTTTATTATTGTTGTTGTTCATTCTTTACTGTGCCTAATTTATAAATTAAACTTCATCATAGGTATGTGTGTGTAGGAAAAAAAAATTAGTATATATAGGGTTTGGTGCTATTCGTGATTTCAGGTATCCACTGGGGGACTTGGAAGATATCCCCTTTGGATAAGGGGAGAGACTGCTATACTATTCCTGGAAGACAATTCTTTTGGATCAAGGCACAAACTTCATCTGAAGGCTTATTCTAGATCTTTTTATAACATGGCTATGGATTTTAACAAAATGTGTTGGAAATTGGAGAAATGCTGAACTGGGTGAATATTATAAAAATATAATATAGAGAACTTGGCATATATATATTTGGGGTACATAATGTACTATTTTGAAGTAAGCTTGAGACATTGTATTGGCTACTTCTGGAGATCCTATTGTGCATCATGAGGTCAGTAAATTTTCCCAATATTGTGCAAGCCAGGGACATTTATGTCTTTACTAGATTTTCCTGGAACCCTAAGGGAGGTAATTTATTTTAGAGGAGGAAGTGAATGGCTCCATATTATTAAAAACTGTGATGATGTTTTGGGGCAATTGCATCTCACTTTCTAGAAGGTCAGAGAAAGAAATTCGATTTGAAGCCAATGGAAATTTTCAAACATGTGTGCAATCCCATATAGCAAATGCCATGGAAATCTCCACATTCCAATGATTCTCAATGGCCTGTTTGTACCAGGCAGTATTCAATGAGGTGAAACTTTGTCCTAAATAAAAATGTAGACAATTACTTGGAGTTTATTCTAATGGGAAACTGTTGCCCAAAATCTTGAGGGAGGAGGGGTAGGAGTAATGAAGGAACACCGACTTGGAGAGTAGCTTCTGCAGGAAACTCTCAGAGGGGATTATTTGAGAGTTTAGTTGGGAGGGAAAACCAGATAGAGGGATGCCCATGAGGACAAAAGCCTTTCAGAAATACATAGAAGCCTTCTCATTTAATGGAATGAGGGAGAGATGCTCAATTCATCTTATTTTTCAAATTGAAGGGAAGGGTAATCTGTCAAAGCTAGAGAATTTGGGACACACAGATAGCAGGAATCTGAGTGACACATACATATTATCATGCTAGGGGCTCCCAACCACTTAGAGCAGTGTTTGGTACCTGCTAGGTGTGCATTAAATAACCATTGTGCATATAAAATGAGAATGGGACACAAAGGTATCCTATGAGTAGTAAGTGCTACATTAAAGTGCTACACAGGCGTGGTGGCTTGTGCTTGTAATCCCAGCACTTTGGGAGACCAAGGTGGGAGTATAGCTTGGGGTCAGGGGGTTTGTGATCAGCCTGGGCAACATAGCTAGATCCCATCTCTACAAAAATCTAAAAAGGTTAGATATCATAGATAATTAATGGATATTAATGATTTATCAGTTTCATTTCCAGGAGGGAGGTGGGATGGGATTGGGGATGAGCAAGGCTGCTGAAAGCAGGGAAAGAGAACAGAGATGGGGAGTGAGGGAAGCTGCAGTTTTCTCCCTTATTGTAGCTGAGAGGGACTCTCTTGTCTCTTGATTTTGAAAAAGAAGAGCATTTTAATCTTTTGGTTAAGCTTTCTTTGGAGACTGATATTGCACATCCCTACAGTCTTGATGATCCCGGAGCTCATTCTGTCTGGCTTCTGGCAACTTTGCAGAGCACTGGCTCATAGTTCTGAGTCAGTTTAACAGGTGAATAGGCCACTGGGATTTGAAGGCCCCATCCCCAACAAGGCTTCCTGGGCCACCAGGAAGCTCCTACTGTTCTATAGTGACAACGCTGTTGCCTGCCTCTGTAAACATGTGGAGCTTTCCAAGGGTAAGCCTCCTTCGATGGGAACCTTGCTGTGGAGCACAGGGTCCATCTGTGTGTGGCCTGAGCTCTGGGATGATGAGAGGTCCAGAGCTAACATGTGCTCAACTGCTTCTCTGCGTGTAAGTTTCCCTCTATAAATCCTATTTTATCTCTATACTGCATGATCCATTTGATCCTTGAGATTCGGGTCTTTTTTGATATGAGGTTCAGGTTTTTCAGACACCTGGAATGGCAGATGGATAATCCCCCACCATGAAGGATTAACAATAAAGATATTTTTTTCCCTTGAGCAGATAGGCATGGCCTGTGAGCAGGAGAAAGAGTGGAAAGGAGAAAGAAAGGCAAGATAGGTCAGCTAATCTTTCTTTATGCTGAAGAGAAGCCCATTTCCAGCCTGTCCTTTGACAGGGATGCTGTTGGTTATATCTGATACTTTTCTCTTCACATCCAGAAGCTTCCTAGAGCGGCTGGGTTGTTTTGGACTGGCTGGTTTTCTGCTTATTGCCAGAAAAACAAAAAAAAAAGATATCGTTATCTCTGATAGATTATCTCTGGCTCCTAAATGAGGACACAATGAGAGCTGTCCCTGCAGGGGAAAGGCAGGCCAGTGGAATGGTTTGTTGATCAGCATGAGCTGTGGGCACAGAGGCTGGAGCACCTATAGTGTTTGTCTACCCTTCAGGGGTCTGCAGTTTAAGTGTCTATTCCTACCAGAAAGTGTCCCAGAGAGCCCTCCTGAGGCTTGCTGGCAGATGCCCTCCCTGTCTCCTGCTGGGTGAAGCTCCTTAATCTGGGCAGGTGATGCTGCCTTTTTGTCCCAGGAGGGCTGCCTAAAGTAACTACAGAAGGGATTGGTTTATTTCACTGCTGAAATTCAGCCTTCCCCTAAATGGAAGGTGGCAGCTCTTGATCCAATAGTATCGATTTGCTACAGCTGGTCTGCTCAGGTTGTAGAAAAACTCCACACAATTGGCTACCTAAGGAAGCAGAGAGGTGGCTCAGCTAAGCAGATTCAAGCTGGGATGGGGTCAGGTGTGGGTCAAGGCTGCAGGTTTTCAGTGGCTTAAGTAGGGGGATCCTTCTCCCTGGGCCTGGCCCCTGTCTACACAGCACCGTGGTTCAGATCTCAGCGTGGGAATCAAACAGCCCTGGCTTCAAATTCCCCTTCCTCATTTACTAGCTATATGGACTTGACCAGGTACTTAACCTCCTCTCATTCATTTTTGTATTAAAACATTTTTTTCTGAGCACCTGGGAAATCTCTGCATCTTTCTACAACTGTGAGGCATGTCTGGCTCCATTTATGTTCTGGATATGTGAAAAGAGCCAAAGGTACAGATGGGAGGGAGGCTGCCTGGCTTTCCTTTCTAGCCGTTTAATTGGGGAAAAAACTTGGACCCAAGGTGGCCCCTAGCGTTCTGTGAAAAACGCCATTTTATCTTTTTTCAAACAGAGTCTGAAAGCAGCCAGATGCCTCTAGGAGGACAGTGAGGCAGCTGTCACCTGGGAGAGGCCACAGCATAAATCACAGAGAGCCAGGAAGGCAGGGCAGGTTCAACTATCACATGAAAACACTCTCAGTGTTTATGAATCGATGACCTGCCAGGGAACTGGGTTGTGTTTCCTTTTCCTTTGCCTCCAGATCAGACTCTTGAGAGCTGAAAACCCTGGCCCTCACTTACCCTTTTCAAATAAAAATAAAGGATAGCTCTGGACAGCCGAAGGTGACTCTGTAAATCTCTCTTGGTTCATGACTGTCTTTCCAGGGCAGTCATTTGCTGAGCTTGACAGTGCCAGTCTCTTCCTAGGTGGCCTGATGTTCTCTCTTGGGCAGCCCTATGCCACAGTTGTACTGTACCAAGAGGCCAGGCACTTTCCAAAATCATAGTTACTTCCAGTTAAACACAACAGTTAAACCTCTACAGTCCACTCTTCTTACCTCACTAAAATGATGGCCAAGAAATAAAATGTTAATGTGGGAAACTGTGAAAGAGGTTGATGCATTGTTGAAGGATGGAAAGTAGATGAAGGAGCCTCCACTCACCAGGGAGGGGAAAGCGATGCCTTCAGTGCCAGGAAGAAGAGTGCGGATGAGAAGCAAGCCAATGGCCCCAGCAGTGTAGCAGGCAGGCCCGCCACATAGGCTGAAGCCAGGGGGTTGTTTGGAAATCTGTCTAGGTTCAATTAGAGCCCCAGATCCACCCCACCCCTGCAGAGGCAGTAACTAGATCCCTCATTCTCCACTTCTCTATTTAGAATTGAATCTGAAGATAACTAGACCTCCTCCCCTCTGACACTCTCAACTTCTCTATTTAGAATTGAATCTGGAGAGGCTAGGCTCAAGACAAGAGGACATCCTATACCAGAGATAGTGGAGCTATCACATAGGTTGAATGTGGGGATTCTGAATGTGGGGGCCTCCACCTACTCTGCTCTGCCCTCCAAATGCTGACAGCCTTTGGTCACTCTTTACTAATTTCAGAAAGTTTTGTGTGGTTTTATTGTTTGTTTGTTTTTTAAATTAAGTGCAGGGTTATAGTTGTCTTTTGGGGGAGGACTGGTCTGATAGAAGCTGATCAGAGCTAATTTTTGGTAACCATTATGTTTTCATAACTTTTATTCTCCAATCACTTTTTCCCACCTTATTTTTAAATATGAATGAACAATCGAGGATCAGCACGAACTTGAAGTAAGCATTCAACATAAAAGACGGAGAAGCAAAACAAACAAAAACAATGGGGGAAGTTTGGGGAAGGGTATTTGCAGAGGAAACGTACTGCTGAATGCAGTGGTTGCCTATTCTCTAGAGAGGCTTAACAGGAAACACTTACAGACCCGGTTGTTTGAGGACCCTCTTTTTTTTTTTTTTTTTTTTTTTTTTGAGACGGAGTCTCACTTGTTCGCCAGGCTGGAGTGCAGTGGCACAATCTCTGCTCACTGCAACCTCCGCCTCCTGGGTTCAAGTGATTCTCCTGCCTCAGCCTACCGCAGGACCCTCTTAAACCTCAGAAGTTGGTAAGTCAGGTCCAGGCATTCAGAGCTTCCCATCGCTTCTTTTTTTTTATTTGTTTGTTTATTTTAAAATTATCAGGAAGTTAACTTGTCTGAACTCAAACTGCAAACTCCATCTCCCCGTGGGCAGGGGCTGCAATCTCAGTTCCATGTTTCAGCCTTAGCTGAGTGGCTTAGCATCTGCCCCGCATATGTGTGGCTCAGGGGCAGCCAGAGATCACGTGGGAGTTTATGCACAGAATATGGGGCTTCCCTCTGGCTCTCTCCTTTCCTCTCTTTTTGCTGTTGTGAAATAATTGATAGTCTGATTATTAAAGCCAGCAAGCCTGCAGATTTCTATTAGAATTTTTACCCCCTGGTGCAGAATGGGACTTGTTCTCAGGATAGAAGCTGTGAAAGAAGGAAAAATGACCTAATGGTTCCAAATGTCAGCTCTTCAGTATTCGTCTACCTTTGGTCATGCTTCACCAATTTCAGAGAGTTTTCTGGGTTTTTTTTTTTTAAGTTCAGGGTTATAGTCATCTTTTGGGGGAGGGCTGCTCTGGTAGAAGCTGATCGGAGCTGATTTTTGTTAGCCATTATTTTTTGGTAACGTTTATTCTCCAGTCACTTTTTCCACCTTACTTTTAACTATGAATAACATCCAAGGATCAGCAGAAGTTTGAGGAAAGCATCCAACATAAAAGATGGAGAAGCAAAACAAAACAATAACCATGGGGAAAGTTTGGGGAGGGATGTTCTCAGAGGAAACAGAGATACTGCCGAGAGCAGAACAAAATGCAAAAATAAACCCTCCAAAATAACATTCTCAGAGAGACAAAAACATTTCACCTGCAAAACAAAAGCAGGCTACCATTTTCAAAAAAGCAATGAGAGAAAAACAAAATTCTAGAAATTTAAAAAATAGGATTACAGAAATATTTAATAGTGAAAGAAATCTCCTATGAAGCAAAACAAACAAAAAACAACCCAGATGCGGACAAAAAAGAAAGAACAGATTTAAAAAATTAGAGAAACAATCTCAGGGCCAACAGAAAAGAAGAATAGAGAAAATGGAAGGGAGCATATTTTCAAAGAAATAACACAAGAAAATGTCCCTGAACTGAAAGACATGAATATTTAGAATCTAGATCAGGGGTTAACAAACTATGGTCCATGGGCCAAATTCAGCCTGTCTGTTTTGTAAATAAAGTTTTATTGGAACACAACCATGCTCATTTGTTTATATATGGTTCATGACCACTTTGCTACAACAGTAGAGTTGAGAAGTTAAGATGGGGCCATATGGTCCACAAAGCCTAAAATGTTTACTGTCTTACCCTTTACAGGAAAAGTTGGCTGACTCTTGGTCTGAATTGAAATATTCCTCCTTTGACCAATACCATGAATAAAAAAAGAACCAGACCAAGGACATTACTGTGAGTTTTCAGAACATCAGAGATAAAGAGAAAAACCTGAGATTCCACAGAGAAACGAAGGTCATTTTACAAAGGATCAGAAATGAGAATGGGATTGAACTTCTCAAAACCAGCAGTGGAGAGTACAAGAAAGTAGAGCATTGCCCTCAATATACTGCAGGGAAAACAACTTTCAACGTGGAATTTAATCCAGTGTAAGGATAGAATAGAGTGTTTTTAGACAGCCATGTCTCAAAAATTGTACTTTTTGTCTTCTGCAGAGGAGATGATTCAGTGCAATAAGGAAATAAACCAAGACATGAAAGATATGGAGGACTGTGGGCAGGACAGTGACAGGAGATCCTAGAAAGACAGCTGGGCTCCAGGCCCAGAGAGCAACTGGTCCAGGTTGGAGCAGAACTGAGTTGGCCAGGGCTGAGGTCTCCAGGGAAAAAAAAAGAACCAATGGTTTATCTATGTGCTGGACCCAGTGGAGCAGAGCACTGACCACTGAGTGTTTGGGAACTCTTGGTGCTGGTTATTCAATAAACTAAGAAAATCACAAAAAATGCAGTTATTTCAGGAAAAACAAAAAAGTTGTGTGACAAAGAAAATGTAATTACAGCACTGACTCAAGAGTGGGTAATATTTACATAATCGCCAGGTGGCTGCAGGGTTCCCCTCTTGCTGGGCAGCCCTGGAACACCTCCTTTCCCTTTGTTCCTCCAGCGTTGGGAGAGGCAGCAGCTGAACTTACCGATTTCTGTTTGCTTTTTTCAGCAATTCTAACACTTTCTAACTAATACCCTATATTAAATCTCCCTCTATTGAGTTATCTGGCATGAGTATATGGAGTCTGACTGGTCAGTCAATTAATAATTCTAAAATCAATAAATCAAGAAATAGCAGCGTAAGCATCATGTTAGAAATATGGGAGTAAATACCAGGTGAAAAAAAAGAAGGAAGGAGTTGAAATTATTTGCCTCTGAGGGGAAGAACTTGGAGATGCAGGTCGGGGAGAGAGGGATATATTAGGGGAATGTTGTTTTTGTTATAAATCTTTTATAATATTATTTGGCTTTAAACTAGGTGTATATATTACTTTAAAAAATAAATACAGAAAAATTCACTGACTTATTTGTCAACCTGAAAACGAGTCTGATCACCGGGTCCAACATTACCACAGATCAGGAACACCAGCAAGTTAAAGATTCTGGTGAGGCCTGGCGCGGTGGCTCACACCTGTAATCCTAGCACTTCAGGAGGCCGAGGCGGGCAGATCACGAGGTCAGGAGATCGAGACCATCCTGGCCAACATGGTGAAACCCCGTCTCTACTAAAAATACAAAATTAGCTGGGCATGGTGGCACATGCCTATAATCCCAGCTACTTGGGAGGCTGAGGCAGGAGAATCACTTGAACCAGGGAGTCGGAGAGGTTGCAGTGAGCCGAGATCAAGCCACTGCACTCCAACCTGGTGACAGAGTGAGACTCTGTCTAAATAAAAAAAAAAAAAAAAGATTCCGGTGAGCGTGGGGACCTCCTCTAGGCTGATAATAGGTTGCAGAGGAGGAGACCTAGATTGCTCATCTGATGTAGGTATTCACTTGGAAATATTGCTTTCATGGATTGTTTTACTTGGATCTCACACACACACAAATACCATATTTCATTTTCCTAGCACATAGCAAAAGGCATAGTGCACAGAAGTTTCTTAGTTCTGATAGGTGGAAGAGATAGGCTGGGGAGGGAGTATTCCACTTTCTTCTACCTTAAGCTTGAAAGGCAAGAATTCTATGGTGACTCCTGGCCTGGCCCTCTGGCCATTAGTACAGGCAAACACCATCACAAGCAAGCCTCAGCCCAGGAGTAGGATTGTCATGCTTGACTCTTTCTTGCTGAAACCACCTTTGCAAAAATTATAGCACTGAGAAAATTATGACAGTGAAAGAGACCTGACCTACTGACTCCATCTTGCCTTTAACCTCCAGACTGCCCTTGTTCATTCCTGGTAACCATAAGAAGAATTTAGTTTATAGTTTAACTTAGAAACAAAGATGATAACAGCCCTTTCCCAAAACAAAACGCTTCATTGCCCAGGGACCACATCACCTTATAAAACTAACGAAGTAGGTACAAGAACAGAAATTATGGTTTAGGAGTCATGCAACTGGAGGACACAAGATTTCTAACCTCCCCAGTTGCTCCTATGGATAATATCACTATTATAAAACCTAAGATTGGTGTTCAAGATATTTTTCAAACTCTGAATTCTGATGAATCAGCTGGCATCACCTAGACCAGTAAACTGGCTCATCTGATCTTGGGGCTTCCACCCAGGAACTGACTCAGAGCAAGAAGACAGCTCTGACTCACTATGATTTCATCCCTGACCCAGCCAATCAGCATTTCCCATTCCCTAGCCCTCTGCCTGCCAAACTATCTTTAAAGAACCCTAGCCTCCAAATTTTCAGGAAGGCCGATTTGAGTAATCATAAAACTGCAGCTTCCATTTAGCCTGCTGTATGTGTATTAAACTCTTTCTCTGTTGCAATTCCCTTGTTTTTGATAAATTGGCTCTATCTGAGCAGTGGGGAAGATGATCTGTCAGGTGTACACTATGCCCCATTGCAGAATGGGCCATGATAACATTGAAGCATATGGACCCTCCTAGTTAACACTTACAGACAAAGATAAATGGGAAAAATTAAAACAACACCACTTCAAAGTTGGAAGACTTCCATTAGAGGTATTTCCCTCTCAGCTTCCCTCATGCAGCCTGAATCTTGTACCATCTCTCAAAGTCCTGATTCTACCACCACAGGACTGGCATAATCTTCTACAATGGTAATCTTCCCAAACAATTCACCTTTAAACTTCTCTCTTCTTCCCCTCCCTTCTTTTTCTTTTTCCTCTAGCTCCAGACCCTCAGTTGTCTCCTATCTCCTAACTTTGAAACAGGTTCCAGGGACTTTCCCAAATAGAGACCACCCTAATAGTTCTGATCTAGCCAAACTTTAGTAAAACTCCAAATGAAGAAACCATAGAGTTAACTCCATGCCTTTGTTTCTCATGTAGGGGATGCAGTGAAAAGTCAGGGTTTCAGAGCTAAACATACATAACAGGTGCACCATTGATAATTCTCAGTAGTATCCCTTCCCCACAACATTGCTTTTCAGCCCTGTTCTGTCACCACACAGAATGTATCAGCACAGTGAGCAAAGATCTTTAGGCACAAGCAAGGTTGGCCTGATCTGGGAAATTTATAGAAATGCAGTTTACTATCTGTATAGTGAGAAAAGACAGAAAAGGCACAAGTCTTGGGGTTTGCTCTGGAAACGGAAGGAAACTATAGATTCTATGAAATTTTAAGTATTATACTTGCAAAGATACTTGAAAGGGAGTAAAGCAAAGGTTCTTAGATCTTGAATTTTGCTTGAGAGCTGGCAAGGGCTCCTATGAAGCTCTTAAAGAAAATCTGTACCTCCACAGCTTCTGCTAGTTCTTGGTACAACTAAGAGGCCAGAGGAGATAAAGAAGAAGGGCATGGTAATTTTCTTTAAGCAGCAGGTTAATGGCTTTTGGTTCTGAAAGACAAGGATTTGGTATTGTTTGAAAGAGAGCGATTATGACAATGAGGCCTACTGCTCTGCTTGAACAGAATTGAGTTCCCCCTTCTTATGACTCTCAGCCCCACACCAATCTGTCAGTGTAAGAGCCAAGGCTGGGCGAGTGCAGATCTCTAGGGAGTGAGGAGATGTGAGGACCAGCCCCAAGTACCTGATGGGACATCAGAACTCTGGAGAGAACTGATCCAAAATGGAATCTTCCGTGGCAGAAATGGTCTAGAGGCTAAATTTACAAGGGGAATGTTGTCCTGAACAGTGCTATAATTCTCTTCTGCTTCACACATGATACGGTTTGGATTTGTGTTCCTGCCCAAATCTCTTGTTGAATTGTAATCCCCAGTGTTGGAGGAGTGGCTTGGTGGGAGGTAATTACACCATGGGGATAGATTTTTCCCTCGCTATTCTTGTGATAGTGAGTGAGTTCTCACAAGATCTGGTTGTTTAAAAGTGTGTAGCACCCCACCCCACCTGCTCTCTCTTCCTCCTTCTCCAGCCATGTAAGGATGTGCCAGCTTCCCCTTCACCTTCCACCATAATCATAAGTTTCCTGAGGCTTCCTCAGCCATGCTTCCTGTACAGCCTGTGGAACTGTGAGTCAATTGAACCTCTTTTTTTAATAAACTATCCAGTCTCAGGTAGTTCTTTATAGTGGTGCAAGAACAAACTAATACAACACAGAAGAGAAAAGGTCACCTTCACATACCAGCCATGTGTTAGAGATGTTAGAGGAACTAGAAGAGAAAGAGGTAAGTGTCCCAGTTTGGTGAACAAGACTCATGAGAGGAAAAGCGGCTGGAGTGGTGACCACTTGCTAGAGCTCAGAGTGAGTAAGTGACAACCACCCTGAAAATGGAAGCACCCTTCTTCCCCAAAGTGCTCATAAATATTGGGGAGGGAGCTGAGTATGCTGCTATTTGTTCTCTCATTGATTCAACAAGTATTTATGGAATGCCTTCTATGTGCTGGACATTGTCTAGGCCCTGGAGACACAAGACTAAATAAGACAAAGTCTTTTTCCTTATTTTGTTTCTCTCAAATGACTACAGTGTCTTACTAGCCAGAATCTCTTTAAAAGGTTTTCTTTCATCTAATTAATCCCATGAGCTAAGTTTATGACACCAGCCCTCAAGGGTGAGGTCATAGAAGCCAGATACCCTTCTGTTGACTTCATCAATAAAGTCCTTTTATTGGGTGCTACATGCCCGGCATCCTGTCAAGCTCCTTATATATCTAATTTATTGTGACAATGTAGGGGAAGAAAAATATTTTTTCTTCACCCCTCATAAGTTCTTAGTTGGAACAAATCCTTATAATGAAAGATACCAACCTGGCACATGTATACCTATGTAACAGACATGCACGTTGTGCACATGTACCCTAAAACTTAAAGTATAACAATAATAAAATTTAAAAAAAACAAGAGAAAAATAAACAAGTTTATTAACATGTACATTTCATATTGTTGGGGCTCAGGAAATGATATCCCAAAGTATGCTATTTTTGACACCCTTTTTTTAAGTAGGAGAAAAGGCATACCAAATATTGTTGTAACATGGGTAACACTGGGGGATCACAAGAGGATAATTATTCAATAATCCAGTGTGGTATAGAAGCTTATATACCCATTTTCATATGGGAGGAAGAGATAGGGAGTGTAGACAATTCTTTTGAGTGGCAGTAAATCATTAGGGAGAATGAATGGACCCAGTGAAATGGGTGGAGTTCCCTTATCCCCCTTGCAGGGTGTGTGACAGGGGAGTGGCTCAAACCCATAGAGGGAGCATGCAGATGGGCAGGTCATTGGAAGCATTTTTGGGCTCCAACCCCATGGCAGCCTCCAGGATTGAGTGTTTACAGCTCCCGAAGCCCCAGTGGGTAGGTGTTACAGTGCACTCTTTTAGTTTTGCCATCTGCAGGTGGCTTGTATTAATCAACTCAATTAGACCCTCTGCCTTATCACAAGGACAGAGGGCTTTCTGGATCCCGAGCTCTTGCCCTAGTGTACCGGAAAAATTGGATCACATGTGGGCTTAGAGAATGAGTGCAAGGTTTTATTGAGTTGGGGAAGTAGCTCCGGAGAACCAGAAGAGGGGTGGAGTGGGAAGGCGGTCTTCCCCTGGAGTCAGGCTGCCCAGCAGCTGGGCTCTCCTCCTACTGCCTCCGACAGACTGAGTTCCATGTCATCCCATCTCAATGGTCTGCTGGCACCTGTTGGTGTCTGTCAGTGGGCTCTTCTGTTCCTCTGCTCCTCTCAATGTCCATACACTTTTGTGTGTGCCCACTAGGGTCTTGGGGGTTTTATGAGCACAAGATGGGGCAAGGGGCAAGGTGGGGCACAGTGGTCTTGGAAAATACAACATTTGGGCATGAAAACAGGAGTGCTTGTCCTCACTTAGGTCCGTGGGCACAGGCCCAAGGGTGGAGCCCTCATCAGGAACCCTAGCTTTCTCTACCCAGCACTTCCCTGCCCCTCTCCCATACCACAAGGAAGTAGAAGGCAAATACTACAGGAACGTGAGAGGAGGGAAGGTGAGAGGCAGGGTTGTGCAGGAACAAAGGTTGTCTTATTACAAATATGCTGAGCACTTTGAACTAAGGAGGCAGCCATCAGGCCAAGGTTCTCTGACCTTCTCCAGTGCCCTTCTCTCTTGCCCCTCTGCCTCTTCAAAGACAGAGGGAGGGGTTTTCCCTGAAGCTCCTTTATTTGATTAAGGGAAGTTCCTCCAGAAAGAATGCAGTTGTCTTTAGATTGTCCAGGGACGTTTAAAAAAGAAAAAAGAAAACAAAATGCAATTGTCTTGGATCCCTCCCTATAATCTTATCAAATAGAATTGTAATTCCTAGGAAGAAAAACCAGAGTTGACACCACACTCAGAGCCCAGATAAATTTTGTCCCAGGCTATTATCTATTCTTCACACCCATTCATCTCCCCTAAAAATCATTTCTTCTGCCTCTAAAATTGCCTACATGCCCCCTACTTACTTCTCCCCTCTGAAGAGGTCATGTGAGCTTCAACCATCTGCCCCTTATTTGAGTTTCATATTTTGTGTGACTCCTGTGCATATTCAAGTGACAAATTTGTCTGTCTTTTATGCTGTTAACCTGTCTATTGTATTGTTTTATAGACTCAACTTCTCTAAACTTCAGGGGATGAAAGGAAATTTCCTTTTGCCCCTACAACATACACATGGGGGGCACCCAGGTAACAAGTAGCTCTCAAAGGGGTGGCTTTTAATTACAGTTTATAAAACATCTTCAACAAAGAACAGTAAATTTTTAGAGAAGTGACAAGACAAAGGAAAAGAACTTTGAGCATCTAGGGGCAACAACTTGTGAGAAGGCAAATAAATGGCAGACAGAGAGGCCAGTAAAGTTAGTAAAGCTTGTTAATGTAAATCCTCTGGTACATCTCCAGGCTGATAAGGGTCTAAAGTTGTCTTCTGTGGCTGAACTTTGTTTTCCTGGTAGAAAGGGGGTCAGTGATAGAGACAGGAGACAGCCAATGGTTCCCTGGAGAAACTCCACCTTCAAGCCTAAAACAGCCTGAAGGCTGAAAAACCAGACTGCTAGTCCCTGATGAAGCCCGCCCTTTCCCGACTAATTTTTTCTGAATAATGCCCACCTGCACACTGGGAGGATGGGGTGGGACCTCAGGAAGTTTGTGCCATTTGCAGAGGGGTGGAGCCTGGCCTCTCCTGTTCCTGTGTGATTACTTGGGATTCAATCTGTGAGATGAGGGCCTGTTAATAGGAACCCCTCTCACTTTGCTGAGTTTTTTCCTTTTTGCCCAATAAATTCTGTTCCCCTCACCCTTCAAAGTGTCTGTGAGCCTAATCTTTCCTGGTCATGTGACAAGAACCCAGTTTTTTCTACAACATCAGGATAGCTCTTGTCTTTATAAATCTATGTTCTGCTTTTAGGCAAATAGAGGATGGGCAAAGAGCTTTCCTGCATCTGCTTCCTAAGTGCCTTCATCTCAATTATCCTTCATATTTTGGGGTGGCATCTTCTGATATCCCACAACAACATCATGGTTTATCTGACTCCAAAGCCCTGGCCTGGACAATTTTACAGTCGCTGAAATACTAGCATCTTAAAAGCCTAATTTACTTTCCTATTAAAGTACTTCTGGCCACTAAAGAGTTACTTTAGAATATACATATACACATCTTTGGAAAAAAGGTAGTTTTTAAGCATTCTTTCTCCCTGGGGAGTTTTTTTTTTTTTTAATTGCCCCTTAGGTCAAGTATACCTAGGCTGAAATATTGTGTTTAAATATTCTCTTTCAAATATTAAGATATATTCATTCAAACTCTGATTTCTTGCTTATTCAAGTCTCTAGAAAGTGCTTTCTGGACTGGCACCAATCCTTAACATGTTAATACACAAGAAAGTACATCTTTAAATACAGACAATGGAATTCAGTTCCCCCTAGAGCCTCCTGAAGGTCAGATGGGGTTGGGGGTGAGGTGGCATATGACATAATCTAATAGTCTCATGCAAAATTCGCCTGTGCTTATTAGGATATAATTTAGGTCATCTCCTGGGATTGTAGCAGAGAAATCCCTGTAAGAAAGAAAAATGCTAATTTCTTATCCCAATTACCAGGGTGCTCTTTAATTTAAATAGAATGCCCTCAGTGTGTTGGATGCTTTATGAGATCCATCACAAAGACATGCTCCAGCCCTCAAGGAACTTCCATCAAGAAAAGATATGACACATTCTGGGGCTATCAAGGGCCAAATAATACAAGGAAGAAGAGGAAGGGCCCTTGAACCATTTTTTCCTATGGCAGAGACCAAAGAGACTGGGCCCTGATTAACCTTTCTTCCCTTTTATGGCGTCTCTTGCTGTGGATAGAGAAATAGAATGTTTGGAACAGGAGTTAATACTTCCTTTCTTTTAGTGTGCGCAAGCTCACCCCAAAATCAAACCTTCAGTGCCTACAAGATAAAGTAAAGGCCACACAGGCTCAAGATTTTTTTATGGCCAATTCTCTCTCCTACCAAATATCCCAGAAATTTGTAAGGAAAGTCAACTCCTTTTGAGTCACTGTCCCTGCTCATTCTCTGCTATAGGGAATAATGAATAGGGGAATAGTGAAACCAAGGCCTAACCTGATTAAGCCTGCCACATTTAACATGCTTTGCTTGCTTTTAATCATGTACTTCTAAAAGTGATCTCCTCACTGCTGAGCAAGGAGATGGAATAAAATCTTTTGTCTTTTGTAAAACCTGTTGTCTTGCTTGCTGCATGGGGGCAGAACAAATTGATATTGGTTTGATATCAATAGTAATGTGTGGGAACTATGGACAACACTGGTTTGTTTACAGTTGGGTAGAATGAATTATTTCTCCTGCTGTGCTTTTCAGCAGTGGTGGTGGTAATGGTGGCCCCAGCTCTTGCCTAGGTTCTAGTGGCAGAGTTCAGGGCACACTCCCACAAAATATGGCGGTTTGCAATATTGAGTATTTTAAGCTGAAGGAATTTGAGAAAAGGGAGATGCAGGAAGGACTCTCCAATCTTCCCCTGAAAAAGGTCATAATACCCTCATGTGAGAGGTGCTAGAGGAAAGGATCCTTATTGGAAAAGATGGAGAGACGCTAAGAGGAATCTGAACAAAAAGGACTTAATTTTTCTCCCAGGTTACTATCCTTGGCTCATAGCCCTTTGTCCTATCACATTTTCCTGTAACTTTCCACTATTGATGAAACATAGTATAAAAACACTCAGGTTTATCCATTTCTTCTGGTCCTCACTTCCTTGTGAAGTCTTCTGTGTCACATAAAACTTATATTAAATAAACTTATATGGTTTTCTGTGTTAATCTGTCTTTGTTTACAGGGGCCCCAGCCAAGAACCTAGAAAAGAAAATATTTTTTTCCTTTCCTACAGTTTCTGGTAATGATGAAGGGAAAATAAGAGACTGGGACATCCATTCACCTTAGAAATTGCAGTTTAGATCGGGGATAACTGACAAAAGTGTGTCAGAAGGTAAGAATTCTTACCACATCAGCTTCACTTCCCAAATCTATGAGGAAGAAGGTAGAAGAAAATAAAAATTTCTCCTTGTCTTTGGCCAAGCTTGGTGGCTCATGCCTGTAATCCCAGCACTCTGGGAGGCCAAAGTGAGAGGATCCCTTGAGCTCAGGTGTTCGAAATCAACCTGGGTAATATAGTGAGATGCCATCTCTACCAAAAAAAAAAAAAAGAATTAGCCAAGTATGGTGCCACCACTCAGCTACTCAGGCAGCTAAGTGCCACTGCACTTCAGCCTGGGCAACAGAGCAAGACCATCTCAAAAAACAAAGAAACAAAAAAATTTATCCAGGTCCATTTCTTTTCAAATTCAGATTAGCAGGAGAAAACCATTTGTAAACATTAGTTCCTTGGATTGGTTATTGAAAGAAGTAATTATTTTCCTCCTTTATGTCATTTTACTTGGATATAGTCATGCTAGGTATAGGCAGCAATTAAGCTGATGTTAGTAAGGCTGCAAATAACAGAAAACCCTTGCCAAAGGATATGCCTTCTTAAAAGGGGTAAAATTTTGATTTTCATACAAATATAGAATGAACACATGCCAAATATTTTATTGAGCTCATTAATTAAAGAGGTAACTAGTAAGATATTATAACCAATTTAAAGGAAAACCCAAGGAGTAGAGACGTATGTAAGCAATCAGAAATACAAAAATGAGGCTGGTCGCAATGGTGCATGCCTGTAATCCCAGCACTTTGGGAGGCCAAGATGGGCAGATTGCTTGAGGCCAGGAGTTCAAGACCAGCCTGGACAACATGGCAAAACCCAGTATCTACTAAAAATAAAAAAAAATTAGCTGGGCATGGTGGTGCATGCCTGTAGTCTCAGCTACTCAGGAGGCTGAGGCACAAGAATTGCTTGGACCCAGGAGGTAGAAGTTGCAGTGAGCCGAGATCCTGCTACTGCACTCCAACCTGGGCGACAGAGCTAGACTCTGTCTCAAAAAATAATAATAATAATAAATAAATAAACTAAAATGAATTTACTTAGTAGAACAAAACTATGGGAGATTAGTCATACTTTTGCCAGACAAAATTCATTTGCATGTTTATGGACAAGAGTTATTTGCATTGCTGGCAGCTACATATAATCTACAGAGTTGTAAAATAGTTCAACAACACAGAAAGGTGCAGAGACCCCATAGAATCAGATAACCTGAAAGAGTGCACTAAACAGTGCCTAGCTTTCCTTTGAAGGTCATTTGTCTATTTTAAAGTCTTTCAGAATTTTTAGCTTTATCCTTCAGTGGCGTAAACCAGTAAGTTTATTTTTCTCATGTACCAAATAGTCTGGAGATAAGCGATATGACATTGTGATTTATATTAAGATATGCACATTTGGTCTTCCTCATTTCCTGGCACATAGCTCCTAGAACCCTTGGAATCTCCAAAATGACATGTCTTTTTGTATGCTAATGAGATGACTGATGACTAGGGGACTCTTGGATGGTGGTTGGTTGCCAGGGGAACCCAAAGTGTGATTGGAGGGTTGAGACTTACAGCCCTCCCCAAACTGCAGGGAGGGGAGAGGGGCTAAAGGTTGAGTTATCACAAATGATCAATGATTTAATAAATCATGCCTACATATTGAAGCCTCCATTAAAAAACAAAAGGGATAGGTAGGGAGAGCTTTTGGCTGAACACATGGAGATGCCTGGAGGATGATGTGCCTGGAGAGGGCATGGAAGTTCAGCCCTACTTCCCACCTGCCTTGCCCTGTGCATCTCTTCCATCTGGCTGTTTATCTGTATCCTTTATAACATCCTTTATAATAAATGGGTAAAGGTAAGTAAAGTGCTTCCCCAAATTCTGTGAGCTATTCTAGCAAATTAAGTGAACTTGACAAGAGGTTTGTGGGAACCCTGATTTACAGCCAATTGGTGAGAAGTACAGATCACAACTGGGACTTATGGTTTGCATCTAAAGTGGGGGGAAGTCTTGTGGGAGTGAGCTCTTAACATGTGGGACCTGACACTATCTCCAGCAGACAGTGTCAGATGTGAATTGAACTAGAGGACATCCAGCTGGTGTCTGCTGGAGAATCTGGTGTCAAAAGTGTTGTGTTGAGTGACTGTAAGAGAATAGAGTAGGAAGAGCAGTTTTGTTTTCCTATATCTCAACACCAGTCCAAAGCTTGTACAGTGGCCTAGGTGCGTTATATCCTGTCTCCTTCTATCTCCTGCTTTTTATCTGTTGGGACTCAGAACATGATATCCCAAAATATGGTGCTTTGGTGCATGCTGAGTGCTTTGAACAAAGGAGATGGAACAGCCTCTGAAATAAGCCTTAGTACCAAGGTCTCTCTCTGACCTTTTCCTGCTCCCTCCTTTTCTTTCCATGAGGGGCTGTCTCTGAAGTTCTTTTCTCTGATCAAGGGAAATTCTTCCAAAAGGAATGCAATTATCTTGAACCCCCTCTCTAGAAATCTCATCAAACAACCAGGGAAGATTAATCACCAGAGAAGAGATTAAAAGTTATCAGCATGCCTAGACAGGCTATTGTCTATTCTTCTGGAGGCTGCTCCACAACAACTTTTATTACTGGAGACACTTTTCTCTGCCTTATAAGACAACCTTTGTTCACCATGCAGTTCCTCCCCTTTACATCCCCTAATTTGTCACCACCTCCCATGAAAGCCTCAAGCCTTTATTCCTTTATGCTATTTAAGCTTCAGCCATCTGGCCCTTCTTTGAGTCTTACATTTTGTGTGGCTCCTGTGCACAGGTGCACATTAATAAATATGTATGCCTTTTCTCCTGTTTATTGTCAATTTATTTCAGCAGACTCAATTAATTGAACCTTCAGAGGGAAAATTTAAACTTCCCTACACATCCTTAGCGTCATGGGCACAACTGCTGGGGCCAGTGTCACAGGCAGTAAAGGAATTTACCAAGACAGTTGTGAGGAAAGAAAGGAAGATTTATTAGAGGGAAAGTTTGTTGTAAAGAAGCAACAGGCAGCATGGTAGAGAAGGGGCTGTCTGCAGAGAGGTAGGGGCTGGAGGGAAGTTTTATGTAAGTTTATGCTGGAGATGTCACATGTGGAACGAGGTATTTGGGAACAGGATGTTGTGCCAGCAGGTTGTCTGTGATAAGCTGTCTCTCAGAACAATTGTTCTCCCCAACGTGGGACCTCTTCCCTCTTGTTGCTTACTTATCTTTTCAGGACTCCACATTCTCTCATGACAGAAAACAATGACAGATCTTTGGCATTGGGGTGAAGGTCTTATCTTCCAACTATTTCCCACTGGTCTGGGGCATAGAGTTGCCCTTACCTGTGATTGTTGTTCTGTCAGGAGACCCTGTGGACTATTTTCCCAGACTGTGGGACTTGGGATATTGAATTTTGCTGGAGGAAGTAACTCATTAGAGAGGGGGAGCATGTCAAGGCAAAACTGATGTCCAGCTGAATCCAGTGGAGATTCGTAAAGGTAGCAAGCATCATTAGGGAGAGAGTGATATCCTGTTCGCAGCATTATTTGAAGGTGAAACTGTTGAATTCTAGAAGATAAAATTTTGTTTTTTAAGCCAGTTACTGAAAAGGCAAAAAACAAAACAAAACAAAACAAAACTTTTTGCAGTATGACTGTTTTTCCTTATTGGAAGCCCATTTAGATAACCTGGAAGTTAAACTTGAAAAAATGTGCTTGAATTTAATCTGACACAGGAAGAGTGTGTTTAAGGTTGTGAGTATAACAGGGGAATATATGACTCTTAAAGCATGAGAAGTTTCTGGATTACATTGAAAATTTAGACATATTAAGAAAAGTTAAGAGCACAGAATTAAGTTTTAATGGAGGAAATCTTTACTTCTCTAGACATTCAAAATAAAACATTTTAGCAGTAAGTCATAACAACAGTTAGAACTGGAGGAAAAAAGTTACAGGAGCTGACAAAAATGCTGAAAGAGAGAATTATTATTTTAGGCCTTTTCAAGGGAAGAGAAAAGCTGAAAGCAATGAGAGAAACAGCAAAAGGTGAATTTCTGAGATAAGATTCTGATACATTTTTAAGATGTTACAAAATAAAAAGTAAATTTTATTTTAGTTTCATTAAGAGCAAATCAATACCTTAAGAAAACCTTGTTTTAACATAGGGGACCAATCTTTAAAGACCATTGTAAATAATTCCCTTTTAATTATAACCAGCTTAATCACATACAAAATTCCTTTAGTAAATTCCCCTTCATGAACTTTATCATGACTTACACAGACTGTCTATGACATGTTTGGACTTTCTGACTTGTCCTAAACATCTCTGTTTTTAAACAACCAGTCATTTTACTTTAGGACAAGAATTTACCGTACAAGATTCTTTCTCTTATAAAATCTTTCTTCTTTATAACTTTCCTTACCAAAAATACCTCTTTAGACAAAAGTCATTTTTCTTATGTTAGGAAGTTATGGTTTGTATTATAATATATGTTGCTGTGCAAGTCCTGTGAAGGAGGGGCAGATAAGAAAGTTGTCTACATACTTCAGAAGTTATCCCCCCTCAAGAGATTGTTCAGTTAGACTTCTTGCTAGGGCTTGTCTGAATAAGTGTGGGCTCTTTTTTAAACCCCTACTTAGGACTATTCAAGTTGAAGATGATGCAGGATTTTTCTTGGCCCCTTTGCCAAACTCCCAGAAGGGGCTCCTTGTCTACTTAGCTCACCACGCTTAACCCCTTGTGGGAGGGAGCACGTGAGCAAGTGAGTGCAGGATCCATCTGGTCACTCTACCAACACAGGAGCAAGCTCTGTGCAGGGCCCACAACCAGGGCCCATAGCCAGAACAGGTATGTCACCTCAAGGGGAGCACCGTGTTGCCCTGGCAAGGGTGCCCATGACCCCAAAACCCCGGGGGGGTTGTTAGTGTGCTAATTAGCTCTTTTGTTCTGCTATCCACACCCTGATGGATGGCAGTGTGTTAGCAGCTCAGTCATCCCCTGGCCCCATTGCACGGGGCAGCTGCCTCCTGCTGGTGAAGGCAAAGGGCCAATGTGACAGCCTTTCTGTGTACCTGCACTCAGTGGGTCCTGAGCTCTTGTTCAGCATCCAAGAAGAATGAAGTCATGCTTGATGATTAAAGGATGGTGAGGATGAGAATTTTACTGAGCAATGAAAACAGTTCTCAGCAGAGAGGGGAGCTGGAAGGGCAGGTCATCTTTCCTCAAAGTCAGAAGGTCTCTTCCCCAAAGTCAGGCTGTCTCCCCACTGAAGTCAGGCCATCTCCTCCCCAAAGTTAGGCCATCTCTTCCCCCAAAGTCAGGCCATTTCGCTCTACAAACTGAATCTGGGATGGGGGCAGGGCAGGCTATATAGGTAGTATTGGAAAAGACAACATTTGGCTACTTTTCCTGGAAGCGAGGGAGGTTTTCTCCTATCCTTTCTGGTCAAAAGTTCCCAATACCTATGAGTAGTGCAACTGACACATATGTTTTGAGACTGCGAGTGCACAGAAGTCAAGAATTGAGGTTTGGGAACCTCTGCCTAGGTTTCAAAGGATTTATGGAAATGCCTAGATGTCTAGGAGGAAGTTTGCTGCAGGGGCAGGGCCCTCATGGAAAACCTCTGCTAGGACAGTGTGGAAGGGAAATGTGGGGTCAGAGCCTCCACACAGAGTCCCCATTGGGGTGCTGCCTAGTTGAGCTATGAAAAGAGGGCCATCATCCTCCAAACCGCAGAATGGTAAATCCACCAACAGCTTACACCATGCACTTGGAAAAGCTGCAGATACTCAACACCAGCCTGTAAAGGCAGCCAGGAGGAAGGCTGTATCCTGAAAAGCCACAGGGGCAGAGCTGCCCAAGACCATGGGAACCCCCTCTTGCATCAGCATAACCTGGATGTAAGACATGGAGTCAAAGGAGATCATTCTGGAGCTTTAAAATGTAACTGCCCTGCTGGATTTCAGACTCGCGTGGGCCCTGTAACCCCTTCGTTTTGGCCAATTTCTCCCATTTTAAACAGCTATATTTACATAATGCCTATACACCCATTCTGTCTAGGAAGTAACAACTTGCTTTTAATTTTACAGGCTCACAGGTGAAAGGGACTTGCCTTGTCTCAAATAAAATGTTAAACTGTAAACTTTTAAGTTAATGCTAAAATAGGTTAAGACTTTGGGGGACTGTTGGGAAGGCATAATTAGTGTTAAAATGTGAGGACATAAAATTTAGGAGGGGACAGGGTGGAATGATATGGTTTGGCTGTGTTCCCACCCAAATCTCATCTTAAATTCCCATGTGTTGTGGGAGGGACCCGGTGGGAGGTAATTAAATCATGGAGGCAAGTCTTTCCCATGCTGTTCTTGTGATAGTAAATAAGTCTCACAAAATCTAATGGTTTTAAAAAGAGGAGTTCCCCTGCACAAGCTCTGTCTTTACCTGCTGCCATCTATGTAAAACATAACTTGCTCCTCCTTGCTTTCCACCATAATTGTAAGGTTTCCCCAGCCACGTGAAATTGTAAGTTCATTAAACCTCTTTCTTTTGTAAATTACCCAGTCTCTGGTATGCCTTTATCAGCGGCATAAAAACAAACTAGTACAGAACCTAACAGGGCAGCAGTGGTCAGACGTTTTTCTACTGGGACCTTCTGGTCCACTGGGGAGTGGCCCCAGCTAGGGACCTTCAGTTGTCTCTGGGCTTGGATGCTATCTACTGAGAGGTTGGGTTGCAGGAGAGGAAAGGGAGAGAATAGGGGAGCAGTCCCCAAGCAGTTCCCGTGCATTCCCCAAGCAGTGGC
Organism: Homo sapiens; assembly: GCF_000001405.40. NCBI lineage: Eukaryota > Metazoa > Chordata > Mammalia > Primates > Hominidae > Homo > Homo sapiens. The sequence continues at coordinate 66,214,426 of NC_000014.9, read as the reverse complement.
CGAGCAATCCCCATTGGGGCCACCAAAATGTTGCAGGTGCAACTGCTGGGGCTTTTGTGAATGTAGATGGAATTTGTAGGAATGAAATATTTGAAGTGTTGTGTTTGAGCCAGCAGCGTTATTCTTTTGTGCTTTTTCTCTTAGATTTTCTATTCTTTTTGGTAGAGAAAGAGGCCAGATGTGTGAGCCACATGTTCCTAGGTAGTGCTCAGGAAAGGCTTACCTGCCATCTGGAATAGTTTACCTTCCACTTTGGGAACAGAAGGACTCAATCCCATTTACATGTGTCACTGCAGCCTTCTACATCCAAATTTCTATTCTGTAGTCCCTGTCTCAGCTTTCTGTGAGTAAGAGGTACAGGTAGTTAGCTTCTCCTTGAGAACTGGTTTCAGTAAAGGTTAGCCTGCTGTCCCAAGAAAATGTCTCAAATGACATTTGACATTATAGCTATGACTTACTTCGTGTTATTATTTAGGTGTCTACAACCAGTTCCACAAGTCTTGTACCAATCCATCCCTCCTCACTCAGGTAAGTGGTAAGAGTTTTCCAGCCATGGAAAGCTCAATGTGTGACTCCTTTCTGTCTGAAGGCTAGACCATCTTCCCTGGCTGGTGTTACCCATGATGTTACTGATGGTCTTGTGAAGGCCAAGGCCCTTGGCCCCTAAAGGTTCACTGAAAAATTACTGACATGAGGCAGATTGATTAACAGGAGAAAGGCCATATAAATGTATTTAACATGTAGGCATGGGAGTCTTCACAATGGAGACCCAACACCCCCAACATGGTTCAGAAACTTATATACTATTCTGGCAAAACTGGTTACGGGAGAGGGGGGAAGATGAATTCTATTGAGGGGATTACTGCAGAGAATGAATGGACTGAGAACAGAAATTAATTTATAAGTAGTGAAACTGTCTTTGCAAAAATTATTATTATTTTAACCTAAATAGACAGTGAGAGATAAAAAATTATATCAGTGAGAAAATTAGAACAGTGAAAGAGATCTGAGCTAACCCATCCCCCGATCTTGCCTTTCCCTTAAGTATTACTGGATTATTAGGCAGAGCTAACTTTGGAAGACATTTAGATTATAATTTACATGATAAGAGGCCTCCCCCTAAACTCAACTGCTTTTGTAAAGTTAATGGGAGGCCTTCAGGCTGGGGGGAGGAGAGGAGCCTGAGTCCTGCTAAGGCTCAGACATAAGCAATTGTCAGTCCTTATCCTGGAGGTTATAAGATATGCAACTTCCCCAATTACCCCTGCACATAACATCACTATTGTATCACCTAAGATTGGCCTTTTGAGTATCTTTTCAGGGTTTTTGCATGTCTGACACCCATGGCTCCACCTGGACTCATCTGGATCTGCCAACCCCATTCCCGTGGCCCCACCCAGAAGTGATTCAGCTTACAGGAGGACAGCTTCAGCTTCCCATGATTTTGTCTATGCCCCAACCAATCAATAGCAAGCATAGCCACAGCCACCCCTTTCCCAAACTGCCTTTGAGAAACCCCTAACCTATGAACTTTGGACGAGAATGATTTGAGAATTAACTCCATCTCCCACCTGGCGTGGCTGGCCTTGTGTCTATTAAACTCTTTCTCTACTATAATGCTGTGGTCTATACTTGTGCAGCGGGCAGGAAAAACCCCTCCAGTGGTTACAATAGTTCTGTTGACAGTGAAAGGATCTTTTCAGGTGTGGTTACATGCTTGGTCTTATAGGAAGAGGAAGAAAAAATAAATTGTTCTTGGTGGGCCTGGATCTTAGGCAGATAGAGGATCTTCAACTTTTTTTGGGAAAGACGGTGGTGGTAGAGTCAGTGGGGAGATCAGACAGAACCTGAGCTTTCTTAAGTTCAGCATGTCAAAATGCCATATTTTGGGGTATGTGTTTCTGAGCCCCAAACAGTCTCTTCTGTGGAACAGCTTTCATCTTTCACAGCACCTTTGTCCTTGATATTCTCCTTGCTATGTGAGCCTCACTGGCTCCCAGTTCTAGTTTTCAGCTCTCTTATTCCCCCTGTTTCTCTATGTCCATTTTCCTCCTCTCCTTTCTCTGTAGGAAAGGGAGAAAATAATCCTTTGCTTCTGCCCTTCCAGGTTCTTGGCTGGGTCTCTGTAATGAAAGACAGATTAATAAGAGAAAAACAAACAGAAGTTTACATGTATATTTCACACATACATGGAAGAAACTCAGGATGAGTAATTCAAAGGGGTGGTCAAAACTTCAGTTTAAATTTCAACCAAAGAAAATGAGCTTTTGGGCTTCTGGTTGTTGGGGGCAAGTTTTGGGAAAGTAACCAGGAAAAGTATGGTAAACAAGGGTAAGATTTGTAGTGCAGACTTAAGCAGAGTCCTTTAATAAGAGTATTCTGATACGGAGAGGGAGATACCCTTACAGATGGAGATTTCCTTCATAAATGTAAATTTCACTTACAAAAGAGAAGCTTATACTCATGTCTTTGCTGTTTCTCAAAATAATCAGCTCAAAATAATCTTGATGTCAAAGAGGCATATTTTGGGGTGGCATATTCTGGTCTCCTACATTCCTGTGCCTTTTCTTGTCTTAGTATCAATATCTCAGTTTTGTTTGCTTTTTTTTTAAAGCCCCTCTTCTTGCTCTCACAGTGAGAGGGTTTCTATTTCCTCTCAGAATGCAATCAGAAGAACGACCTCCTCAGGAAACAGACCCTCCATTTCTGGGAATTCTTGCTTTTTAGAAGCAAAACCAGGTAGCTTTCTTTGCTTCAAAATATCTATAGCCACAGCCAGTTGCAGAGGCCTGCAGGGATCCAAACCTCTGAAGTTCAAAGGCTGTCTACTGATCAGCACCCTGAAGAGACCAGGGAAAATATGCCTTGGGGCTTTTAATCTTCCACATGGGAGTAATACAAATTGTCTATTTACATTCTGATGAATAATGAGGAGCTGGAGAATGACTGGCTGTCTGGGAAATGTCAGTACCAGTATAAAAGGGGTAAAGAGAAGGAGCTGGCTGGAGATGCCACTGGGGTTCCCCAACAACCACAGCTAAGGTGAACAGTTATGGCCAAGGGGTTCCTCCAAGGCTCCCATGAGCAAACTGGGAGTAAATGAGTGTTCAGTGAGAATAGGAGATCCAGACCATTCTCTATCTTAATGTGGATTGTGGAAAGGGCCGTGAACCCAAAATGAAGAGATTTAGTTCTTGTCTTGCCTTTTCCTCTGATTAGATGTGCAGGTCTTACTTTCTATTACTTCTCTGGGCTTTACTGTTTAAAATTATTATATCTACAGTCTCCAGCTAGAAACACATGATTTTGATACCCTAGAGGTTTCTATTCTCAGTGAACTATACCAGCAGAGCCCGCAGAAGAGCAAGGATGTTCTTTGAAGACTGGTTCCCATAAGGAATGTTTAATATGACAGGAATTGAAAATGCAGTGCCAACATTACATTAAGGAGTAGCAGTGCTTTGTAGTTGGTCTCAAAAAAGGTTTTTATTATTATGTCAGACTGGAATATCCCATACTGGTTCTCATGCATTCTTAGAGTGATGGATTCAAAGAAACTTAACCACCTTCAAAAGAGAAACTTCAAAAGATATAAGATGGCATAGGGACTTTATCTCCCATCTTTTATCCCTTGTCCCCCCAAAAATTAAAAAGCAGGAGCTCAACTCTCAGATAGCAGACACATGCTGAAACAAAGATCTTAGACCATCAAGAATAGAAACTGTAGGGGCAAAGGAAACTTTGCTTCCACCCTCTGAAAGTTTGATAATTTGAGTCTCTGGAATAAACCAGACAGTAGACAGATTAACAGGAGAAAAGGCACACAAATTTATTATGTGCATGTGCACAGGAATCCCACAATATAGGAGACTCAAAGAAGGACCAGATAGTCAAAACTTAAATAGCATTTTGAACTACGTAAAGAAATAGGAGACTGGGGTATCTTTAAGGGAGGTAGCAATAGGTCTGGGATGTTAAGAGGAGGAAATGTGTGATGAACAAAGGCTGATGTTGTACACAGATAAAGTCTCTCCGGTAGAAGTCCTCAGAAGAATAGGTAGTATCAACCTTTAGTCTATTTTCCTGGGAATTAACCTTCTTTGTTTGATGAGCATATAGGGAGGGTGCTGAGCACAATTGCATTTCTTCTGGAGGAACTTCCACTAAACAGGTAAAGGAACTTGAGAGAAAGCCCCTCCCTGCATTTGCTGCTCCCCAGGGGCTCTCAGTTTGAAGTCCAAAGCTGCGTATTTTCAGATATCATTTTCTGAGCCCAAACAATATCTCTAAACTTCAGGCCAGTTGAGGAAAAGATCAGTGAACAAAAAGGCCAGTGAACCAAAAGAGAGAGAGACCCTGACATTATGATTGTGGACTTGTTGGAGCAGGGAAGAGATAAAAATATGGCTTTAAACTGCAAGGTAAATAGAGTTATCCCTCTTTGACCCAAGTAGTGTTTCAGTTCCTGATAACACTAACAATAATAATTAAATTGATTAGCCAAGATTTATTGAATGCAGATGGCTAACTATAATGTTTAAGTGCTTTCTTCATTTGACCTTCACAACTGCCCTATCACATAGGCCGTATTATTATTAACAAAGAAACCAAGGCTCAGAGAAGTTATTTGCTTGAGTTCTCAAAGTGAATGAGTTAGGTTGTCAGGATTTGCATCCATATCTGTAGCGGGATGTGGAGGCTAAGGCAACTCTATCTTGGATGATAATCCACCATATTAGCTTCTGATTAACCCCTGTTCCTGAAAGGACTTTAAGATCTCCAGTTTATCTATTGTTCCTTGTGTAAAAGCAGATACTTACTGTAAATCCTGCCCTTAGGTCAAACAATCTTGATGCTATTGTAGTTCAATTGTCCTAGATGTCCCTCCTGAATCACCCCTCCCCTATGGTATATAAGCCCTGGGTCTGGAGGGTAATAATGTGGGGATCCACCATCTTGTCTCACTGTCTACCGAGATACAAACATGGATTCTGTTTGTAAGTCCCTATTAAATGTGGTGTGTGTGTGTGTGTGTGTGTGTGTGTGTGTGTGTGTGTGTTTAAACTGGCTATGTCAGTCTCTTTCTTTGAAGTCTTAGCTTCCTTGGACTTTGGGATAGGTTTGCATAGACCTGCCCATTGAAGAACAGTGAGATTTGTGGCAATGGAGTAATTGAAGTGTTCTGTCAGATCCAGGGAGGTTATTCTTTTGTGCCTTATCTGACTCTAGAGGTTGTACTTTCAACTGCTTTGCTCTGGTGTCTCCACTTCTTGTCAGGAGGCTATGGCCTCACTCTGCACAGCTGCTACCATCACTATTATAAGAGACCAGAATATGCCACTCCAATATATGTCACTTTGGCATGATAATTATTTTGAGCTGAAGGCAATTGAACAGAAATAAATACAAGGAAAACTCTCTGCCCTTCCCCCATTGCCTCTGAGTAGGACATAAATTTACAATGGCAAAGGTAGCCTCCCTCCCTCTCTACCAGAGAAGACAAAAGTTGATCACTAAAGAAAACTTTTGATCCTGATCAGCTTGGAGGCTACACCAGATGAATCTAAATAACTCCCATTTTTCTGCCTTCCCTCAATTGGTTATCCGTGGAGACTCAACATATTTTTCCTTTGTCCTGTCACTTCTCTAAAAATCTACTATTTTTTTGTTAAAAATGCTATATAATCTGGATTTCTAAGCCACTTCTTTGAGAAGTATTCATTCCCTGTAAATCTTCCATGTATACATGAGGTATACATGTTAATAAACTTATGGTTGTTGTTATCTTGTTAATCTCTCTTTTGTTACAGGAGTCTATCCCAGCTAAGAACTATGAAGGGAAGACAGAAAATTACTTTTCCTTCCCTACACTATTATAACATCTAATGCATCCCTTTTCAAAGGCTTCTGGAACCCTGGGGTTACATGGAAATGTACTAGGGTTCTGTGAGGATAACTTTTCCAGTGGAGGTAGCCTCTAGGTGCCTTTGTGAATCACTGCCTATCCCCAAGCCTCATTTTGGCTTTGTGAATAATTTATTTTTTCTCCTTGAGTTCAAGTCGTTTTTTCCTTTCCTTCTTTAAATTACATCCCCATCTTTATTTCTAATGCAATTAGAGACTGTTCCAGAAAGCTAAATCTGCAAGTGTTTCTGGCTAAAGCTGAAAATTCATTATATTTGTCTAATTGCAACCCAAATAGAAAACAACATGAGGAAGAAAGTCCCATTCAACCTACATCTCTAATCCTATTGCCCTATTTTTCCCATGCAACACTGTGTGATTATACAACGTTCCCTTAGGAGGGGCTGGAGAGGGCAGAAGGAAGGGACTAGTATAACTGCTGGGATGGGACTTTGGCATTCTTAGATCCTTGATTATGTCTCCATCAAAACATTGTTTCAAATTCTTAGAAGTTGGGGGTTTCAAACAGTGTCCCTATGGTTTTCTCTATTTTGAATGAAAAAATTTTAGCAACAAAGGAAGAAGAAACATGCTCCTCTCACATTTATTCTCAGTTATGTTTTGAATTTGAATGCGCAAATAGATGTAGCCAGACTCTCATAGTCAAGAGTTTCAAACTCAAAGTCCACAATGAATAATCAGGTGACATAACCAAACTGAAGTGCCCTGCTCAGGGAGATAATGGAGATGGGTGATGTATTAGTCTGTTCTCACACTGCTATAAAGATACTACCCAAGACTGGGTAATTTATAAAGGAAAAAGGTTTAATTGACTTATAGTTCCACATGGCTAGAGAAGCCTCAGAAAACTTATAATCATACTGGAAGCGGAAGCAAACACATTTTTCCTCACAAGGCAGCAGGAGAGAGAAGTGCGAGGAGTGAAGGGGAAAGAGCTCCTTATAAAACCATCAGATCTTGTGAGAATTCACTCACTATCACAAGAACAGCATGGAGAAAACTGTCTCCATGATCCAATTACCTCCCACAGGTCTCTCCCTAGACACGTGGGGATTATGGGGATTATAATTCAAGATGAGATTTGGGTGGGGACACAGCCAAATCATATCATTTCACCCCTGGCCCCTCCCAAATCCCATTTCCTCATGTTTCAAAATCAATCATGCCTTCCCTACAGTTCCCTAAAGTCTTAACTCATTCCAGCATTAACTCAAAAATCCAAGTCCAAAGTCTCATCTGAGACAAGGCAAGTCTCTTCTGCCTAGGAGCCTGAAATCAAAAGCAAGTTAGTTACTTACAAGATACAATGTGGGTACAGGCATTAGATAAATGCTCCCATTCCAAATGGGAGAAATTGGCCAAAACAAAGGGACTACATGTCCCACCCATACAAGTCCAAAATCCAACAGGGGAGTCATTAAATCTTAAAGCTCCAAAATTGTCTCCTTTGACTCCATATCTCACATTCAAGTCACACTGATGCAAGAGGTGGGCTCCCACAGTGTTGAGCAACTCCACCCCTGTGGCTTTGCAGGGTACAGCCCCCTGCCTGGCTGCTTTCACAGGCTGGCATTGAGCATCTGCAGCTTCTCCAGACATATGGTGCAAGCAGTTGTTGGATCTACCATTCTGAGGTCTGGAGGACGGTGGCCACTTCTCACAGCTCCACTAGGCAGTGCCACAGGGGGGACTCTGTGTGGGGTCTCCAACCTCACATTTCCCTTCCATACTGCCTTAGCAGAGGTTCTTCATGAGGGCTCCACCCCTGAAGCAAACTTCTGCCTGGACATCCAGGCATTGCCATACCTCCTCTGAAATCTAAGTAGAGGTTCCCAAATTGCAATTCTTTTTTTTTTTTAATTTCCTTAGAGACAAGTTTAATCTAATCCTTTTTTTAAAATACTTTAAGTTTTAGGGTACATGTGCACAACGTGCAGGTTTGTTACATATGTATACTTGTGCCATGTTGGTGTGCTGTACCCATTAACACATCATTTAGCATTAGGTATCTCTCCTAATGCTATCCCTCCCCCCTCTCCCCACCCCACCACAGTCCCGAGTGTGTGAAGTTCCCCTTCCTGTGTCCATGTGTTCTCATTGTTCAGTTCCCACCTATGAGTGAGAACATGTGGTGTATGGTTTTTTTCCTTGTGAAAGTTTGCTGAGAATGATGGTTTTCAGCTTCATCCATGTCCCTACAAAGGACATGAACTCATTTCTTATGGCTGCATAGTATTCCATGGTGTATATGTGCCACATTTTCTTATTCCAGTCTATCAATGTTGGACATTTGGGTTGGTTGCAAGTCTTTGCTATTGTGAATAATGCCGCAATAAACATATGTGTGCGGGTGTCTTTATAGCAGCATGATTTATAATCCTTTGGGTATATACCCAGTAATGGGATGGCTGTGTCAAATGGTATTTCTAGTTCTAGATCCCTGAGGAATTGCCACACTGACTTCCACAATGGTTGAACTAGTCTATAGTCCCACCAACGGTGTAAAAGCATTCCTATTTCCCTACATCCTCTTCAGCACCTGTTGTTTCCTGACTTTTTAATGATTGACATTCTAACTGGTGTGAGATGGTATCTCATTGTGGTTTTGATTTGCATTTCTCTGATGGCCAGTGATGATGAGCATTTTTTCATGTGTTTTTTGGCTGCATAAATGTCTTCTTTTGAGAAGTGTCTGTTCATATCCTTCACCCATTTTTTGATGGGGTTGTTTGTTTTTTTCTTGTAAATTTGTTTGAGTTCACTGTAGATTCTGCATATTAGCCCTTTGTCAGATGAGTAGGTTGCAAAAATTTTCTCCCATTCTGTAGGTTGCCTGTTCACTCTGATGGTAATTTCTTTTGCTGTGCAGAAGCTCTTTAGTTTAATTAGATCTCATTTGTCAATTTTGGCTTTTGTTGCCATTGCTTTTGGTGTTTTAGACATGAAGTCCTTGCCCATGCCTATGTTCTGAATGGTACTGCCTAGGTTTTCATCTAGGGTTTTTATGGTTTTAGGTCTAACATGTAAGTCTTTAATCCATCTTGAATTAATTTTTGTATAAGGTGTAAGGAAGGGATCCAGTTTCAGCTTTCTACATATGGCTAGTCAGTTTTCCCAGCACCATTTATTAAATAGGGAATCCTTTTCCCATTGCTTCTTTTTGTCAGGTTTGTCCGAGATCAGATGGTTGTAGATGTGTGGTATTATTTCTGAGGGCTCTGTTCTGTTCCATTGGTCTATATCTCTGTTTTGGTAAAAAGTACCATGCTGTTTTGGTTACTGTAGCCTTGTAGTATAGTTTGAAGTCAGGTAGCGTGATGCCTCCAGCTTTGTTCTTTTGGCTTAGGATTGACTTGGCAATGCAAGCTCTTCTTTGGTTCCACATGAATTTTAAAGTAGTTTTTTCCAATTCTGTGAAGAAAGTCATTGGTAGCTTGATGGGGATGGCATTGAATCTATAAATTACCTTGGGCACTATGGCCATTTTCATGATATTGATTCTTCCTACCCATGAGCATGGAATGTTCTTCCATTTGTTTGTATCCTCTTTTATTTCGTTGAGCAGTGGTTTGTAGTTCTCCTTGAAGAGGTCCTTCACATCCCCTGTAAGTTGGATTCCTAGGTATTTTATTCTCTTTGTAGCAATTGTGAATGGGAGTTCACTCATGATTTGGCTCTCTGTTTGTCTGTTATTAGTGTATAAGAATGCTTGTGATTTTTGCACATTGATTTTGTATCCTGAGACTTTGCTGAAGTTGCTTATCAGCTTAAGGAGATTTGGGGCTGAGACAATGGGGTTTTCTAAATATACAATCATGTCATGTGCAAACAGGGAAAATTTGACTTCCTCTTTTCCTAATTGAATACGCTTTATTTCCTTCTCCTGCCTGGTTGCCCTGGCCAGGACTTCTAGCACTATGTTGAATAGGTGTGGTAAGAGAGGGCATCCCTGTCTTGTGCCAGTTTTCCAAGGGAATGCTTCCAGTTGTTGCCCATTCAGTATGATATCACCTGTGGGTTTGTCATAGATAGCTCTTATTATTTTGAGATACATCCCATCAATACCTAATTTATTGAGAGTTTTTAGCCTGAAGGGCTCGTGAATTTTGTCAAAGGCCTTTTCTGCATCTATTGAGATCATCATGTGGTTTTTGTTGTTGGTTCTGTTTATATGCTGGATTATGTTTATTGATTTGCATATGTTGAACCAGCCTTGCATCCCAGGGATGAAGCCCACTTGATCATGGTGGATAAGCTTTTTGATGTGCTGCTGGATTTGGTTTGCCAGTATTTTATTGAGGATTGTTGCATTGATGTTCATCAGGGATATTGGTCTAAAATTCTCTTTTTCTGTTGTGTCTCTGCCAGGCTTTGGTATCAGGATGATGCTGGCCTTATAAAATGAGTTAGAGAGGATTGCCTCTTTTTCTATTGATTGGAATAGTTTAGAAGGAATGGTACCAGCTCTCCTTTTACCTCTGGTAGAATTCAGCTGTGAATCCATCTGTTCCTGGACTTTTATTCGTTGGTAAGCTATTAATTATTGCCTCACTTTCAGAGCCTGTTATTGGTCTATTCAGAGATTCAACTTCTTCCTGGTTTAGTCTTGGGAGGGTGTATGTGTCCAGGAATTTGTCCATTTCTTCTAGATTTTCTAATTTATTTGCATAGAGGTGTTTATAGTATTCTCTGATGGTAGTTTGTATTTCTGTGGGATTGGTGGTGATATCTCCTTTTTCATTTTTTATTACGTCCATTTGATTCTTCTCTCTTTTCTTCTTTATTAGTCTTGCTAGCGGTCTATCAATTTTGTTGATCTTTTCAAAAAACCAGCTCCTGGATTCATTGATTTTTTGAACGGTTTTTGTGTCTCTGTCTCCTTCAGTTCTGCTCTGATCTTAGTTATTTCTTGCCTTCTGCTAGCTTTTGAATGTGTTTGCTCTTGCTTCTCTAGTTCTTTTAATTCTGATGTTAGGGTGTCAATTTTAGATGTTTCCTGCTTTCTCTTGTGGGTATTTAGTGCTATAAATTTCCCTCTACACACCGCTTTAAATGTGTACCAGAGATTCTGGTATGTTGTGTCTTTGTTCTCGTTGGTTTCAAAGAACATCTTTATTTCTGCCTTCATTTCATTATGTACCCAGTAGTCATTCAGGAGCAGATTGTTCAGTTTCCATGTAGTTGAGCAGTTTTGAGTGAGTTTCTTAATCCCGAGTTCTAGTTTGATTGCACTGTGGTCTGAGAGACAGTTTGTTATAATTTCTGTTCTTTTACATTTGCTGAGGAATGCTTTACTTCCAACTATGTGGTCAATTTTGGAATAAGTACAATGTGGTGCTGAGAAGAATGTATATTCTGTTGATTTGGGGTGGAGAGTTCTTTAGATGTCTATTAGGTCTGCTTGGTGCAGAGCTGAGTTCAATTCCTGGATATCCTTGTGAACTATCTGTCTTCTTGATCTGTCTAATGTTGACAGTGGGGTGTTAAAGTCTCCCATTATTATTGTGTGGGAGTCTAAGTCTCTTTGTAGGTCTCTAAGGACTTGCTTTATGAATCTGGGTGCTCCTGTATTGGATGCATATATATTTAGGATAGTTAGCTCTTCTTGTTGAATTGATCCCTTTACCATTATGTAATGGTCTTCTTTGTCTCTTTTGATCTTTGTTGGTTTAAAGTCTGTTTTATCAGAGATTCAGATTGCAACTCCTGCCTTTTTTTGTTTTCCATTTGCTTGGTAGATCTTTCTCCATCTCTTTATTTTGAGCCTATGTGTGTCTCTGCACGTGAGATGGGTTTCCTGAATACAGCACACTGATGGGTCTTGACTCTTTATCCAGCTTGCCAGTCTGTGTCTTTTAATTGGAGCATTTAGCCCATTTACATTTAAAGTTAATATTGTTTTGTGTGAATTTGATCCTGTCATTATGATATTAGCTGGTTATTTTGCTCGTTAGTTGATGCAGTTTCTTCCTAGCATCAATGGTCTTTACAATTTGGCATGTTTTTCCAGTGGCTGGTACCGGTTGTTCCTTTCCATGTTTAGTGCTTCCTTCAGGAGCTCTTTTAGGGCAGGCCTGGTGGTGACAAAATCTCTCAGCATTTGCTTGTCTGTAAAGTGTTTTGTTTCTCCTTCACTTATGAAGCTTAGTTTGGCTGGATATGAAATTCTGGGTTGAAGATTCTTTTCTTTAAGAATGTGGAATATTGGCCCCCACTCTCTTCTGGCTTGTAGGGTTTCTGCCGAGAGATCAGCTGTTAGTCTGATGGGCTTCCCTTTGTGGGTAACCCGACCTTTCTCTCTGGCTGCCCTTAACATTTTTTCCTTCATTTCAACTTTGGTGAATCTGGCAATTATGTGTCTTGGAGTTGCTCTTCTCGAGGAGTATCTTTGTGGCGTTCTCTGTATTTCCTGAATCTGAATGTTGGGCTGCCTTGCTAGATTGGGGAAGTTCTCCTGGATAATGTCCTGCAGAGTGTTTTCCAACTTGGTTCCATTCTCCCCGTCACTTTCAGGTACACCAATCAGACGTAGATTTGGTCTTTTCACATACTCCCATATTTCTTGGAGGCTTTGTTCATTTCTTTCTATTCTTTTTTCTGTAAACTTCTCTTCTTGCTTCATTTCATTCATTTTGTCTTCCATCGCTGATACCCTTTCTTCCAGTTGTTCGCATCAGTTACTGAGGCTTGTGCATTCGTCACGTAGTTGTCGTGCCATGGTTTTTAGCTCCATCAGGTCCTTTAAGGACTTCTCTGCATTGGTTATTCTAGTTAGCCATTCATCTAATTTTTTTTCAAGGTTTTTAACTTCCTTGCCATTGGTTCGAACTTCCTCCTCTAGCTCGGAGTAGTTTGATGTTCTGAAGCCTTCTTCTCTCAACTCGTCAAAGTCATTCTCCGTCCAGCTTCGTTCCATTGCTGGTGAGGAGCTGCGTTCCTTTGGAGGAGGAGAGGCGCTCTGATTTTTAGAGTTTCTGGTTTTTCTGCTCTGTTTTTTCCCCATCTTTGTGGTTTTATCTACCTTTCGTCTTTCATGATGGTGATGTACAGGTGGGTTTTTGGTGTGGAAGTCCTTTCTGTTTGTTAGTTTTCCTTCTAACAGTCAGGACCCTCAGCTGCAGGTCTGTTGGAGCTTGCTGGAAGTCCACTCCAGACCCCGTTTGCCTGTGTATTAGCAACGGTGGCTGCAGAACAGCAGATATTGGTGAACCGCAAATGCTGTTTCCTGATTGTTCCTCTGGAAGTTTGTCTCAGAGGTATAGCCAGCCGTGTGAAGTGTCAGTCTGCCCCTACTAGGGGGTGCCTCCCAGTTAGTCTGCTTGGTGGTCAAGGACCCACTTGAGCAGGCAGTCTGCCCGTTCTCAGGTCTCAAGCTGCGTGCTGGGAGAACCACTACTCTCTTCAAAGCTCAGTTGGAAATGCTGAAATCACCCATCTTCTGTGTCGCTCACGCTGGGAGCTGTAGACTGGAGCTGCTCCTATTTGGCCATCTTGGCTCCACCTTCCCCAAATCTCAATTCTTGACTTCTGTACACCCCCAGACCCCAAACCACATGCAATCTGCCAAGGCTTGGAGCTTGCACCCTCTGAAGCAGCAACCTGAGCTGTATATTGGCCCCTTATAACCAAGGCTGGGACACGGAACGCCACGTCCTGAGGCTGCACAGAGCAGCAGAAGGGCCCTGGACCCGGCCTGCAAAACCATTTTTTTTCTTTTAGGCCCCTGGGCCTATGATGGCGGAGGCTGCCATGAAGTTCTCTGACATGCCCTGGAGACAGCTTCCCCATTGTCTTGGTGATTAACATTCAGCTCCTCATTACTTATGCAGATTCCTTTAGCTGGCTTGAATTTTTCCGAGAAAATGGATTTTTCTTTTCTATTGCATGGTCAGGCTGAGAATTTTCCAAACTTTTATGCTCTGTCACCTTTTGAACACTTTGCTGCTTAGAAGTTTCTTCCACCAGATACCCTAATTCATCCCTCTCAAGTTCAAAGTTCCACAGATCTCTAGAACAGGAGCAAAATGTTGCCAGTGTCTTTGCTAAAACATAGCAAGAGTGATCTTTACTCCAGTTCCCAACAAGTTTCTCATCTCCATCTAAGACCACCTTAGCCTAGACTTCATTGTTCACATCACTATCAGGATTTTGGTCAAAACCATTCAACAAATCTCTAGGAAGTTACCCACTTTCCTCACATCTTCCTGTTTTCTTCTGAGCCATCCAAACTGTTTCAATCTCTCCCTGTTATCCAGTTCCAAAGTCACTTCCACATTTTCAAGTATCTTTATAGCAGTACCCCAGTCTCTGTGGTACCAATTTACTGTTTCAGTCCATTGTCATACTGCTATAAAGATACTACTTGAGACTGGGTAATTTATAAAGGAAAGAGGTCTAATTGACTCACAGTTCTGCATTGCTGCATTGCTGCATTGCTGCATTACAATCATGGCAGAAAGGGAAGCTAACACGTCCTCCCTCACAAGGGAGCAGGACAGAGAAGTGCTAGGAGGAAAGGGGAAAGATCCCCTTATAAAGCCATCAGATCCCATGAGAACTCACTCACTATCACAAAAACAGCATGGGGAAACTGACCCCATGATTCAATTTTCTCCCACCAGGCCTCTCCCTAGACATGTGGGGATTATGGGGATTACAGTTTGAGATGAGATTTGGGTGGGGACAAGGCCAAACCATATAAAGTGAGAACTGTGCAAGGCACATGCCTCTCTTTAGGGACTGCCCCTATTTAGCCTCAGTTAATTTTTGCCTCCTGGAATTGGAGATTCAATATAACTATATCTTTTAATTTTTCAAGAGGATCCAGAAATCCAGAAATTTATATGAAAGCTCTGAATTTTTGAATGCTGGCAGCTAATTTTAAAAAGTGTAAAACACTCTGTAGAAAAAAAAAACCCACATGTAGGATAAACAAAACACAGACTTGGCACTGCAGGCTGCCATTTTGCAACCTCTACTCTAGAACTTTATAGAGTGAAGGTAAAACCAGGATTTGGGTTAAGAGAAGAGGAAAGCATGAGACATTTTGAAATTTTAGAGGGTATTGGGTGGTGCTCTGCCACACTCAGTGGCTTCCTCCACAACCAGCTGCATGAGGCCAAAAATGAATGCCTGAAGAAGATTTGAGCAGAGGCTGAGAATTTGGACAGACCTCCTACTTGATACATGCTGACTTTGGCTTTCTTTTAGCTCCATAAGTCTATGATTTTATGCAACCAAGAAATAGGTACTATGAGAGTTAAATGGACAAGTTACTTCCAGTTGTGTGTATCGATGTCATCATTGCTGGCACAATTACTCTTAAGATGTCTTTGAAAGGAAGGTGGGGATTGGATTGCTGGAGACTGGCCTGCTTGGTGCTTAGGTTTCTGTGAGAAAACTAACTGGAACAAGACAGACAACCCAATCCATGTAATGATATGACATTAAAACTGGAACTTAAAGAATAGGAAGGATTTGGACACAAAAAAGCTTGGATGGAAAAAACAGTACCCTCGGAGGAAGCAGCAGTGTGAGAAAGTCACAGAGATAGTATATATATGCCACATTCAGGCAGCCTCCAGTAGTTAGATTTCACCATTTATTTTATTTATTTAACAAACACTGGCCTAGCTTCTAAGCACTTTACAAATATTAACTTATTTAATTCTCATAACATTACCATGAGGCAGTTATAATCAATAGTACTAATCATACTCATGTTATAGATGAGGAAACAGAGTGTTTTATTATTTAAACATTTGTTAAGTTTGGATGATGGGTGGGGCAGAACACAAGGACCCCTGGACAGGTGAAAGGCAGACACTTTATTCCTTATAGCTCCTTATGAGAAAAGGCTGCTGCACAGAGTCACACAGGGTGCTACCCCCAGGGAAAGGGTAACAGCAGCTGGAACTGTTAAAAGGGGGCTCGTGTATGGCAAGTGGATGGGGTTAGCTAGGTTTCTCAGGCTTCTTGTGGTTTGGATATTTTTAATGCTTCTGCAAGGGCAAGGAAGAAGGGGCCACATCCTTAGAGCTTCGGCATCAGGCAGCTGGATGTGTAAGTTGCAACCTATGTAAATTAGAGCCCAATAAAGGAGGTTGGAATGTGGATTTAGGAAACTACCTGCAAAGGAGAATTGACAGATTTTTAGCCATAATCTCAAAACTGGGTCAAGACAG
The DNA here is from genome assembly GCF_000001405.40 of Homo sapiens. Classification (NCBI taxonomy): domain Eukaryota; kingdom Metazoa; phylum Chordata; class Mammalia; order Primates; family Hominidae; genus Homo; species Homo sapiens. Next base: position 66,198,317 of record NC_000014.9, on the reverse strand, counting down.
CATTTGTGAAACATTATATTACCCTGAGGCACAGAAAAACCCAGTTACCTACCCAAGGTCTAAGTGGCAGAGGCCAGATTCAGCACCAGCAGTCCAGTTCCAGAGTCCACGTGAGAGAAGGCTAGAAAAGTAAGTAGAGGATCAGATCAAGCAGGTACTTGAAAGCCAAACATAGGCACTTGGGTTTTCTTTGGTCAAATGAAACAGTGGTAGAGGGGCACAGCTGGAGCATGAGAGCAAGCTTGTAGAAGGATATATGATGTGACAATGGGGCCTCGGCTGCAAACAAGCTGTCATCCTTGCCAAACTGTTATCTTTTATCTCTATGCATATATTTTTAACTTTTCCCCATTTTTTGGTGGGCCCTTCTTTCACTAACACCTGTGTTGGTTTGTACTTGTCACTTGAGAAAAGGCTGTGGCAACGTGGATGTCATTTTTGTAGACAAGGGGAAAAGGACTTTACAAATATGTCAGTATCTGATACTTAAAATTCCTGTTTAGAACATCCTGCCTATATACCTCTGGGCAATGTCTGCTTATTTGGAGGGTTGCACCTCTCCTTCTCTTTGCCCTCTTTGTCCTTTTTTCTACTGTTTTGAACTTCAGTTGGGATTCGTCAAATAGATGACTACAAATGCAATTGCCTCTTTGATTAATTCCTTCCATCTATGCTAAACTCCTATATTCATATTGAACAAATAAAGCATTGGATATTTTTAAAAATCATCTGTTAGTTTTGTCTTTGTCCTAAAAAAATTAACCAAGAGTTGTGAGAGAGGGAGACTGTGAAACTGAGAGAATTCCCAGAGCTGCTCTTCTTGGGGAAGCAGATTTTGTGCCTTATGTGTTCTCCTTACCCTGGCATGCTGTTAAGCATTTGGAAGCTGAGGCCTCATTCAGCCCAGAAGGGCAGATTGTTGGAGCAATTGCCCCTTAAGATGTCTTTAAGAGGAAGGGGTGGGGTGAGTGGGGTGGATTGCTGGAGACTTACCTGCTTGCTGCTCAGGTTTCTGAGAGCAAACTAAACAGCATGAAGGAAGCACAACAATTGACTCAAAATCCCTAAGAGCACTGTGGGATTTGTTGTAATCACTCCCTAGGATATGCATTAAAAAGAAGCTTATTTCTTCTGTCCATGGTCAACCAGGAGGGTGGTAGCTTAGACAAGCATTAAGTTTGAGGCCTCTCAAAAACACCCTGGGGTCCTTGCTTTCTCTCCACCCATGGCTGAACAGGGCCAGCCCCAGCTGAATAGTGAATAAGGCAATCGACTTTCTGGAAGTTCACAGACACTTTCTCTCTACAATAATATTAGCCCCCAAGCTTTGCCTAGGGCTTTCCAGTTCACCAAGGCTCTTACTTAGTTTGTGTCATTTGAACCTCAAACAACTTTCTAGGCTCACTCCTCCCCACAGTGAGGCTGCTGCCTCCTACCTGCTACTCCTGGGCCTGCCTATAGATGTTAGCTGGCCTATTCCTGCTTTCTTCTGGTGCCTACACAATGCAGTCTCAAGCATTGTGTGGATTGTTGTGAATTGAAACCAGGCCCACAGGTCTCTCTCAGTTGTCTAATTAGTTTAACCCATTAGAGGTAAGGCAGCTGTGAGTGAAAATGGGCTTGATTTTGAAAATGAGCACCTGTCAGGGCTACTTGCCTTCTTGCATTTTGTTTTCAATAAAGACCTCAAATAACAGGTCTTTTATTTAAAAAAAAACTTTCTGTGATAGTGAAGTTTGAGGCTTTATGTCTAGTTGTTTTGGGGAGTTTTTTGTATGTATATGAGAGGAAAACAATCTTCCAGTTGTACCATAAAGCCTATTATTCATATAATCATGGGAATTGTCCTTCTCTCCACCAGACATTTGTTAAAGGCCTTCTACACCTCAATTACTGTGTTAAGCCTTCCTTTAAGATAAAGATGAGCATCCTTAGTGCTTAGCCTGAAGGGGTTCCTAAGGAAGAGGCCAAAGGAATCAGCCAATGGCAGGCCATAGCCCAGGAGCAGGTGAGGATGCAGTCAGGTAAGCAGGCAGAGAAAGATAGGTAAGTAGGTCAATACATGTAAGTACATACAAATAAATACATGCAAATCAGACCCTTCCAAGCCCAGAGATGCATAACCATATGGTACAAGGGTTCAGTAAAAAAAAAAAAAAAAACATCTATAACCAGCCCTATTGATAGTGAGAGGAGATAGCCAAATGCCTAGGCAGATAGGGGCGGGTCCCCAGTGAAACTCCACCTTCAAGCGAAAAAACAGCCTGAAGGCTGAAAGACCAGACTGCTGGTCCCAGATTAAACCCATGACCCAGAGTGAGAACGTCTGTTCCTATTTGCCAGCCCTTTCCCAATTGATTCTTTCTGAATAATGCCTTTTAACCAGTCAAATATTGCCTTTTCCAATACTATGTATGGCCTGCGCCTCCCTTATTCTGGGCCCATAAAAGTCCCAGACTCAGCCACACTGGGGGGACTTTCCCACCTTCAGGTAGGAGGACCACCTCCATGTCCCCTCTCCATGGAAAGCTGTGTCATCACTCAGTGAAACTCCCCGTCTTGCTCACCCTTTGATTATCAGTATATTTTCATCCTTCTTTTATGCTTGGGACCCACCAAGTGCAGGTACCCAGAAAGACTGTCACAGTGGCCTTTTCCCCCACCAGTGGAGGGCAGCCACCCCACACAATGAGGCCAGGTGCCAACTGCGCTGCTAACACCCCATCCTCCATTGGGCTGTGGACGGTGGAAATAAAAGAGCTAATTAGCACACTAACACCCCCTCTGGAGCTTCAGGGTTGTGGGCACCCTTGCCTGGGTGCTACCTTATTCCCCTTGAGGTGACATGCCTTGTCTGGCCATGGGCCCTGCGCAGAGCTTGCTCCTGTGTCAGTGCTCAGAGTGGCTGCCCAGATATTGCACTTGCTCACTTATGTTCTCCCTCCTGTAAGGAGCTAAGTGCAGCAGGCCAAGTAGACAGGACACCCCTGCTGTAAGTCTGGCAAAGGGGCTGACAGAAAATTCCAGCATCAATATGTCAATATGGAACAACACAGAGAATGTTTTTGAATGCTTTCATATATCCTGACAGTTGGTTATACTGATAATGCTTACCTAATATATGGTTACCTACATGGGTAGTTTCTTGATATAATATTTTTGTCTTTTACTCTCATTCTTTTTCTTAAAAACTAGTTTTCTTTCTTCATCTCTAAAATAAATATTTATTATTAAAAATTCAGAAAATACAGAAAAGTAGAAAGAAAAATCTCTCTATAATTCTCCTACCTATATACATTTCAGCATATTTCCTTCTAATATTTCTGGGTCCTATGTTTCAGTGTTACTGTGATCATATTCAAAATGGTGTATATAACCTCTTTTGGAAAAAATATCTGGTTTGAAGAGTATAAAAGTAAAACATATTCTTTGTAGAAAATGTGAAAATACAAAAAAGTATCAAAAGGTTCAGATTCTGGCAATATGGCAGAGTACACATTCAGAGAAATTCCTACTAGTGCAGCACTTTAAAAATGCTAGATAAAAGAAGAAAAACCCTAATCCTATTGTTTTTAATGTACAGTTGATGTAGGAGACACTAAGGGAATATATCTGAGGCAAAATCACAGAAAAACATAAAACTAAAGAGAACCTTGCTCATGTGCTGGTGTTTGCCTTAAGAATACCTGCTGATCTCTGTAAGCCAGAGTCAGGGTTCAAAAGACCACTTTACACTCAGAACAAGAGGTAAGATAGGGGTCTTTGACAGATGAAAGGTCAGAGAACATCCCCCTCAGTAAAGCTGAAACTCCCTGAAAGGCAACATACTCAGAGTGGAACAAAACTAGGAAAAAAACCTGCTCTGTTGGTGGACTAAGTTAGAGGGCAAAGACATAACTCTCTAAGAATTGCTGAGCCATAAGTTTATACTTGAAAAGGTTCAGGACTAGAATTCATGCTATTATTTGGCCTAAAAACACCCAAGTTGAAAATTTATTTTTTTTCTTTTTTAAATAAATTTTAAATTTTTTGTAGCGACAGGGTCTTACTATGTTACCCAGGCTAAATTTAAACTCCTAAACTCATGGGCCCAAGCAATCCTCCCCACCTTGGCCACCCAAAGTGCTGGGATTATAGGTTTGAGCCACCACACGAGGCCTGAAAAGTTAATATAAAATGGTCCTGGATGGTTGTGTCCTCAGGTATTTGGTAGGGATAAATGCAAATGATCTCTGAAGACACTCACTTTAAACTCAAGCCTCAACAAATTCCACAGGTAAAGTTCCAAGGAATCTTGGCTCGCAAGTATAAATCGCCGAGCATATCAGGAAGCAAGAGAGCGTTAGCAGAAACCAAACCATAGAATTAGACCAGCAAAGTCTGTATATGTTGAAGTTATCACTGATTAAAATATAGAACAGGTATGTTCAATGTTTAAAGAAATTAAATAGAGGTTACTGAAAGTACATTAAGGGACAATATACAGTTTCTGATTTAAAAAATAACTGAATAGAATTTGTAGAAATGAAAAATATAACGATGAAAATTATGGATTGGTTAAGTAGCAGATGTGACACAATTGAGGGGAGATTTAGTAAGCTGGAAGTTAGATGTAAGGAAATTTTCTAGAACTCATAGGGAGACATGAAGATGTGAAATATAAAAGAGAAGGTAAAGGATATGGATAATTGAAAGAGAAGCTGCAATACATGTCTAATCATAGTCTCAGAAGGAGTGGGTTGAAAGAATGGAGAGAGAAAATTAGGAAATATAATAGCTGAAAATATTCCAGAAATAATAAAAGATACCAATCCCAGATTCTATACATTCAATGAATTCCAAGCATAACAACTAAAAGAAAACCCACTTATAAACTCATTGTGTTTACACCCATATGCATCTGCTGTTGTAAAATGGCAGAACACAATAATCAAACAAAAGATCTTAAAAGCAGCAAGAGAAAAAAAGATATTACCTACAAAAAGATAGGTAATCTTTCAATAACAACAGAAGCCAGAAGGCAGTGGGAAAAAAATCACAAATTGAACCTTTTAGTTAAAGGACAAAGCTGGTCCCACTGAATTTTAAATAATCTATCCAATGACTGTTTATATGAGACTTTAAACATAAGAACACAGAAAAGTTGAAACTAAAAGCATGAGAAAAAGTATATGCAGGCAAATAGTAACCAAAAACAATTTGGCATAGCTATGTATATTATTATCAGATAAAACAGACTTTAAAGCAAAAGGCTTTACTAGAGATAGAGTATCTAAATAATAGTTAAAGCTTTAATTCACTACAAAGATACAACAATTTTAATCTTGCATATACCTAATTACATGGCTCTTAGTTGATGAAACTCTGAGGAGAAATAGACAAAGCTACAATAAAGTGGAGGATTTAAATATACATCTCTCAATAATCAATAAGTCAAACAGAACAAAATTCAAAACTTAGAATTTTTGAATAATACAAAAAGCAACTCTATTAGCCATATAGAGTGCTTCACCCAACAAATGGAGAACATACGTTTGAATCAAGGTTTCATGGAACATTTATAAAAATGGATTCTGATCAATTAAGCAAATCTTTACAAGTTTTAAAGATTTGGTATTATTCAGACCATATTCTATGACTGCAATGCTAACAAATTAGAAATAAAAACCAAAGAGATAACTTAAGAAACATGTGTTTGTACATTTTAACGCTTACCTCTAAATAATCCTTTCAGAAATAATGAGTATTAAAAAATTTGTGGTAAAGCCAAAAGCAGTAACTAAATTGAACACTATCCAAATTTTCATTTAATATTTGTATACATAAATACGTGTATAGATGTATACGTGACACACAATCAGAAAATTGACTTCCCAAGAATACATAGGAAATAATTTTTATTCAGGTAAATTTAAAATCAGGTTATTTACCAAATTAATGGATTGGCAACTTCACAGGAAATGAATGCTATGCAGTCTTAGCCTGTTTGGCCAACAGCCTTTGTATTCAGGAAATAAGGCAGAGTTTATGTTTAGATTATTCATAATACTGTTAGTACTAGTAGGTACTCCATGGCTTCTAGCTTGGGGATTATTGGAAAATTTTGATAAGGTATATGGACTGTGACAGACTGTGGTCATTGCAAATTGTTAGCAAAGTACAGATTGTAGGTATTATTTTCAGAGTTCTTTTGCATTTAGAACTGAACAATAAAAAAACTACAAAATAAAATATGGAATTTGGTGATACTCAGAGGGAAATTTATAGTCTTAAATGTATATTATACTTAGAGGGAAATGCATAGCCTATTATGCTTACATTAGAAAAGAAGAAAGGCTGAAAATAAATAAGCTAAGCACCCAAATTATGAAGTTATAAAGTTAAAAAATAGACTAAACTTCTAACATAGAAGAAAAAAAATAATGAAAGGACAGAAATTAATGAACTATGAAAGAAAGCTACAGTAGAGGGACCAACAAAACTAAACATTTTCCTTTGAAAAGCCTTAAGAAATTGACAAATCTCTGGCAGAACTGCTTAAGAAAAAAAGCAGAAGCTACAAATAAACTATAATATAAGCTATAAAGAAATATGAAGAATGAAACAAGACAAAACTATGGAAGCAGGCAAGCTTAAGAATATTACAGAAGAATAGTATGAATAGCTTAATGGCAATGAAAGTGAAAGCATGAGAAATGTTCAAATTTGTAGAAAGTATAAATTTTCATAAAATATAAAATATGGATAAAGCAGCCAAAATTCTGCTACTCTTTCTTGTCTGTCTTGTCCATTGCTTTGTCCTTAGTACTTGTCACACAGTAGGGTCACATAATTAAAATTAGACACAATAACTGTTAACATTTTGGTGTACTTATTTTTATTTATGTTTTAAAACATCATTTATTTTTATATTGATTTTAAGCATCAATATTACAGATACATTTACAGATACTAGATAAAAATGATAAAGTGTAATGACAGACAGCATATTTTTTATTATTATTATAGCAGCTAATCATATCTAAATTTCCTTGGCAATAAAATGAACAATATGTTATTCATACAACTACGCTTTTGTGACGAAAAGAAGAGAGATTTTTTTCTAGCAATTATTCTAGGACAGCATCCTAGCCACATGGTGTTTGATTATTTTTAGCAAAGACTGGAATGGCATTATTATTAATGATGTTATTAAACAAGATTTGCAGTCACTGGAGAGGGGAGAATATGCCTTAAGACCCCAATTTCCTGGCACACTGAAAGGCATTGAAACAAAAAGGCAAACATCGTGTGAGACAGTGTAAAGAAAGATTTCCTCTGACCACAGACCTCATCTGAAAACACACAATACAATTCTGGGATTTAAAATCAGTGGAGATAATCCATGAATTCTTTGTTATCATAACTTTTCTGTATCTTCCCTTCAATGAAACGGTTTTTCAAAAAACTTCCTTTGAAAAGAATACATGTGTGATATATATATTTATACACACTATATATACAGTATATATAGTATATATACACTAAATATATATATATAGTGTGTGTGTATATATATATATATACACACACACACACACACACACATAGTACTTGTTTATCTGGGAATGTCTTTTTGTTGCTTTCCCAAATGAAAGGCAACTTACCCAAGTAGAAAATTCTCAAGGATCCTACTCTCTCATTCTCACAAACTAGTATTATGTATTTTTTTAGATACATGTGTATATATGTAAATGTATAGAGAAAATTCTGAAAGGATACATACTAAATTTTCAACAGTAGTTATCTCTCTTAAGAAAGGTATTTTCACTGTGTGCACATATGTGTGCATGCGTGTGTGTGTGTGTGCATGTGTGTGGTGTTGGGAGTGGGCAGTGGTCAAACACCCCATTAATGTTACCTGTAGTATTTAAATTTTTCTAATGAAGGAGGGAGTGAAACATTACCAGTACAATTAAAGCTTAATCTTGTGGGTCATAACATTTTTCCTTCGTGATTTTATAGACATTGTTTTATTGCCTTCTGGCACTTGATTCAATAAATTTCTTTAATAAGTTTTGAATGCCAACCATGCATCATTGTACAGGGGATACAAAAATGACGAAAAATGGTCTTCACTGAGCTTACGGCAAACTGGAAGACAGAGACCTGATCAAGTAATCATAAAAACAAAAGCAGGTCAGGCACAGTGGCTCATGCCTGCAATCCCAACACTTTGGGATGCCAAGGCAGGAGGAACACTTGAGCCCCAGAGTTTGAGATCAGCCTGGGCAACAGAGCAACACCCCTTCTCTATAAAAACATTTAGCCAGGTGTGGTGGCTCATGCCTGTAACCCCAGCACTTTGGGAGGCTGAGGCAGGCGGATCACAAGGTCAGGAGATCAAGACCATCCTGGCTAACACGGTGAAACCCCATCTCTACTAAAACACAAAAAACTGGGGGGTGGTTCCAAGATGGCCAAATAGGAACAGCTCCAGTCTACAGCTCCCAGCATGAGCGACGCAGAAGACGGATGATTTCTGCATTTCCAGCTGAGGTACTGGGTTCATCACACTTGGGATTGTCCGACAGTGGGTGCAAGACAGTGGGTGCAACACACCAAGCATGAGCCTAAGCAGGGCGAGGCATCGCCTCGCCCGGGAAGCTCAAGGGGTCAGGGAATTCCCTTTCCTAGCCAAGGAAAGGGGTGACAGACGGCACCTGGAAAATCGGGTCACTCCCGCCCTAATACTGCATTTTTCTGACGGTCTTAGCAAATGGCATACCAGGAGATTATATCCCGTGCCTGGCTGGGAGGGTCCTACATCCATGGAGCCTTGCTCATTGCTAGCACAGCAGTCTGAGATCAAACTGCAAGGTGGAAGTGAGGCTGGGGGAGGGGCGCCCGCCATTGCTGAGGCTTAAGCAGGTAAACAAACAGCTGGGAAGCCCGAACTGGGTGGAGCCCACCACAGCTCAAGGAGGCCTGCCTGCCTCTGTAGACTCCACCTCTGGGGGCAGGGCATAGCCAAACAAAAGGCAGCAGAAACCTCTGCAGACTTAAATGTCCCTGTCTGACAGCTTGGAAGACAGTAGTGGCTCTCCCAGCACACAGCTTGAGATCTGAGAACAGACAGACTGCCTCCTCAAGTGGGTCCCTGACCCCCGAGTAGCCTAAGTGGGAGGCACCCCCTAGTAGGGGCAGACTGACATCTCACATGGCCGGATACCCCTCTGAGACAAAACTTCCAGAGGAACGATCAGGCAGCAACATTTGCTGTACACCAATATTTGCTGTTCTGCAGCCTCCACTTCTGATACCCAGGCAAACGGGGTCTGGAGTGTACCTCCGGCAAACTCCAACAGACCTGCAGCTGAGGGTCCTGACTGTTAGAAGGAAAACTAACAAACGGAAAGGACATCCACACCAAAACCCCATCTGTACATCACCATCATCAAAGACCAAAGGTAGATAAAACCACAAAGATGGGGAAAAAACAGAGCAGAAAAACCAGAAACTCTAAAAATCAGAGCGCCTCTCCTCCTCCAAAGGAACGCAGCTCCTCACCAGCAATGGAACGAAGCTGGACGGAGAATGACTTTGACGAGTTGAGAGAAGAAGGCTTCAGAACATCAAACTACTCCGAGCTAAAGGAGGAAGTTTGAACCAATGGCAAGGATGTTAAAAACCTTGAAAAAAAATTAGATGAATGGCTAACTAGAATAACCAATACAGAGAAGTCCTTAAAGGACCTGATGGAGCTGAAAATCATGGCACGACAACTACGTGACGAATGCACAAGCCTCAGTAACCGATGCGATCAACTGGAAGAAAGGGTATCAGTGATGGAAGACAAAATGAATGAAATGAAGCAAGAAGAGAAGTTTAGAGAAAAAAAAAATAGAAAGAAACGAACAAAGCCTCCAAGAAATATGGGACTATGTGAAAAGACCAAATCAACGTCTGATTGGTGTACCTGAAAGTGACGGGGAGAATGGAACCAAGTTGGAAAACACCCTGCAGGACATTATCCAGGAGAACTTCCCCAATCTAGCAAGGCAGCCCAACATTCAGATTCAGGAAATACAGAGAACGCCACAAAGATACTCCTCGAGAAGAGCAACTCCAAGACACATAATTGCCAGATTCACCAAAGTTGAAATGAAGGAAAAAATGTTAAGGGCAGCCAGAGAGAAAGGTCGGGTTACCCACAAAGGGAAGCCCATCAGACTAACAGCTGATCTCTCGGCAGAAACCCTACAAGCCAGAAGAGAGTGGGGGCCAATATTCCACATTCTTAAAGAAAATAATCTTCAACCCAGAATTTCATATCCAGCCAAACTAAGCTTCATAAGTGAAGGAGAAACAAAATACTTTACAGACAAGCAAATGCTGAGAGATTTTGTCACCACCAGGCCTGCCCTAAAAGAGCTCCTGAAGGAAGCACTAAACATGGAAAGGAACAACCGGTACCAGCCACTGCAAAAACATGCCAAATTGTAAAGACCATCAAGGCTAGGAAGAAACTGCATCAACTAATGAGCAAAATAACCAGCTAACATCATAATGACAGGATCAAATTCACACATAACAAGATTAACTTTAAATGTAAATGGGCTAAATGCTCCAATTAAAAGACACAGACTGGCAAGCTGGATAAAGAGTCAAGACCCATCAGTGTGCTGTATTCAGGAAACCCATCTCACGTGCAGAGACACACATAGGCTCAAAATAAAGGGATGGAGGAAGATCTTCCAAGCAAATGGAAAACAAAAAAAGGCAGGAGTTGCCATCCAAATCTCTGATAAAACAGACTTTAAACCAACAAAGATCAAAAGAGACAAAGAAGGCCATTATGTAATGGTAAAGGGATCAATTCAACAAGAAGAGCTAGCTATACTAAATATATATGCACCCAATACAGGAGCACCCAGATTCATAAAGCAAGTCCTTGGAGACCTACAAAGAGACTTAGACTCCCACACAATAATAATGGGAGACTTTAGCACCCCACTTTCAACATTAGACAGATCAAGAAGACAGAAAGTTAACAAGGATATCCAGGAATTGAACTCAGCTCTGCACCAAGCAGACCTAATAGACATCTAAAGAACTCTCCACCCCAAATCAACAGAATATACTTTTTCTCAGCACCACATTGCACTTATTCCAAAATTGACCACATAGTTGGAAGTAAAGCACTCAGCAAATGTAAAAGAACAGAAATTACAACAAACTGTCTCTCAGACCACAGTGCAATCAAACTAGAACTCAGGATTAAGAAACTCACTCAAAACCGCTCAACTACATGGAAACTGAACAATCTGCTCCTGAATGACTACTGGGTACATAAAGAAATGAAGGCAGAAATAAAGATGTTCTTTGAAACCAACGAGAACAAAGACACAACATACCAGAATCTCTGGTACACATTTAAAGCAGTGTGTAGAGGGAAATTTATAGCACTAAATACCCACAAGAGAAAGCAGGAAAGATCTAAAATTGACACCCTAACATCAGAATTAAAAGAACTAGAGAAGCAAGAGCAAACACATTCAAAAGCTAGCAGAAGGCAAGAAATAACTAAGATCAGAGCAGAACTGAAGGAGATAGAGACACAAAAACCGTTCAAAAAATCAATGAATCCAGGAGCTGGTTTTTTGAAAAGATCAACAAAATTGATAGACCGCTAGCAAGACTAATAAAGAAGAAAAGAGAGAAGAATCAAATGGACGTAATAAAAAATGAAAAAGGAGATATCACCACCAATCCCACAGAAATACAAACTACCATCAGAGAATACTATAAACACCTCTATGCAAATAAATTAGAAAATCTAGAAGAAATGGACAAATTCCTGGACACATACACCCTCCCAAGACTAAACCAGGAAGAAGTTGAATCTCTGAATAGACCAATAACAGGCTCTGAAAGTGAGGCAATAATTAATAGCTTACCAACGAATAAAAGTCCAGGAACAGACGGATTCACAGCTGAATTCTACCAGATGTACAAGGAGAGCTGGTACCATTCCTTCTAAACTATTCCAATCAATAGAAAAAGAGGCAATCCTCCCTAACTCATTTTATAAGGCCAGCATCATCCTGATACCAAAGCCTGGCAGAGACACAACAGAAAAAGAGAATTTTAGACCAATATCCCTGATGAACATCAATGCAACAATCCTCAGTAAAATACTGGCAAACCAAATCCAGCAGCACATCAAAAAGCTTATCCACCATGATCAAGTGGGCTTCATCCCTGGGATGCAAGGCTGGTTCAACATATGCAAATCAATAAATGTAATCCAGCATATAAACAGAACCAACAACAAAAACCACATGATTATCTCAATAGATGCAGAGAAGGCCTTTGACAAAATTCAGCAGCCCTTCATGCTAAAACGTCTCAATAAATTAGGTATTGATGGGATGTATCTCAAAATAATAAGAGCTATCTATGACAGACCCACAGCTGATATCATACTGAATGGGCAACAACTGAAAGCATTCCCTTGGAAAACTGGCACAAGACAGGGATGCCCTCTCTCACCACTCCTATTCAACATAGTGTTGGAAGTCCTGGCCAGGGCAACCAGGCAGGAGAAGGAAATAAAGCGTATTCAATTAGGAAAAGAGGAAGTCAAACTGTCCCTGTTTGCACATGACATGATTGTATATTTAGAAAACCCCATTGTCTCAGCCCCAAATCTCCTTAAGCTGATAAGCAACTTCAGCAAAGTCTCAGGATACAAAATCAATATACAAAAATCACAAGCATTCTTATGCACTAATAACAGACAAACAGAGAGCCAAATCATGAGTGAACTCCCATTCACAATTGCTACAAAGAGAATAAAATACCTAGCAATCCAACTTATAAGGGATGTGAAGGACCTCTTCAAGGAGAACTACAAACCACTGCTCAACGAAATAAAAGAGGATACAAACAAATGGAAGAACGTTCCATGCTCATGGGTAGGAAGAATCAATATCATGAAAATGGCCATAGTGCCCAAGGTAATTTTCAGAGTCAATTCCATCCCCATCAAGCTACCAATGACTTTCTTCACAGAATTGGAAAAAACTACTTTAAAGTTCATGTGGAACCACAGAAGAGCTCGCATTGCCAAGTCAATCCTAAGCCAAAAGAACAAAGCTGGAGGCATCACACTACCTGACCTCAAACTATACTACAAGGCTACAGTAACCAAAACAGCATGGTACTTGTACCAAAACAGAGATATAGACCAATGGAATAGAACAGAGCCCTCAGAAATAATACCACACATCTACAACCATCTGATCTTGGACAAATCTGACAAAAACAAGAAATGGGGAAAGGATTCCCTATTTAATAAATGGTGCTGGGAAAACTGACTAGCCATATGTAGAAAGCTGAATCTGGATCCCTTCCTTACACCTTATACAAAAATTAATTCAAGATGGATTAAAGACTTACATGTTAGACCTAAAACCATAAAAACCCTAGAAGAAAAGCTAGACAATACCATTCAGGACATAGGCATGGGCAAGGACTTCATGTCTAAAACACCAAAAGCAATGGCAACAAAAGCCAAAATTGACAAATGGGATCTAATTAAACTAAAGAGCTTCTGCACAGCAAAAGAAACTACCATCAGAGTGAACAGGCAACCTACAGAATGGGAGAAAATTTTTGCAATCTACTCATCTGACAAAGGGCTAATATCCAGAATCTACAAATAACTCAAACAAATTTACAAGAAAAAAACAAACAACACCATCAACAAGTGAGCAAAGGATATGAACAGACACTTCTCAAAAGAAGACATTTATGCAGCCAACAAACACATGAAAAAATGCTCATCATCACTGGCCATTAGAGAAATGCAAATCAAAACCACAATGAGATACCATCTCACACCAGTTAGAATGGCGATCATTAAAAAGTCAGGAAACAGCAGGTGCTGGAGAGGATGTGGAGAAATAGGAACACTTTTACACTGTTGGTGGGACTGTAAACTAGTTCAACCATTGTGGAAGTCAGTGTGGCGATTCCTCAGGGATCTAGAACTAGAAATACCATTTGACCCAGCCATCCCATTACTGGGTATATACCCAAAGGATTATAAATCATGCTGCTATAAAGACACATGCACACGTATGTTTATTGCAGCACTATTCACAACAGCAAAGACTTGGAACCAACCCAAATGTCCAACAATGATAGACTGGATTAAGAAAATGTGGCACATATACACCAAGGAATACTATGCAGCCATAAAAAATGATGAGTTCATGTCCTTTGTAGGGACATGGATAAAGCTGGAAACCATCATTCTCAGCAAACTATCGCAAGGACAAAAAACCAAACACCGGATGTTCTCACTCATAGGTGGGAATTGAACAATGAGAACACTTGGACACAGGAAAGGGAACATCACACACTGGGGCCTGTTGTGGGGTGGGGGGAGGAGGGAGGGATAGCATTAGGTGACATACCTAATGTAAACGATGAGTTAATGGGTGCAGCACACCAACATGGCACATGTAGACATATGTAACAAACCTGCACATTGTGCACATGTACCCTAAAACTTAAAGTATTTTAAAAAAAACCACACACACACACAAAATTAGCCGGGTGTAGTGGCGGGCACCTGTAGTCCCAGCTACTCGGGAGGCTGAGGCAGAAGAATGGCGTGAATCCAGGAGGCGGAGCTTGCAGTGATCTGAGATCATGCCACTGCACTCCAGCCTGGGTGACAGAGTGAGACTCCGTCTCAAAAACACACACACACACACACATATAAAGAAAATAGCCAGGCATAGTGGCATAAGCTTGTAGTCCCAGCTACCAGCAAGTTGAGGCAGAAGGATTGCTTGAGCCCAGGAGCTTGAGGTTACAGTGAAATTTGATGTGCTATTCACTGCACTGCAGCCTGGGTGACAGAATTAGACCCTGTCTAAAAAAAATAAAAATTAAAAAAAAAGTTCAAGTCAATTTTGGCTTCTATTTTATAACATTCATTCTATTTTAATTTTAAAAATACCCTCAATTACTTTTTATATAGCTTATTTTACCCAAATAGTTAAGCAAAATTAACATCCCTGAAAGATGCACCATCCTTTTTCTGTGGCTTTGAGTGTGCCTTGACCCACTCAGTGGCTTCCTGAGCATAAGATGTCTAATTTGGGAAGCACGATCTTAAATGTTAGTTGTCTTTTGCTCAAGTTTTCTTTCTGCTAGGGGTGCCATTTCCTTCTTGAGCAGGAGAATTCTTGGTTATCAGCTCAAATCCTACCTCTTAATTTAAAATTACTGAACATGTTAATTCAATAAAGAGTTCATGATAGGCTTTTCCTGCTAGCCTGCCTGGCCCTACTCCTCCCATTAGAACTAACTTAGCCTCCCTTTGTATTTCCATAGCACTTTGTAATGCCCCTGTCATAGTTCTAATCCCATCATGTTAGGACTTAGTTTGGATGTGTCTGTTTGTCACTAGTTCAGTGAAGGCAAAAGCAAAAGAGAATCTTACTTATTTTTGCACCTTGGAGCCCATCACAGTGCCTGGTATGTGGCTGGAGCTCTTTTCACCAGAAAGGAAGAGGCTACCCAGGCTTTGAATGGTGTGTGCTGTTGAACTCTGATGGTAAAGAGATTCACCTGGATCACTGCTCCCTACAGCAGAATCACCTGCAGGGCTTGATTGGGTAAAGTTTCCCACTCTTGCCTTTACTCATTTCAGGCTGAGGATGTTTGCAAGAGATAGTAGGGACCTTTCCTCTAACCCTAATTAAACTTGCCTTTGCTGGCAAATATATTCCAAAAGCCAGAAGCAGATATCTTTAACATACATGAAAAGCAATCTATGACTGAGATGCTATCCCACTTCCAGGGGAGGACTGTGGCTTTCTGGCAATTATATCAACTTCCAGCCTCAGGGATCTACTCAGTCTCTAGACCACACCTGGTCTGGTGGTTCTCCAAGCTGCTCACGTGTGCCCTCCTCCAGGAGCCCTGCTTGGAGGAGCAGAGATGTCAGCTGCAACCCTCCAGGTTCAGCTCAGGGAACACCCCCTTCTCAGTCGGCCTTCCTTTTTCTTTTCTCTCAGGAGTTTCCTAGATCTGAGATCTCAAGGCCATGGGCTCTTCTTCTCCCACATATGAGGAGCCTGCCTTCAGCAGTTGCAAATAAAAGATCATTTGATTCCACCATACCTTCAAAGTCTGGGTTTTGACCTTGACGATATTTATTGACTGAGATCATCCAAACAAGGATTTCCAAAGGCTGTAGCATCCAGTGGTTTTCGTGAATGTGACACCCCTGTTGCTGCCTCTATTTATAAAGTTTGAGCTCTGGTTTCTGATGGTTCCAAACCTAGCAGGTGGGGGTGGCAGTCTTTTCTTTACCTTCTATTTGCCTGTTGGCGGCTCCAAGAGACTAAAATATTCTCTTCCTACAAGCAGGCTACTGAGACTTTGGAGCACAGAAATAGTTGTTTTAGCCAGAGCGGTTATATGACAGGAATCTCTGCCCAGAAAAGAGGGATAAATCAATGTTTGCTTAAGGAATAAAGACCAAACTCCTCTGGAAAAACAAAATGTGATTTTTAAATGATCAAAGCTGGCTTTAGTAATCACTGAGGGAACTGAACTCCTTGAAGCTCTCAATGGGTGTCTGATGGTATCCTTGCGGTCAAATATCAGATTTATTTGGCCATGATTAATTGCTGATGCCAGATTCCTGTCTTTCCCTTGGCTACATCTTCTTCTCAGCTAACCCCAGTCACTTGCTCCATTTTCATCTTTATGCTTTTATGACATTTGCATCAGCCACTGTATTATCACTTATATATGGATAAGGTGGAAAGAAAAGGAAAAAATGAAGCCTCGTTTTCAAGACATATTTTCATGTTACATTGAATAACATGATATATATCATTTCTTGCTTTAACCATTGAAATAGCAGCTCTAAACCAACCAGCTGCTGCTCCTGATACTTCTCTAAAGAGGAGATTTGAGCCTGCCTGGTGCTGGCAACAATAAGTGGCATCATTGTCCATGCAGGGCCTCCAGGATTTCACCCTGCTTCTCACTCCTGCCATGTGATCCACCACCAAAATGTCCAATGTAATATGAACTCCCTTCGCAGACCCAGGTTTCCAACACCATGCCAGTCCCAAAGCTTCCGTCTAATTAGGCCTTCCAAAAAGGGTAAGATGTAAGTCAAAAAGTAAATGAAAAAGGGAAAAGAGAAAAAGCTACCAAGAAAGGATGTGCAATAGGAGGTAATGGAGGGGAGGATAAATTTTCTTTTCCTTTTCCACTTCCCAGTTGGCAACTGGTTGGATGACAACAGCAGCAGATGCAGCAGAATTAGGAAAGCTGGTAAATATATGCCTTTTTTTTCTTGAAAAAGGTTTTTGGGCCAGGCATGATGGCTTGCCCTTATAGGCCCAGCTGCATGGGAGGCTGAGGTGGAAGGATTGCTCGAGCCCAGGAATTCAAGGTTGCAGTGAGCTGTGATTGCACCGCTGCACTTCAGCCTGGGTGACAGAGTGAGACCCAGTCCCTCCCAATACAAAACCAAAACCAAAATAAACCACTACAGTAAGTGGTCTGAAAAGGAGATAGATACATGTTGCTTATGAGAGCAGGTAACAGGAGAAAGGTCCTGGTCAAGGGGTCAGAGGGGAGCCCCTGTAGAAATGACTATGTGAAGTAGGAGAAGGACCTTTCAGGTAGAGGGAGCTGTGAGTGTAAATTCTTATGATAGGAGCTAAGCATAGCACTTAGGAGGGACTGAGAAAAGTTTGCTGTGTCTAGAGAGCAGAGAGTGGAGCTGGAGGGGTAGGTAGAAATCAAATTATGGAAAGTCTTGGAAGCCAAGTTAAGAATTTGGTTTTATCCTAAGAGCCACTGGAATCCATTGCAAAGTGTAAATGTGGAAGTGACATCAGATTTGCATTACAAGGTGGTCACTCTGGATATTGTGTGGAGAATTGAATGCACAGGAGTGAGGGTGAGAATAGAAAGACCAAGGAGGATTCAAAAGCAGTAGGCTTGGAGAGAGATGATAGTTGCTAGGACTAGAGTGAGAGTAGCCGTAGAGATGGAGGGGGGTATATTTGAGAGACTTTTCGGAGATAACATATACAGGACTCTGCAATCAATTGGATATGGGGAGGAGTGAGGGAGAGGAATGTGTCAAAAATAACTCATAGTTTCTGGATAAAGTGACTGGAGCAAATGATGATGATGGCATCTGTGGAGATGTCACATGAAGAGAACTAGGTTTGGAGAGAGTATAATAATTTCATTTTGCATGAGTTGAATTCAACAACCATTTAAAATGTGTAAGCAGAGATGTCAAGTAGACAGGGATTCTACAGACCCAGACCCAAGGAGAGGTCTCAACTGGAGATTTGATTCTGTGAATCAGTGGTATAAAGGTGGTAAGTAAATCCCTGTGTCTGGATGACATTGCTGGAGAGTGAGTACAAAGAGGGAAGATGGCCCCAAACCCAACCTTGAAGAGCTTCAACATTCAATGGCCTGCCAGAGGAGAATACTGAAAAAGGGTATATTGGAGGAGCTGTCAGAAAAGTAAGAGGGAAATTAGAGGGGTGCTGGGTTATGGAAGCCAAGGAAAGAGGGTTTCTAGGAGACACTGATCAACAGTATTAAGCGGTTCTGAGAGATTAAAATCTAAAGTGTTTTGGGGGTTTAGTGATATGAGGAGTCATTAGCAATCTTTTTTTTCTAATGGAGATGGGGTTCTACTGTGTCATCCAGGCTGGTCTCCAACTCCTGGGCTCAAGTGATCCTCCTACTACAGCCTCCCAAAGTGCTGGGATTACAGGCATGAGCCCATGCCCAACCTCATTAGCAATCTTGATGAGAGATGTTTTCATAAAGTAGTGTATGCAAAACTCAGGTTAGAGTGGGCTGAGGAGTAAGTGGGAGGCAGAAATAGAAGTAAGAATAGAGAACTTAAGAATTTTTGCTATGAATGAAAGGAGAAAGACAAGTAAATGGCCAGATGAGAATGTGGGTGAAGAAAGAGTATTAAATCGGGAGATATCTAAGCTTGTTTAAAAACTGCTGAGGTTTATCCAGTTGAGAGGCAAAGCTGGGGATGGGGATAAAGAGCACAAAGAGTGGACAAGATTTATACATTGGACCTTAACTGATAAAAACAGAGATACTGGATATGGTGGATTCACCTTCAGTCTTTTTTAGAAGGGTGAGCACTAGGCCTGTGGGTGACATTTCTTTCTCTTTGACAAGGTCATAGTGCATTTAGGGATAGGTTGTCTCCATGTTGCTGCTTCATTTACTGTTAAAGAGGTGGAATCAGAGACCAATTTGTACAATACATTCCATTGTAGATTCCTTGTGATTTCCATCTGGCTGCTTAAGGATTTTTTTTTTTTTTGAGACAGGGTCTCACTCTATTGTCCAGGCTGAAGTGCAGTAGCATGATCTCCACTCACTGCAACCTCAACTTCCAGGGCTCAAGTGATCCTCCCACCTCAGCCTCCTGAGTACCTGGGACTACAAGCATGTGTGCCACCAGACCTGGCTAATTTTTGTATTTTTTATAGAGATGGGGTTTCATTATGTTGTCCAGGCTGGTCTCAAACTCCTAGGCTCAAGCGATCTGCCTGACCCAGCCTGCCAAAGTGCTGAGACTATAGTACTAGCATGCTTTAACCCTAGAACCAGATAGATAACTGTCACCTGGATTCAGTGGTTGTAATCAGTTAAAAAATCTGGAAACTAAATAATGTATGGCATAGTACTATGTTGTGGAGGTTTTAACACATTTGACAATTTTCCCAATAAAAGGTGGAGTCCAGTTACCGTCTCCTTAAATATGGGCTGGCGACTTAGTGGCTTGCTTCTGATGAATAGAATATTATGGAATTGACGCTACATGACTTCTGAGGCTAGGAATAAAGCTTCCACTTGGCTGTCTCTCAAAATACGTGCCTTTAGGACCCTGAGCCATCATATAAGAAATCTGGATACCCTGAAACCACCATGCTGAAGAAGCCATGTGGAGAGATGGGAGCCATGTAGAGATAGGTAGATGCCTGAGGGGTGCCAGCTATACTTGTCTTCTTAGCCCAGGCACCAGACGTGTGAGTAAGAATACCTTTCAGGCAGCTCCAGCCTCACCACTGTCTGCAACTGCCTGGGAAACCTTGAGTGAGAACCACCCTGCTGAGCCCAGCCAGTTCCCAGAACCATGAGGACTAATAAACTTATTTCATACCACTAAGTTTGGAGTGATTTGTTATGCAGCAGAATTTGTTTATTAAGAACCAGAGAATTGATTTTTAGTATAAGTTTTAAATATACCTGCCAAGAAAGTATATCTGGTTTGGAAAATTAAAACTTAAAATTGAAAAAGAAAAAGTTTTAAGTGGGAAAGATTTTTTTTCTGGCATAAAAATGAGAAAAGAGAATGTAAACAAATTTCAAGTAAGACTTATTTTATCTTTATTCTTAATGAATATGAATAACTAATACATTTACAAGTGATTAAAAACTGAATAGGCAGGCATTTTCAATCAGTTAAAATGTTAATTCAGTACATCAAGTAGATTCCTTATTTTGAATATTAAGAATGAGGTATATAATTTTAAAATAGAATATCAATTTTTTTTCTTGCCCATCTAAATAAATATGAGACAGATATTTAATAAATATTTGCTTGAGGTAGTGAGTTATCTCAATTGATTGCTCAGTCCATTACAGATCAAACTCCTTGTTCTAATCTTCCCCCCTTCTCACCACTGCATTTGACTAGTCTTAAGAAAAAATTTTGTTTGAAGAGTCACCAACATATTAAACCTCCTGTGTGCCTGTGGGAAACATGGGGAAAGGAGGGCTACCCCAGTGCAAGGCTGGCTGTTCATGTTCCTGGTTGGTACAGACACTGGGTCCTGGAATCAGGATGCAGGGACGGGGAGGTGGAACAGGTTATTATTTTTTTCAGGTGGTTTTGGTTGCCAGGAAGAGAGAAATGAAGCATAAAATCGATTATTTTTCTCAGTTTAGCTTTCTATAGTTAGTAAACATTCCTCCCATATTCTGACAATTTTTTTTCTGTCAGTGTTTTCATTATCACTACGAGTTCTAGTGTATGTATTTTAGTGGGAATTTTGGAGAGGTTGCATAGGGGCTGTTAGTTAGATGTGATTTAAATTGGAAGCCTTCATCTCTCTTGATATGAATTAATACATGACCCACAAAAGGAGTTTTGGCTATCAACTATTGAAGATGCTGGCCTCAGGAAGCTTAAGATTTCAGTGGTCTAGTGTGCAGAGGGAAAAAAAGGTACCAAGGGACTAAGGCTAATGGAGCCCCTTAGCAATCCTGAGGGATGGGAAACTCAACCAAGGCCGCTAAATCACATATGGTGGTGCAGGTTCGGCAGAGCCAAGGGGGCCGGCTCCCTTGTCAAGCCTTGCTTCAGCTCAAGCTCCCTTGTCAAGCCTTGTCTCAGATGAAGGGAGACTCTTTGTTATTTGGTTCTCCAGAGGAGGTGACTTTAATTTGCACAAAGGCATCTTATTAGCTAGCAGAGACGAGTATGTACAATGCACACTGTTGTGCGTTTGTGTGTGCTTGTATGTATTTATGAGTATATACAGTTGTAGGTGATGAATGTGGGAAGATAAAGGTGAGTTCTTAAAGCTTGTGGTTACTTTCTGACTGAGGTCTTGGGAGGTTTGTATTTGCTCAAGCTGCGATAGTTGGGTTTCTGTTACATGCTACTTTTACAGAATACATATAGCTAAATGTTATTTCTCATCACCTGCTTTCTGTTTGTTTCTGTCTCTGTCCTTTCCTTCATGTTTTCTTGATCTCTCCTCCCCTCTCTGCTTATACCAGTCATGCTTGGTACATGATATGTGCTCAATAAATTGTAGCTGTTATTTAATAACAAGGTCAACGAATGTATAGAAAGTTTTTTAAAAAAAATGCTTATCTTGGAAGATGACTACATGACAGTAAATGAAGAAGATGTTTATCTAACTTTAGTGCCATTTTGATGCAACAAATGAAACCTTGGTTTGTCAACATTTCTGAAATGCAAAATATGTGTGCTATACTTTGCTATACCAAGACAGGAATAGTACAATCAGAAGAAAATAAGCCTCCTCTTCTGACGAGGCAACTTTAGGGAAAGAGAACTGAATCCTGGAAAAGATCCTGGGGCAGCAGCAGATAGGCACTCTTCCCTTGGAAGCCAACTGAGACCTGATTCATTCCTCTGACCAGAAGCAACCAGACAAAACTACCCTCACTCCTAGCACAGAGAAGGACCCCTCCCACAACTAAAGTGACCATGCCAGCCAGGAGAACTTCATTGAACATTCTGTGTTGTCTACCGCACTATGATGATAGACTCCAGTTTAAACATCTGAGCATACTGGATGCTTGAATTTGATTGAACACCCCTGGGATTAGGCTGCAGAACAGGGTGACCCTATTGCTTGGGACAGTTAGGCCCAATTATCAGTCCAGTTCCAGATCTGGTTCTGTGGTGAGTGCCCTGGGAGGCTACCAAATCCTCAGTTCCCTGGAAAGTGAAGCCCTAGAACTTCCTAGAGCTATAAGGCTCTGTTCTTGAACTAGACTGAAAATAGGCAAGAACCAGAAATCAGAAAAGCCTCCTAGACATAGTAAGATTTAATATGACTACACTGCTATTTCCATGAAGAATGTCCCTCTGTGTCTTTTAATGTCTCCCCAACCAGGAAGTTCCTTCTCATGTCCTGTTAGGGAAACACAATCCAGGCCCACCTAAAGCGGAAACCAATGGTTCCTTTGCACCATCTGTACTGCTGCCATCATTTTGAAAATGCATTGCTTTTGTTACGGATGGGGCTGACCAAGACAATAGGAAGGATCCCTTGAATTACTAAGTCTGGGAATCCAGAGAAGGTGATTTGAGCAAGGCCTGTGTGAGGATGGTTGCCTTACAAGAGCAAGCAGACCAGAGGTGCAGTGAAGTTGCTGCCCCAGATCCTTTACAAGGACATGGGGTCCAGTAGCCCAGGATTCCTCAGAGAAGAAACACCTAAATCCTTGGGAAAGGAGGGAAATGTGAGTTCATGACTTACTGTCTGTGTTGAAGACTCTCATGATCAGGAGATAGTATTGGGGAATGATGTTAGCAATCCCCCTCTGTGTACTGTGGAGCAGAAGCAGCTTCTCTGAGAGCTATGGTACCAGATCAGTGGATGGAGTGCAGGGAAAGGTGTGAGGAACTGCCTGTTACTACCTGTCTCCAGTGCCATCTTGATTAGCACCAAGAAATGCCCTCTGTTAGGGGGCTAGAGAATCCATGCTGAATGAACTTTTAAAAATATAAGATGTGGGCTCCAGATATTAACAAATGCTGACGTGGATCCACACTTTTTTCTTATCTCTGGTTCTCACTCTTCTTTGGAATTCAGCTACCCCAGCTGCTGGTGGTGTTGTCATTAGCTGGAGGCAGACAGGGCCCCTGGAACTGAGCTTATTAAGAACAAATGAGCCTTGGGTTCAGACCCCTTAGGGGTTTTGCTTTCTGAAGCTAGGCACAAATGAAAACTCAGCTGCCTAGGCTTTGCATTATTACATTTTCTGGGTTATATTGGTCTCCAGGGAACCTGCTTTAGGCATTTCCAAGTTGTTTGTTTTAACAAAGGATATCAAATTTTAAACAACCCTCAATTATCAGAGAATTCTCCTTTAAAACTGGAGTTCTTGGCAGCAAAACCACTATTTTGAAATATCCCTTTCTCAGTCAATATACTGGCTCCCGGAGTCTTGGTCCTGGCTGCTGACTCAACTGTGCAGCCACAACTTTTTGCCCCAGTTAGTGTTTGTTGAGTTCAACACAGCTATGGGGTAGGAAACGGCTTCTAATTTTCTTGCTGCCTCATCAGCAGAATTGACAGCTAAATTCCAATTGCGGAGGCTTTATTACTTTTGAAGGTGTGAGAGGCAGAAAAGAGCACAGCTGGGTCCTTTATCACAGGCGGAGTTTGCAGGACTGGCACATAGAAGGATCAGCTTTTGACTGTTAACTGAGGACAATTTAGTCTGGAGGTGCTTGTGGGCAGATGATATTTGAAACCCCCTTATGTTGGATTCTGTGAATAACTACACTCAAGAGTGCACGTCAGGGTTTAGCACTTCCTCAATAAAGTGTGCTCCAAAAAGCCAAGGGACGAAACGTTTTAAGAAGCTCAGCTGTTGCAGTGAGGCAAGTATGCTGCGCTGTCGTGGTGGGACAACTTATCCACACTGGTGGATATCTCCCACTTTCCTGGAAATGCAACAGCCAAGTGGCATGGGGGCTCAGCCTGAAGAAAGAGTAGCACGGACGTGGTCGAATCAGGTGGGGTTTCTGGTTTTCTGTAATTCTGTAGGCAGAGGAGGCTGGCGAAAGGCTTTCTAGGCTGGGATGTTTGTTGAATCCTTAGATAATTACTTTCTGGCCACATATTCACATGTTTCTATTTCCTCAAATGAATGTTTACTTCAGAAAATATTTCTATTACAGAAAAATGGTATTTTCCCAGGAAGTGCATGCTCAACCATCCTTCCTCGTGTGCCCTTGCTCAAGATGGTAATTTACCAAAAGAGTGTAATTATGCAACTGAAAAGCCTTTAAATTGGATTGTGAGGGGAAACCCTGTGGCGTTCCTCAAAACAGGCCAGGTGTGAACATAAAGTAATGAGACCGATATGTCAATTTTTGTATACCTGTATAAAACCAAAGCAATAATTCTGAATGCTTGCTTCCCCCTTCCCCAGCTTAACTTAGGGTTATTGAAGGCAGACCCTGGATACATTTTGTTAGAGCATTGTTTTCTTTATTTTGGAGTTGCAAGCTTTCATTGACGGCCCCTATTGTTTCTTGTTTATTTATCATCTCTCAGGTGAAAAGGTCTCTTCCAAACTGGGGCTTGTTGATGGGGAGGGCAGAAATTTTCCTCCTGGATCCTCTCACTGTGCACATGGTTACTTTTAGAATCATCTCAGTTCCCGAACGGGAGCATTGTTGGAAAGGCACAAATTCTACCATTTTGTAGTCTTCTGTTCTCATATTTTACTAAATATTCCAAGAAAAGGGTGTATCAGGTTACTAACTTTCCACTATTTTATCCAGAAATCTTTCCCTCACTATTTTAATAACACTTCTTTCATCTTGTGGCTGGTTTTTGAATAAGGAGCTACTGTAGGCCTAAAACTCTTCTAAGTTTCTTTGTAGAATCTCAAAGCACTTGAAATTCATATAGGTGTTTTGCAACACAGGCATTTCTTACATGTGAGCTACATATACATTCCCAAAGACTGTTGTTTCTCTAGTTGCCATAGGACTCCATTAATTTATTCCAACAATAGTGCTATTGCTCAAAATGCCCAGACATCCCCTCTTCTGGAATTGTCTCCCAAGCTGGTTGGCAAATCATGTAGGAAAACCTGTCATAAAGTAACACACAGTCTCACCTTTTTTTTTTTTTCTTGACTAAAGCCAGAATTGTATAGCTACGTCATCTAAATTCAACTTTTATTCATCAAAATGCACTCCAAACAACTTCTGTTTCTCAAAATCAAATCCATTTTCAAAGGATGGATATTTACCAGCCACAATTAAGGAAATTCTAAAGAAAATGCCACAGGCTATCAGAGTAATTTCTAAAATGAAGCTCCATGAATTCTTTTAAATGGCAGTAGTATTTGACTAGTATAGCAACTCCAAAGAGACTTTGTTGGAGCAAATAATACTTGTTTAGATGTGAGTTCTGATAAGTTGGTTACAAAAAGAGTCTCATTTGGTCTGGGAAACAAGATAGGTTGGTTTAAAAAGATCATGCCATTTGATATGGGATATGATATATGAGATAAATGGGTCCTAGCTCTGCCAGTGAACATGGGCAAAGTGCTTAGAATCTCTAGGTTTCTGATTCTTCACATTTAAAATGAAAGGTTTAGATGAGGTGATCTCCAAGGACTCTTTTAGCTTGAATACACTACAATTCATTCATCAAACATTTATTGAGCAAATACTGTAAATGTTAGACACTGCTTTAGGAAAAGTAATACAAAATCCCTGTCCCAAAAGGTCTCAAAATCTAGCCAGGCATATGGATTATATACAATTTTTTATATCATCAATATCACAATATGATCAACTCTCATATATTATACAATATAACATAATATTTATTGCTGAATAAACTACTTGTTCATCAAATATTTTTCTTTTTTTCCTGACAGGCATTGTAACTGATTTGCCACACCTAATTAATTACAAAGGAGTCTGGGAAAAAAAGTTTAGCCTGCAAGTGTTGGAAAAATAAAATAAGGAACCTTTGGCTATTACCTTTCCACTTTTCCTAAAAGTTCTGGAAGCAAGGGGTGTGGGAGAGGGAAGGGCATACATACATGAAAGGAAGAAGGTAACATAGAAATACAGGAATAGATCAATGAAGAACAGATAATAGTAATTATTAGAGAAGTTAATTGCCTAACCTCAAGATGTATGCTAAAAAAAAAATTACCTGAAAAAAAAATGGGCTAGCCAGCACCTTTTCCAAAAAAGTGGGGATAATGGCCAAAGGATCCTTGCTTTATTTTTCTAACACTTGCAGGACAGTAAAAATTCTTTTGAAAACTATTCAATCAAGAGTGAAATCTGGGTTACTGGCAAGAATGTTATCTGAAATGATGACTCTAAGACATGATTGCCTGCTGCCTTGCAGTTTGGAAT
The DNA here is from genome assembly GCF_000001405.40 of Homo sapiens. Lineage (NCBI taxonomy): Eukaryota > Metazoa > Chordata > Mammalia > Primates > Hominidae > Homo > Homo sapiens. Next base: position 66,171,565 of record NC_000014.9, on the reverse strand, counting down.
TTGATATGAAGCTGCGTTGAGGTTTAAAATGCCATTTGTTAGGAGTTAGAACTATGTTAACCATGTTACAGGTAAATCTAAGTGAATACTTAAATTCATCTAAAAGCCAATGTCTTTGGCTATTTTCAGCTTAGTTGTAAGGAAGATAGCAGTAAATTGTTATTATATTGTGGTAGGTAGATAATGGCCTCCCCCAAGGTGTCCACACGCTAAGCCCAGAAACCTGTGAACATGTTACCTTACATGCCAACAGGGGCTTTGCAGATGTGATTACATTAAAGATCTTGAGAGAAGGGGGTTATCCTGTATTATCTGGTGAGCCCAAGGTAGCCACAAGGGTTCTCACAAGAGGGAGGCAGGAGTGTCAGGGTCAGAGCAGGAGCTGGGACAGCAGAAGCAGAGGGCAAAGTGATGTGGGGCCATGTGCCAAGGAAAGCAGCCAACTTCCAGAAGCTAGAAAAAGCAAGGAAAGGGATTTTCTCCTAGAGCCTTAGAAGCAGCACAGCCCTGCCATCCATCCGTTTTGGACTTCTGACCTGCAGAACTCTAAGATAATGCATCTGTGTTGTTTTACGCCACTAAGTTTGCAGAAACTTGTTATAGCAGTAACAGGAAACTAACACATACATAACACACTATGGCCTATGCATTCTCCTCTGTTTTATTCATAAACAATTTTTAGGCACTGCTATGTATGAGTCACGTACTATCTAGGTGCTGTAGAGGGAAAAGAAGGGTTAAAAAAAGCTGTTTTCCATAGCTTTTGTGTTTTTGAAAGAAATTAATTTTTGAATCCTATTATGCTTTTCGTGTATTTATACTATGTGCCTTATAGTGTGTGTGTGTGTGTATATATATATGTTTTACATATATACATCTGTATGTGTGTATATAGTATACAGCTATTCCTTAAGGATATTTATACTAAGGGCTTTACAGATAATCATTCCTTTAGCTCTCTCATAACAACTTAAGGTACTACTGTCTCCCCTTCACAAGGGAGAAAACTGAACTGAGGGGAGTTGAAACCTGCAAGAAGTTACCAATAAGGAGGAGATCTCCATTTTGATGGTTTGGGGGCAGACCAAAGTTGGTTCTGTATGAACTGACCAAAACTCCGATAAGAAACTGTGTTCTTTCAGCCTTGAAGAGAGAGGACAGAGATCAGGAATCTCACAGTGACTGTAAAGTGAGAGTGGTATTCTGGAAAAAAGAGTGTTGGAGCCCTAGATTCTGTCTGTAAACTTCTGCACCATGCATGCCTGGGACAGACTCTAAGTAGCTCAGCAAAGCCCAAAAGATGAGAAGTGAGATTTGAACCGTTGCCCAAGAGAGATGTTAGAGGTCGAACCAAATCAAATAAGTTGACTGCTAAAACAAAAACACTGACATTCTTTGGGGGAATATAAAATATAAAGATGTCTCTAGAACATAGACTTGACAAGGTCCATGATTCAATCCAAAATTACTTGACATACGAAGGATCAAGAAAATGTGCCCCATCCTTAAGAGAAATATCAATAAACTAAGACCAGCCCTGAGGATTTAGGAACAGCCCTTGGAATTAGCATGCATGGATTTTAAAATTTTAGGCTATTAAGTGTATGCAGAATGAAGAAAAATATGTTTGGAATAAATTAAGAGAAGAATCTCAGCAGATAAGTACTGTACAAAAAGAAATTATGGAAGTTCTAGAATTAAAAATATAATATCTGAAATTAAAAATTTACTGAATGTATGTAACTCAAAAAATTAAGAATGACAGAGTAGAGAGTCAGTGAATGTGACTAAATAGCAACAGAGATGATAAAATATGAAGAAAAGAGAGAAAAAGTTTGAAAAAGATAAACCTAGTCTCAGACACCAAGAGGTCAACAAACACTGTATCATCCATATAATTGTAATTCTAAGAAGAGAAGATAGAGACTGAGACAGAAAAATCTATTTAAAGATAGAATGGCTCTCAAATTTATTGAAGGGCATAAATGTGGAGATTCAAGAGTCTCAGCGAAATCACACTTAAAAATCACAAAAAAACTATGCCTAGGTGCATCAAAGGCAAATTGCTGAAAACCAAAGATAAAGAGGAAATATGGAAAGCAGCCAGAGAAAATGACATATCCAAAGAGAAATGATTTGAATCATCATTCACTTCTTGCCAGAAATGACAGAGGCTAGAAGATAGTGGAATAACACATTTTAAAAAAACGTTTTATTTTAAAATAATTTTAGACATACAGAAAACTTTCAAAAGTAGTACAGAGAGTTTTGCTGTTTATTTTTCACACAGTTTCCCATAATATTAACATCATACATAAGGATTGTTAATTATCAAAGCCAAGAAATCAACACTGGTACAGTACCATTCACTAAACTACACAATTTATTGGAATTTCACCAATTTTTCCACTAATATCCTCTTTCTGTTGCAGGATCCAGTTAAGTATCCCACATTACATTTAGTTATTATGTTTTGTCTCCTACAATTTCTGTCAGGTCCCCAGTAACTCCCTTCTGTCTTTCATTATCTTAACATAACTCCCTTCTGTCTTTCATTATCTTAACACTTTTGAAGAAGGATGCTGGTCAGTTATTTTGTGGAATGTCTCTCGATTTGGGTTAGTCTGATGCTTCCTGGTGATTAGAAGGAGACTGTGCATTTTTGGCAAGCATATCACAGAAAAATATTGTATTCTTCTCAGTGCATCATATCAAGGAGTTCATGATGCCAGTGTATCTCATTCCTGGTGGTGTTAAGTTAGATCACTCAGCTAAGGTAATGGTTCTTCACTGAAAAGTTAGTACTTTTCCTTTTGTAATTAAAAGTATCTTGTGGCAAGATACTTTTAGACGGTGCAAGTGTCCTGTTTCTCCTCCAACTTTCACTAGCATTTGTCTGTAGATCTTGCCTGTGACAATTTTTACTGGGGTATTTGCCTAATGGTGATTTTCTGAAATAATGCCTTTAAGTGATTTAACAAATATTTTTATCCAAAATATTACATCCAGTAGAAACATTCTTTAAGAACAAAATTGTACAACTCAATAATAAAAAGAGAAATAACCCAATTAAAAATGGGCAAAGGACATTTCTCCAAAGAAGATATGCAAATGAAAAGATTCTGAACATCATGAGCCACTAAGAAAATTCAAATCAAAGCCATAATGAAATACCACTCCACACCAAGTAGGATGGCTATAATAAAAAAGACAGATAATAACAAATGCTGGCAAGAAGACAAAGAAATTGGAAGCCTCATCGATTGCTGATAGCAATGTAAAATGGTGCAACTGCTTTGGAAAACAGTCTGGCATTTCCTCAAACCATTAAACGTAGAGTTACCATATGGCCCAGCCATTCCACTTTTAGGTATATACCCAATCAAAATGGAAACATATGTCCACATAAAAACTTATAACACAAATGTTTATAGAAGCATTATTCACGATAGCCAAAAAGTGAAAACAGCCCAAATGTCCATCAACTGATGAATAAATAAATAAGATATGGTATATTCATACAATGGAATATTATTTGGCCATTAAAAGAAATGTAGTTCTGATACATGCTACAACATGGATAAACCTTGATAATGTTATGCTAAGTGAAAGAAGCCAGTCACTAAAGACAATACATTATATAATTCAATTTCTATGAAATGTCCAGCTGGGTGCAGTGGGTCATGCCTGTAATCCTAGCACTTTGAGATGCCAAGGCAGGAGGATCACTTGAGCCCAGGACTTTGAGACTAACCTGGGCAACATAGTGAAACCCTGTCTCTACAAACAATAAAATAATTAGTACAGTGTGGTGGCATGTGCCTGTGGTCCCAGCTACTCTCAGGAGGCTGAGGTGGGAGAATTGCTTCAGCCCAGAAGATTGAGGCTGTAGTGAGCTGTGGTCATGTCACTGCACTCCAGCCTGGGTGACAGAGTGAGATCCTGTCTCAAAAAAAAAAAAAAGAAAGAAAGAAAGAAAGAAATGTCCATAATAGGCAAATACATAGAGACAGAAAGATTAGAAAGATTAGTGATTGCCTAGAGTTGAGGGATTAGGAGAGTGGGGAGTGACTGCTAATGGATATGGAGTTTGTTTGGAAGTTGATGTAAAATTGGTTGTGGTAATGGTTGCATAACTCTGTGAATATACTAATAACCATTTAATTATACATCTTAAATGGGTGAATTGTATGGTATGTGAATTGTATTTAAATAAAACAATTTTAAGAAAAAAGAACAATGTTGAGGTACAGACATTTTTTGAAGAAAAAAACCCTGGGAGAAATTATTGGCAGAAAACTTGCACTACAAAATACTATAGACATTTCTTTAGACTGCTGGTCTATTATACCATATGGAAGCTTGAATCTTTAGAAAGAAATGAAGAACATCAGAAATATAATTATTTAGGCAACTATAAAATATTATTTTTATTTCTTTGAGGTACAAATAACTGTTTAAAGAAAAATGATAACGTTGTCTTATAGGATTTATAACATTTCATTATAGACCTTTCCTAGCCAGTGCAATAAAGCAGGAGCAAGAAACTAAAGATATGAGGATTTTGTAGCTTGCTTACTTGGAAAATGCATAATAATTAGAATTAATAATGAATTTAGTAAAGTCATTATACAAAGCCACTATACAAAAATCAATTGCATTGTATATCAGCAACAAACAATTAGGAATTGAAGTTTAATTAACAATGCCCTTAATAAAAGCATTGTGTCAATTTAATCCTCTGAGAAATAAACACTGACATAGATTTGGGAGGGTGAGAGATTTATTGGGGGCTAACAAGATAAAAGAGAGAGGAAGCAAAATTTGGCACAGAGAACCTCAGATTATCATGCTTGATCAACTCATTTGGGGAGTTGCTTTGAAGCAAAATTATGTTACAGAAGATCCATATTGGGCAGAAATGGCCAGATCCCATGATATGGTTTGGCTGTGTCCCCACCCAAATCTCATCTTGAATTGTAGTTCCCATAATCCCCACATGTGATGGGAGGGACCCGGTGGAAGGTAATTGAATCGTGGGGGCAGTCTCTCCCATGCTATTCTCATGATAGTAAGTTCTCACAAGATCGGATGGTTTTATAAGGGGCTTTCGCCTTTTGCTCAGCACTTCTCCTTAGTGTTGTCATGTGTGTTAGTCCGTTTTCATGCTGCTGATAAAGACATACCTGAGACTGGGTAATTCATAAAGACAAAGAGGTTTAATGGACTCACAGTTCCACGTGGCCGGGGAGGCCTCACGAACATGGTGGAAGGCAGAAGGCAAAAGGCATGTCTTACATGGCAACAGGCAAGAGAGAGAATGAGAACCAAACGAAAGGGGTTTCCCCTTATAAAACTACCAGATCTCATGAGACTTATTCACTACCATGAGAACAGTATCGAGGAAGTGGCCCCCATGATTCAATTATCTCCCACCAGATCCCTCCCACAACACATGGGAATTATGGGAGCTATAATTCAAGATGAGATTTGGGTGGGGACCCAGCCCAACTGTATCACCATGTGAAGAATGACGTGTTTGCTTCCTCTTCTGCCATGATTATAAGTTTCCTGAGGCCTCCCCAACCATACTGAACTGTGAGTCAATTAAACTTCTTTCATTTATAAATTACCCAGTCTCAGGTATGTCTTTATTAGCAGCATGAGAACGGACTAATTCACCACAGTACCTTAACTGTGTCCAGTCATCACCTGGGACTGCCCAAGAATAGCTTGACTATATCTCTAAAGATGAGGCAAAATCCTGAAGGTGCTAACAGCTGCAGGCTCTCAGCTTGCAGACCTTATTGCAGCTCAACAGTAATGTTATTTTGTAAAGGGAAATTCAAGTGGTGCAGCTCCATGACTGCCACAAGCAATAAAACATATCATATAACTAGGGAATAAATGTAATGAAAGAGGTGCCAGACCTGTATACATAAAACTACACAATAATATTAAGAGAAATTAGAGAAGACCTAAATAAACAGAAGGATATAGCATGTTCATGGCTTCAAAGGCACAACATTGTAATGATGCCAACTGGAATCGCTAATCTCTAGATTCAAGGCGTCCCAGTAAGTACTATTTTTTTGTGTGGACGTTGACAAGTTGATCCTAAAGTTCTATAAAAATTTAAAGAATAACCACAACACTCCTGAAAAACAAACTCAAAGTTCTTATATTTCCAGTAAGAAATAAAGTATGGTGTTGACACAATCTTCTCAACAAAGGACCAGTAGAATAGTAAGTCTATTCTATTGTTCACCTAATTTATACCAAATTGCTGTTGAAAATAATGGGAAAAAATTATCTCTCAATAAAAGATACTGGTCAAATTGGATACCCAAGTGGAAAAAAATGAACTTTTACCCCATGATACCAAATATAAAAATTGCAGATGGATTGTAGTTGTAAATATGAAAGTTAAAATAACAATGCTTCTAGAAGATAATATAGAATAGTATCTTTATAACCTTGGAGTAGGCAAATATTTCTTAAAGGTATTAACCAGGAAAATAAGGATTGATAAATTGGAACACATAAATGTTTAGAACTCTGTTTATTATAGGACACCTCTAAGTGAGTGAAAAAGCAATTTATGGAATGAGAAAAGATATTTGTAATACATACAGCCAACCAAATTCTCATACCCAATAACTAGAAAGAATTCCTGCAAATCAATAATATAAGGCAGGCAATTCAGCTAAAAAATAGGCAAAAGACTGGAATAGGTACTTTACAACAGAACATCTCCCAATGTTCATTAAGAATAAAAAAGTGCTTTAATTAATCATAAATTCATATTATTTGTATTCTGATGCTTTGACATCTTAGAGCCTTGCTGACCTTGGAGGGACCTTTCCTTCCAGAATTAGCTAATTCCTAGAGATAGATTAAACAATCTGAGAATGTTTCATATGTAAACCAACCAATCCAGAGCCCATATTTCAACCTCCTCCTTTGTGGGTCTCCAACATTTGGAGCCACTATTCTCCTACCCTAGTCACCTCAGGACCAGGTATCAGACAATTAGGAACAGCCCCTATACCCCAGAGAGTACAAATATTATTCAAACTAGCCAATTTTAAACCTGTTCATCTTGCCTCTCCTGTTCCTTCCCATGAAAATCACAACAAAGGCACTTGCCCATGTTTTGCCCTTGCTTTCCTGACTGCCTTGTTGCTTTCCTGTGTGGCCCCCCCTATGGTGTGCTATGCCTCCTGTTTTTAGGGAGCTGTGAGTATGAAAACTGTGTCTGTGTGTCTTTTGATACCTGATTAAGAGAAATGCAAGTTACTCTTAAAACAGTGCCTCACCTCATTGGAAATGCAAATAAAAATCACAGTGAGATCCTACAACTTACCTATCAGAATAGCTAGAATGAAAAAGACTAAAAATACCAAGTATTTATAAGAATGTGGAACAATGAGAACTTTCACATACTGCATATCCTGCTGGTGGGTGTGCAAATTGGCACAACTATTTTAGAAAGTAGTTTGACAGCATCTACTAAAGTTGAATATTATATACCCTATGACTTGCCATTTCTACTTCTAGATATATGCTCAACAGAAATGCACAATACATGTACCAAAATACATGTTTAAGAATGATCATAGAAACATTACTTGTGATAACTCCAAATTAGAAACAACTCTAATGTCCATCAAGAGTTGAATGAGTAAGTATATCATAGTTTATTCATACAATAAAATACTGTGGGACAATGAAAATTATCTACAACTATGCACAGTGAATCTCAACAAATATACTGTTGAACAAAAGAAGTCAGGCAGTGAAGAGTATATGATGTATGATTCCATTTATATGGGGCTCAAATCAGGAAAAGTCTATGGTGACTGAAGTTGAGATAATAGCTTACCTTTGGGGATGGGGGGCTGGAGGGATTATGACTGGGAGGGATATGAAAGGAAACCTACTTGTGTGTTCACAATATTTTCTTTCCTGATGTCAGTGGTGGTTACATAGGTGGATTCACTTGGTGAAAATCCACAGAGCTGTACATTTAGGACTTGCACACTTTCTGTATGAATGCTATAATTCAACAAAAATGTTGAAAAAAATCAATGAGAATTTTTGTGTACAGAATAATTGTTGCAAGGATGTAAATTATATTGTTATAAATACTTGCAATCATTTATGAGGAAAGCTTGTCCTAGTAGGGGATCACATTGCTGGAACACATGTGAAATGAGCTTGCAATCTAAATTTTATGAGGCTCCTTACGTTAAATGCTGTCCTGGCTGTCGGTCATGAAACTGCTTTGGTTATTACTGAAACTGAATGAAACTGTGTTTGGGGGGCTCCCACCTGGAGAGTTGGTGGCTTATTTAGAGTTGTGTTTTACTCTGTGCCCTTGGCCAGGTGCTACTTACTGACATTAGTTAATCTTGCTGAGTCTCTATTCTCTTATCAGTGGGATGTGACTAATAATAGTAATTGCCTCACAGAGTTGTGAAGAATCAATAAAGTAGTGTATGTGAATGGCTCAGTGCAGAGCCTGGCGCCTGAGTACATGCTCAGGAGTTATTCACTATTAATGTTTTTGTTGTGTTTGTGTTCTGACATGTTTTCAAGATTTATAATTTAGTTGTGTTTCTGTGATATGTAAACAGGAAGTAGAGGAGGGATATTATAAAGAGGAGCTTGGGCACAGCTTCACCTACCCCACCATGACCCCAGTTCACCCACGGAACCCGAGATCTTTGATGAGGGCCCATCCTGGGTCAGACTAGGTTTGGCAATCGTGCATGGGAGATGATTGAATAGAGGGCTCTTGGGCTTGCAAAGAGAGTAAGAGATGATATTTCTACTGGAGAGTTTGATCTAAGCCTGCTGAGAAGCGGTCAGCACCATAGCCAGGGAGCTCAAGGCCATACCTGAAATGTAAGTTCAGATTTACATGGGCCAAGAACTGAAGCTCCTGTGTTTATCTGCTTGTCTGAAAAATAAGACTTTTTTTTTTTTTTTCTGAGACAGGATCTTGCTCTGTCACCCAGGCTGGAGTGCAGTGGTGCAATCATGGCTCACTGCAGCCTCAACCTCCCAGGCTCAATACATCCTCCCACCTCAACCTCCTGAATAGCTGGGACCACAGGCTCATGCCACCACACCTGGCTAATTTGTGTACTTTTTGTAGAGACGAGGTTTTACCATGTTGCCCAGGCTTGTCTCGAACTCCTGGGCTCAAGCTATCCACCAGCCTCAGCCTCTCAACGTGCTGAGATTACAGGCATAATGAAAAACTAGACTCCTCCTAAAAAGATCAATGTGAATTTGGAGAAGATGTCCTAGACCTGAGGTCATATCTATACTAAACTATCGTGTGGCAATACTCACTATTTGTAAAGCACAGTAAAAGCTCATATAAAAGTACTTAGAAAGGGTAAAAATCATCCAAAAACACAAGTGGGCTTCTGAGTTACCCAGGAGACTCTGAGCATTGCCCTTCTCGCCTTTAGCTTGTCACTCCAAATGCTTCCAGTGACTGGGCTCTGAGGCTGGCCTCACCTTTCAGTGTTCCACCCCAGGGATTCTCCATCAGCCAACTTCATAGGCCAGGAGTTATTACGGGCTGCTTCACGAGATGTTCAAAGGCCAGCTGTGAGTTTGTTTCACTTAACTCAGAGAAGGTTAATGGAATCTCAGACATGAAATCTCTAAGTAACACATGAAATTCCTCACTCCCTTTATGTAGCCATGGTCTGCATGAGAAATCAGAAGAGGAAGCAAGATTACTACAGTGTTAGGCTGGGATCCCACCAAGTGGGCCACGGCTGGCTCCCATTCCCTCTGCATATCTTGCATGTTAACTGGAGACAACTGTCAAAGTTCAAGGAGGAACCAGCTCAACAAAGCCTGATCATGAAAAGTTATACCAAAATCTGGGATCTGTTATTCTGACTCTTCATACCAGCACCAAAGAATTTGTTTACATTAGAAAGAAGAGTGTCTTTCCAATATGCTTTTGGAGATAAACTACAAGCAAACATGGAAACCTATACCAAAAAAAAAATGTGGCTTTTACTTTTTTTCCTAATTGATAAAAATCCTCATTAACTAGGCATCCAGAAAAAGGAAGGCATGAAAATCTCTTGTTCCATGTTTCCTCTTTCTTACTACATTTTGATTTCTTCAGGCTGATTGTGCACACAATTAGATAAGAACCAAAAACAAGGATACATCTTGTAATTTTTTGAAAGATTATTGAGGAAGGCAGATATTTGAAGTGAGAGTTTTGCTTCAATCTCTGCTCTGCCACTTACTAGTTGTGTGACCTTGGGCAGGCCACTGTGCCTGTGTTCTTCATCTATCAAGTGAGGATAAGAATGCCAACAGACAGACGATAAACACAAGTCTTCAAAGTGCATCCTAGGCCCTGCTCTCTTTCTTGTGAACAATTCTTCCAACAACTCCCTGCTCCCTAGGTGAGCTCAGCCACATTTCCCACCTTCCATGTATGCCCTGCAGGTGCACCTGCCTACCTGACATCTCCTTTAGTTGTCACAAAGAGAACTTAACACAACCAAAATCAGACTCTTGATTTTCCCCCAAATTGGTCTTCTTTTAGTCTTTCTTAACTGAGAGGCTTCCTTTATCTACCAATTCATGAAACTAGAAACCTGAGAGTCCATTTTGATTCCTCCCATTCCCTCTCTTTGCCTCCTCTCCCACTTCCAGTTCATTTACAGTCCTAGCTTGTAAATGCTAACTCCCAAAACCTCTTGAATCCACCTACTTCTACCCAGGTCCACTGCCACCACTCTTTTTTACTTTACCATGATACATTCCCATCCAACAGGTCTCGCCTTCAGTTACTCGAGATCCTCTGGAGTCTCTCTCCGCTGCCCTGGAGCCAGTGTGATCTTTTTAATATGTTCATCTTGTAGTGTCATTTACCTGCCTATGCCTTTTGGTGGCTTCCCACTGCTCTCAGGATAAAGACCAAAACCTTTAACACGATCTTCAAGGACAGCATGGTTTGGCTTTTCCCTGTAAGTTCGGCCTCATCTCAACTCATACTCTTATCTACTGAGCTCCACTCATAGGAGTTTTCTTTCATAGCTTTTTGTTTTTTCCAAACTTTTATTATGAGGTAATTTCAGACTTACAGAAATGTTGCAAAAATAGTACAAGGAATTCTTGTGTATCTTTAACACACATTCCTCAAATGCTAAATTTTACCACATTTGTTTAGTCTATTTTTTTCTGAACTTCTTGGGAGTATTATAATGAAGAAATTAATATAAATATAGTACCATTTTCTAATAAACAAACCTTCTTTAAAATTTGACTAATTATCCCATTAATGTCTTTTATAGCAAAAGAAAAAATGTTCTGCCCCAGAATCACAGATTCTACTTAGTTGCCATGTCTCTTTCAACTCCTTAATCTGGAACGGTTCCTCAGTCTTTTTTTGTCTTTTGTGATCTTGACACTTTTGAAGAGACTTGGCCAATTATTTTGTAACATGTCTCTCATTTTAGGTTTGTGTGATGGTTCCTCATGATTAGAGATAGGTTATAAATTTTTGACAGGACTATCACAGAAAGGATTCTGTGTTCTTGGTACATCAAATCGGGAAGCACGTGATATCAATTTATCCTGTTACTGTTGATGTTAACTTTGAGCACTTAATTAAAGTGATATCTGTCAGATCTCCACAGTAAAGTTACCATTTTTCCCTTTGTAATAAAAAATATCTTGTGGAGAGATACTCTGAGACTACAAAATAAACTTTCATCTTTTAATAATACAATCCACTGATGATTCTCATCTGAAATAATATTTACTATGGTGGTTGCCAAATGAAGACTCTTTTAAATTTAAAATGCCATGTTCTCTCCAACCCCAGGGCCTTTGCACATATTATGTCTTCTGCCTAAAATCCTCCTCCTCCTCTTCAACTGATTAATGATTATTTCTTTAGATCCCAGACCAAATGTCATTTTCTGAGATGTCTTCTCTGGCCCTTTCCCCATCCTGGGTAAGTCTCTCATTTATATATTGTTGGACATCATGTAGTACTTTGTAGCACTTGCAGGTGTAGTTTTACTTATTTTTGTGATTATTTAAAGTCTGTCTCCTCCCCTAGGCTATAAATACCATGAGGGCTTGTTTTTATGGACTATTATGATTCCAATGCCTAGCACAGTTCCTTGTATACATAGGCTGCTCATTCAATTTAAAGAACTCATAGAGTTCTTGTGATGATTAAACAAAATAAGATACATAATACTCCTAACATACAGTAGAATCTTAACAAATATTGGTGCTCTCCCCGTCCTCCAGCCCTCACATTGGTAAGGCTTTCTGTAACAGGTAAAACATCTTATACCAAACAAAAATTTGTCTTTGGAAATGACCTTCTGTGCCCTAAAAGTCGATCTTCACTTGAACTTTACTAACACTTCAATGGAAGGACATTTATAAAGAACAAGTCAGACTGAAATACAAGGTTACATTTCCTTTCTTATCTGCAACATATGTTGAAATGGGCTTCACTTGCCAATTTGAGAAATTAAACCTCCCTCTTATACTCTCTTTCAAAGTGACCCATGGTTATTTATGAGAGCTCTGCGGACAATTGATTTACATGTGAAGAACTTGTCTCTCAGGGTTTTCTAATCTGGTCTCTTTGCCCTGCTGCCGTACAGCTCCTGTGGCTCATCTTATGAGAGAGCCATTCTGCTCTCTTTGCACAATTGTCCTTCACAGGCAACCTCCATTGATGTCCCCTCTCTAGCCCCGGGGGAGGGACAGTACTGCTCTCCTCTTGTCTAAACATCTCAAAACAAGTGTTGGGGACTTCTGATTCAGGATGCAAAAACTGCTCATTCATAAACTCCCCCTATTCCCTGAGACACTGTTGAAATTTCAGGACTCAGAGAAACATGAATAGAAATATGCTTATAACAGAAAAGAGTTTGGAAGGAGAGATCACTGGTGAATACATGATTTCAAGAAATTCCCAGGCCAGGCACAGTGGCTCATGCCTGTAATCCTGGCAGCTTGGGAGGCCAAGGTGGGAGGATTGCTGGAGCCAAGGAGCTCAAGACCAGCCTGGGCAACATAGCAAGATCCCTTCTCTAAAAAAAAATTTGAAAATTAGCCAAGCACAATGGTGCACACCTGTAATCCCAACTACTTTGGGAGGATAAAGTAGGAGGATCGCTTGAGCCCATGAGTTCGAGGCTGCAGTGAGCCATGATTGTGCTACTGTACTCTAGCCTGAAGACTGTCTCAAAAAAAAAAAAAAAAAAAAAAAAAGAAGACAGAATTCCCAGAAGAGGGCAAATTAAAATGTGTTGATTAGTGTGCAATGCAGAGGAAGCTATAGGGCAGGTAGGGCCAGGAGAGGAGGTGGGAGCTGATCTTACCTGTGAAACTTAAGAGGCTCTGGGCTCTAGGTCACAGGTATAAGAGGCAGTAGTAAGAGAGAACAGGAAAAAGGAGGATTTATTGAAGGTAAGCGGGTCAGAAGTCAGCCCCACACTCCTTCTCTCCTTGATGTCCAGTTACAGAACAATTACGAGCTTAGATTCACTCCAAGACTGAAAAACAAATAAAAGCCAAAACTAAACCAAACCAAACAAAAAAAAATGGTCATTCCTCTAAAGAAAGAGAACAATCTTGGAGCTCCAGTGGTGCAGTCAGTTAGCGTGTTGTACTTATACAGAAAGAGAACAATCTTCAGAGACTGAGACTTCCAGGTGGCTATTACTTCCTCCAGAATAAAACATTTTTTTCTTCTGGAATTTGGGTAGATTGTTTCTCACTCATCATCCTGAAGCAAAGCCTGCCATTGGCTATTTCCCATTCAGATACACAAAGGTTACAATAAGCCTTACCAGGGCAGAGGACTGTTAGGGAAAATAATTATAGAGTTTCTATAAAGCAGGAGAAGGAAACCATACCAGCTACCTAAAATAATCAGCCTTGTCCCTCATTCTTGAATATACATAAACAACATATAAGGAAGAAGACTAATATGTAAAGAATGACCAAATAAATAAAACTGACCCTGGAGGAACCAGAGCTATTTAGGGAAACAGAAGATAACTTTTTAAAAATCTAATTATATTCTCAAAGAGAAGTGAGAATATGTTGTCAAGACAGGAATACAACAATATAAAAAAGGAATAGTCAAAGATTAACCCTTGAAATTAAAAAATTCTGTTAAAATATTTAAAAATCAACAGCAAGGTTTGGTAATAAAGTGAAAGCAATCTTCCAAGCTATAGAACTAGAAGATAAATAGAAAACATAAGAAAAAAATATAAGCAAAAGATCAATCCAGGGTTCAACATACGAGTAATAGTAGTTTCAGAATTTAGACTATGTGATATAGGGTAGAATATTTTGTAATTGTGAGTAAAATTTCCAAGAGTTAACGAAAGGCACAAGTTTTCAGTTTCATGGGGCTCATCAAGTGCTTTGCCGTATGAAAGGGAAATTGATCCATGTGTAAGAATAATTTCATCAATCTCAGAAAGGTGAAAATAAAAAGAAGACTCGAAAGGTTTCAGAGTGAGACAAACTAACACATCAAGTAGCCTACATTGTAACCAAAAATCTGGCATCAGCAACTCTGGATACTAAAAGTTGTGGAGCAATGCCATAAAATTCTAAGGGAAAATTATTTTGACTTGAATTTAATTTGACCTAGAATTCTGTATCCTGCGGAACTGTTACTCAAGTGGGGGGGTGGGAGGGGGGTGGGGGGGTGGCTAATACAGTTTTAGGCATTCAGGGACTCAGAGGGTAAAGAAAGCCACGATTAAGGACAGAGTGGTTTCTAACCTGACAGTGTGCTGAAGGAAAGTTCCAGCATGGCAGCTGTGCATTGGGCCTGGAGAACAGTTAGTTTACAAGGAGGGAAGAATTGGAGAGCTGTTGGAGGTTGTCTGAGTGAAACGAGGGTTCTGTGCAAGACTATCATTGAAAGGCAGGGAGAAATTGAGGATACTCTAATAGCTTATTAATCTTCATTAAACAAGAAAAAAGGCAATTTGAAATCTTGGAAAAACCAAATAGAACAAAGTCATGGGTCACACAGAAAATTCATTACATTGTGATATGACTGGGGAATGGGTTGAGTGTAAGGACAGGGAATTTATTTGATCTTGACTCTACCAACGTTTTTCTCCAAATGTCCCAGGGGTTAAAATATTTTACTTGTAGAGAAAGAAGAGTAATTATATGATACCAATTGGCTCTGTGATAAACCATATTTATGTAGTAATTGCCATGTAAAAGGTGTTTATTGGCTTGTTAGTGTTGAGACTCAATCTAGAAAGGAAGTGTGGAAGATTTAATTAAGCTTATGGAATTGTACTTAAATGTTATTGTCCTCAGTCATGTAAAAGAAAATATACAACAGAAGTATGGATAAGGAAAGAAGATAAATGAGAACAGTAAGTTAGGGACAGTCAGATCCTCAATTTATAGTGGTAGGTGGTAGTTAAGTAATACTGCCAAAAGTTGATGGAACCAAAACTAGGTGTTTATATATGTTATTTAAAATTATACTGGCAGCTGGTAGATATTGTGAATAGTTGAGTGCTACTATTTATTCCTGATAGAAAATAGAAGACGGTAAAAGGAAGATTGTTGTCATTTCTCCAGCTCATCACTAAGCAGTAAATAGTCATGATTATTGCTAAGAATATTGACTGGGCTATATTTGAAAATTAATGAGTACAGACATACAGTGCTTTTCAATTGCTAAACATTTTCTTTAAAGGGGACAGGCTCTCTAGGGCACTTACTTAATGTTTTTAGTGCTTGAGGCCCGAGTAGAGTGAAGAGTGCAAATATTCCATGTTTCCAGCCGCCCTAATTGTCTATGATAATGATAAAACTGCTGGAGAAATGTCCCGTTAAAAACCAAAGAGGGCCAATTTCCAGATGCACCACTGAGCACAAATGCACTTATTCTGCTGGTCCATTTGACAGCAGCCTCCTCAAGCCCAACTCAAGTGGCACTTGCCAGGGAGATGAGACTGGAGCCAGTGGTCCCATCCACAGGACCAGCAAGGCCACAGCAGCACTGTCTGGGCCTCTGTGACCACGGCAACTCTCTCTGCCAAGCCATCACCTGAGATTCAGATGAAAGAGGATGTTTGCTCCTGGGAACATGTCTTGTACAAGGCAGGTAACAGTTTCAGACTCATGTCAGTGCTCTGCTTGATGCCCTATGAGACAGTAGAACTAAATGAGTGGCAAAGGCAGTCCTTCTCTGGCAGGCTTTCTTCTGAACTGATCTAGAGACATGAACCTCTCGTTATGAAGAAAGATAGTTCCCTATTCAGGGAGAATTACTGCTCTCTCCTGCTGACATTGAGAAACCTGCTAAGTCTGATGCTTTAAGTAGGAGGCCCTTTAAATTGGAATTCTTGTCAGGCATCTAAGTTCACTTTTCACTTTATAGTGGAAATCGGGCCCGGCCTGGTGGCTCCTGCCTGTAATCCCAGCACTTTGGGAGGCTGAGGCAAGAGGATCACTTGAGCTCAGAAATTCAAGGCTGCAGTGTTCTATAATTGCTCCACCGCACTCCAGGATGGATGACAAAGTGAGACCCTGTCTCTCTCTCTTTCTGTATATCTATCTATATCTATATCTATATCTATATCTATATCTATATCTATATCTATCTGTATATAGATAGATATACAGAGAGAGAGTAGAAATTGGGTCAAATGCCTGTAGTTATATTCTTTCTTAACATGGAGATAATGAGATTCTGTAAAATAGGATTTTAAATTATTTACTATGACCCAAGAAATATGCAGAAGTATGCTCAGGTAACTGACAGCTGAGCTCTTACCTCCTAATTTTTCAGGATAGATAGGCTAAGTTTTGAAAAGTCTGCCTTGACTGCAGCCTCATACTAAGGGATTCCTGTGCACTGGCTTCTCATGATGGAAGTAATGGTCAAGTTACACATTAGTGCCTCACTTCTATATCTTAAACAAATCAGACCTGTAGAAGGTGTCTGATGTATAGATTAGCAAATCCATAGCCTGATGAACGGCAGCCTGTGATAGCATGCAGCATGGAAACTCTGCCAAATAGGAACATCATGAAACTTCCTCAGAAATTTGAACTGGAATTAGAGGAAGGCAGTTGATGAGTTTGTAGGAGTAACAGAAGTGGGACAGCACAGTCTGAGAAGGTAATACACAGATAAAATATGGAAGAGTCCAGGAGACATCATTACCATGAGCATACACATTTCAAGATAGAGCAAAGTCACTAGAGTAGAGGCTGGCATGGATTGTGGAGACGGGGTGGCAGAAGCAAAGACAGAGACGAACTGAGTCAATGTTAATGGTGGAGTTCAAATTGCAGATTAATAACATTCTGCAACTGAGAGAATGTCTGAGGTGCTCTGGTGCTTCCCTTGAGGTCTGGTATGCAGCTGTTTCTCGGCTTCATGGCATACCCTTGCTTCCATGTGTAACTTCATGAGAGACTCCCACAGTGTGAACGAACCGGCAAGGGTCTCTGTTCTTTGCAGCCCAAAGAACCCGGCTAAACACACCAACCCATCTATGCTGCCTTTCTAGTTGGACGTGTTCTTTTGAGACTGCTTTCCTGGGGAGGTGATAAAGTAACTGAGGCAATGAAAAAACTAGTCTGAAGCAAAGAAAATCAGCATTGCCCCCTAAAGCCTAAGAGTAGCACACCAAGGCAAGTTATTTTCTGTATCCAGGAAAAGACAACTGAGGAGCAAGTGCTGAGTGCTTGGGGATTATGTCAGAAACTCCATTTCCAATGTCTTCACTGCCAAGGAATCCCCATTACCCCCACCCCACCCCACCCTCAACCAACCACTTCGGTTTTTCTCCAAGGACACTAAGTTTTGAAAAGATTTAATCTAGCAAACTGGCTCTGTTTATTTAGGTAATACATCATTTTCTCATTGGAATAGATATGAGTCTTACCCATAAGCTCAGGATGAATAGATAATACTTTTTTTACTCTCTAACTCTACCTAATTTTATTCTGAGTCCCCATTTCACTGAGGCAGGAGGAAATTTAACTCAGTCATTCTTGAGGCACTATGTCCCAAGTGAGATAGGGTGCAGGGAATGGTACTGGTCACTAGCCATCTCTGTCCCCATGAGTGGTTAATTCTGAGATCTCCATGGTTTCTTCAGGCTCATTCTCCACAGCTCCCACACCACAGTTGGGCATTGAAATCTTCACTGTGGCCAGAAACTCAGTGCTAGTGTCTCTTTCCCTGAGTGTGACTTGCAGCCATCCCCTGGAAGGTCTGGCCCTTGCCTAGGGGCACTGTCTTGGAAAAGGGCAGTGGTCCAAGATTTTTCTCTTCCTCTTCTGGGCCAGTTGGGAAATCTTTGCTTTTTAGTTTCAGAGCCCTCCCCTATAAAATTAATCTGGATGATAGGAAGTTGAACAGGAAGCCCAGTGCCTGTGGAAAGTTTATTATATAACTGTAACTTGAGCGCTTAGCCATACACACACAAATGTGCATGCATGTGTGTGCTCAGCTGAATTAAATTAGTCACTAAAATCGTGTTTTCTCTCTCAGAATTAAATAATAATTATGTTGATTGAATGCACACGGCGTATGAAGTGACCTGGTAAGTATAAATAAGCTAGTGGGATTTCTGGAGTTTATTTTGGTTGAGTCCCAAAGCAAAGAGGAGCCATGTGGATTAGAGACTCTCATAAAATAAATTCCGTGAAGCAAGTCAATGAACTGTCAGCTCAGTCTCATTAACTTTAGGGAGACCCCAGATGAGGCCTTATTTCTGAAATATCTGGTTGCAGGAAAAGTAAAAACCTGCAAATGTCTCCTTTATGTCTCTTGTTGCCACTAAATTGCTGCCCACTTAATTCTAACCCTGGGCCTCTGCAGAAGGAACTGAATGACCCTGGGCTTGGGGATACATTTTGTTTCTGGGCTTCTGACTTTCTCTTTTAAGTACCCTCCTGCCTATCTTCCAGACTGAAAAAGTCCTCTCTGTGTTTCTCTCAGTTGTCTGTACTAACAGCCTTGAAATTTTAGACCTGTCCCCAGTGATTGGAAAGTGCTGACTCATCAGTTCCAGGATTTTTTCTAAAATGTGTCTTCAGTGGCCTGTGTGGGGAGAGAGGGAAAGACAGAGCAGAAACACCTTTCCTGTGACCAGGGCTTTAAGCTTAGTGTATTCAGGACTTCAGTGCACATTATTTATCTGACCTCACACAGCATTGTGCAGAGTGGTGGTGGTGTCCTTTCACATATGTGATACATGGGGCTCAGCGAGGCAGAGGGGCTTGCTCGGGGTCATAGAGCAGAGCCAGAACTGGACCAGCTCTTCTGTTTCCCACCTCCGTGCTCTTTGCCTGATACCCAGTCCTTCTCAATGGAACTAGGTAGTAGCCATACAAGGAGCTCTTAATGTGAGCATGCTTCTGGCCCAGTGGAAACAGCAAGAAAATATTAGACACATTTCTTGCCCTTGAGTCACATAGAGCTTAGTTGTCGCTTTTTTTTTAACTTTTATTTTAGGTTCAGGGGTACATGTGCAGGTTTGTTTTACAGGTAAGCTGCATGTCACGGAGGTTTGGTGGAAGGATTATTTCATCACTCAAATAATAAGCATAGTACCCAGTAAGAAGTTTTCAATCTTCTCACTTCTTACACCCTCCACTCTCACGTAGGCCCCAGTATCTGTTGTTCTCTTCTTTGTGTCCATGTATACTCAGTGTAGCTCCCACTTATAAGTGAGAAGATGTGGTACTTGGTTTTCTGTTCCTGCATGAATTCACTTAGGATAATGGCCTCTGGCTCCATCCATGTTGCTGCAAAGGACATGATCTCATTTTTTATGGCTACATAGTATTCCATGGTATTTATGTACCCCATTTTCTTCATCCAGTCTACCACTGATGGGCATTTAGGTTGATTCCATATCTTTGCTATTGTGAATAGTGCTGTGATGAACATATGCATGCATGTGTCTTTATGGTAGAACAATTTATATTCCTTTGGGTATATACCCAGTAATGGAATTGCTGGGTCAAATGGTAATTCTGTTTTAAGTTCTTTCAGAAATCACCACACTGCTTTCCACAATGGCTGAACTAATTTATATTTGTACCAGCAGTGTTTAAGTGTTCCCTTTTCTCCACAACCATACCAGCATCTGTTATTGTTTGGCTTTTTAATAACAGTCATTGTGACTGGTGTGAGATGGTGTCTCATTGTGGTTTTGATTTGCATTTTTCTGATGATTAGTGATGCTGAGCATTTTTTCATATGCCTGTTGGCCATGTATATGTCTTCTTTTCAAAAGTGTCTGTTCATGTCCTTTGCCCACTTTTTAATGGGGTTGTTTGTTTTTCATGTAAATTTGTTTAAGTTCTTTATACATTCTTGGATACTAGACCTTTGTTGGATACATGGCTTGAAAATATTTTCTCCCGTTCTGTAAGTTGTCTGTTTATTCTGTTGATAGCTTATTTTGCTGTGCAGAAACTCTCTAGTTTAATTAGGTCCCATTTGTTGATTTTTATTTTTATTGCAGTTGCTTTAGGTATCATTGTTACAAAATCTTTGCCAGGACCTATGTCCAGAATGATATTTCCTAGGTTATCTTCCAGGGTTCTTATAGTTTTATATTTTACATTTAAGTCTTTAAACCACCTTGAGTTTTTTTGTATATGGTATAAGGAAGGGGTCCAGTTTCAATCTTCTGCATATGGATAGCTGGTATTCCCAGCACCATTTATTGAAAAGGGAGTCCTTTCCCCATTTCTTGTTTGTGTCCAGTTTGTCGAAGATCTAATAATTGCAGGTGTGCAGCTTTATATCTGGGCTCTCTATTGTGTTCCATTCGTCTGTGTGTTTGTTTTCATACCAGTATCATGTTGTTTTGGTTACTGTAGCCCTGTAGTATAGTTGAAGTAGGGTGGCATGATGCCTCCAGCTTTGTTATAGCCTTGGCTATTTGGGATTTTCTTTTGGGTTCCATGTGATTTTTAAAATAGTTTTTTTCTAATTATGTGAGAAATGTCATTGGTAGCTTGATAGGAATAGCACTGAGTCTATAAATTGCTTTGAGCAGTATGGCCATTTCAATGATATTGATTCTTCTTATCCATGAGCATGGAATGTTTTTCTATTTGTTTGTATCATCTCTGTTTTTTTTTTCTCAGTGAAGTGATTTTTTTATTCCTTCTCATTTGCAGACATATATATATATATATATATGCAAACACAAACATATAAACAAATGTGTTACTTTTTTAAGGATGTTTCTTTTTTTAATTTTACTTTAAGTTTCGGGATACATGTGCAGAATGTGCAGGTTTGTTACATAGGTATACGTGTGCCATGGTGGTCTGCTGCACCTATTGACCCATCCTCTAAGTTCCCTCCCCTCGCCCTCTACCTGTAACAGGCCCTGGTATGTGTTGTACCCTACCTGTGTCCATGTGTTCTCATTGTTCAACTCCCACCTATGAGTTAGAACATGAGTTTGGTTTTCTATTCCTGTGTTAGTTTGCTGAGAATGATGGCTTCCAGCTTTATCCACGTCCCTGCAAAGGACATGATCTCATTCCTTTTTATGGCTATGTAGTATTCCATAGTATATATGTACCACATTTTCTTTGTCCAGTCTATCATTGATGAGCATTTGGGTTGGTTCCATATCTTTGCTATTGTAAATAGTGCTGCAGTAAACATACATGTGCATGTGTCTTTATAGTAAAATGGTTTATATTCCTTTGGGTATAGAACCAGTAATGGGATTGCTGGGTCAAGTGGTATTTCTGGTTCCAGATCCTTGAGGAATTGCCATACTGTCTTCCACAATGTTTGAACTAATTTACATTCCCACCAACAGTGTAAAAGCATTCCCATTTCTCCACAGCCTCACCAGCATCTATTGTTTCTTGACTTTTTAATAACCGCCATTCTGACTGGCCTGAGATGGTATTTCATTGTGGTTTTGATTTGCATTTCTCTAATGATCAGTGATGTTGAGGTTTTTTTCATATGTTTGTTGGCCACATAAATGTCTTCTTTTAGAAGTGTCTGTTCATATCCTTTGCCCACTTTTTGATGGGGTTTTTTTTTCCTTGTAAATGTGTTTAAGTTCCTTTTAAATTCTATATATTAGACCTATGTCAGATGGGTAGATTGCAAAAATTTTCTCCCATTCTGTAGGTTGACTGTTCACTCTGATGATAGTTTCTTTTGCTGTGCAGAAGCACTTTAGTTTAATTAGATCCCATTTGTCAATTTTGGCTTCTGTTGCAATTGCTTTTGGCATTTTCATCATGAAGTCTTTGCCCATGCCTATGTCCTGAATGGTATTGCCTAGATTTTCTTCTAGGGTTTTTATGGTTTTGGGTTTTACATTTACATCTTTAATATATCTTGAGTTAATTTTTGTATAATGTGTAAGGAAGGGGTCCAGTTTCAGCTTTCTGCATATGGCTAACCAGTTTTCTCAGCACCATTTATTGAATAGGAGATCCTTTCCCCATTGCTTGTTTTTGTCAGGTTTGTCAAAAATCAGATGGTTGTAGATGTGTGGTATTATTTCTGAGGTCTCTGATCTGTTCCATTGGTCTATCTTTCTGTTTTGGTACCAGTACCATGCTGTTTTGGTACCAGTACCATGCTGTTTTGGTTACTGTAGCCTTGTAGTATAGTTTTAAGTCAGGCAGAGTGATGCCTCCAGCTTTGTTCTTTTTGCTCAGGATTGTCTTGGCTATATGGGGTCTTCTTTGATTCCATATGAAATTTAAAACAGTTTTTTTCTAATTCTGTGAAGAATGTCAATGGTAGTTTGATGGGAATAGCATTGAATCTATAAATTACTTTGGGCAGTATGGCCATTTTCACGATATTGATTTTTCTTATCCATGAGGATAAAATATTTTTCCATTTGTTTGTATCCTCTCTTATTTCCTTGAGCAGTAACTTGTATTTCTCCTTGAAAAGGTCCTTCACTTCCCTTGTTAGCTGTATTCCTAGGTATTTTATTTTCTTTGTAGCAATTGTGAATGGGAGTTCATTCATGATTTGGCTCTCTGCTTGTCTTTGTTGGTGTATAAAAATGCTTGAGATTTTTGCACATTGGTTTTGTATCCTGAGACTTTGCTGAAGTTGCTTATCAGTTTAAGGAGTTTTTGGACTGAGATGATGGGATTTTCTAGACATAAAATCATGTCATCTGCAAACAGAGAACATTTGACTTCCTTTCTTCCTAATTGAATATGCTTTATTTCTTTCTCTTGCCTGATTGTCCTGGCCAAAACTTCCAATACTATGTTGAATAGGAGTGGTGATAAAGGGCATATTTGTCTTGTACCAGTTTTCAAAGGGAATGCCTCCAGCTTTTGCTCATTCAATATTATATTGGCTGTGGGTTTGTCATAAATATCTCTTATTATTTTGAGATATGTTCCATCAATACCTAGTTTACTGAGAGTTTTTAACATGAAGGGACTTTGAATTTTATCAAAGGTCTTTTCTGTATCTATTGAGATAATCATATGGTTTTTGTCTCTGGTTCTGTTTATGTGATGGACTATGTTTATTGATTTGCATATGTTGAACCAGCCTTGCATCCCAGGGATGAAGCCAATGTGATTGTGGTGGATAAGTTTTTTGATGTGCTCCTGGATTCAGTTTGCCAGTATTTTATTGAAGATATTTGCGTTGATGTTCATCAGGAATATTGGCCTGAAGTTTTCTTTTTTGTGTGTATATTTCTTCCTGGTTTTGGTATCAGGATGATGCTAGTTCCATAAAATGAGTTAGGGAGGAGTCCTTCCTTTTCAATTGTTTGAAATAGTTTCAGAAGGAATGGTACCAGCTCCTCTTTGAACCTCTGGTAGAATTTGGCTGTGAATCCTTCTGTCCAGGGCTATATTTTCTTGGTAGGCTATTACTGCCTCAATTTGAGAACTTGTTATTGGTCTATTCAGGGATTCGACTTCTTCTTGGTTTAGTCTTGGGAGGGTGTATGTGTCCAAGAATTTATCCATTTCTTCTAGATTTTCTGGTTTATTTGCATAGAGGTGTTTTTATAGCATTCTCTGAAGGTAGTTTGTATTTCTGTGGGGTCAGTGGTTATATCCCCTTTGTCATTTTGTATTGTGTCTATTTGATTCTTTTCTATTTTCTTCTTCATTAGTCTAGCTAGGGGTCTATCTATTTTGTTAATTTTTTTGGTGTCTCTATCTCCTTCAACTCTGCTCTGATTTTAGTTATTTCTTGTCTTCTGCTAGGTTTTGGATTCATTTGCTCTTACCTCTCTAGCTCTTTTAATTGTTATGTTAGGGTGTTGATTTGAGATCATTCTAGCTTTCTGATGTCGGCATTTAGTGCTACAAATTTCCCTCTTAACACTGCTCTAGCTGTGTCCCAGAAATTCTGGTACATTGTCTCCTTGTTCTCATTGGTTTCAAACAACTTCTTGATTCTGCCTTAATTTCATTATTTACCCAAGCGTCATTCAGGAGCAGGTTGTTGAATTTCCATGTAATTATGTGGTTTTGAGTGAATTTCTTAATCCTGAGTTCTAATGTGATTGCACTGTGGTCTGAGAGACTGTTTGTTATGATTTCAGTTCTTTTGTACTTGCTGAGAAGTGTTTTACTTCCAATTATGTGGTCGATTTTAGAATAAGTGCCATGTGACACTGAGAAGAATGTATATTCTGTTGATTTGGGGTGGAGAGTTCTGTAGAAGTCTATTAGATCCACTTGATTCAGAGCCGAATTCAAGTCCTGAATATCCTTGTTAATTTTCTGTCTTGTTGATCTGTCCAATATTGACAATGGGGTGTTCAAGTCTCCCACTATTATTGTGTGGGAGTCTAAGTCTCTTTGTAGGTCTCTAAGAACTTGTTTTATGAATCTGGGTGCTCCTGTATTAGATGCATATAATAGCTCTTCTTGTTGAATTGTTCCTTCTTATGTAGTGCCCTTCTTTGTCTGTTTTTTATCTTTGTTGGTTTAAAGTCTGTCTTATCAGAGACTGGGATTGAAACCCCTGCTTCTTTTTTTGCTTTCTATTTGCTTGGAAAATTTCCCTCCATCCCTTTATTTTGAGCCTATGTGTGTCTTTGCATGTGAGATGGGTCTCTTCAATATAGCACACCAATGGGTCTTGAAGACTCTTTATCCAATTTGCCATTCTGTGTCTTTTAATTGGGGCATTTAGCCCATTTACATGTAATGTTAGTATTGTTATGTGTGAATTTGATCCTGTCATCATGATGCTATCTGGTTATTTTGCACACTAGTTGATGCAGTTTCTTCATAGTGTCATTGGTCTTTATATTTTGGTGTGTTTTTGCAGTGGCTGGTACTGGTTTTTCCTTTCCATATTTAGTGCTTCTTTCAGGAGTTCTTGCAAGGCAGACCTGGTGGTAACAAAATCCCTCAGCATTTGTTTGTCTGGAAAGGATTTTATTTCTCCTTCGCTTATGAAGCTTAGTTTGGCTGGATATGAAATTCTGGGTTGAAAATTCTTTTCTTTAAGAATGTTGAATATTGGCCCCTAATCTCCTCTGGCTTGTAGAGTTTCTGCTGAGAGGTCTGTTAATTTGATGGGCTTCCCTTTGTAGGTGACCTGTGCCAAAACCAGCTCGGCTGGGGAGACCCTCACCCAATGGCGCTAGAGGAATTAAAGATACACCCACAGAAATATAGCATGTGAAGTGGGAAATCAGGGGGACTCACAGCCTTCAGAGCTGAGAGCCATGAACAGAGATTTACCCACATGTTTATTGACAGCAAGCCAGTGATAAGCATTATTTCTACAGATTATAGATTAACTAAAAGTATTCCTTACGGGAAACAAAGGGATGGGCCGAAACAAAGGGATGGGCTCTGGCTAGATATCTGCAGCAGGAGCATGCCCATAAGGCACAGATCACTCATGCTATTGTTTGTGGTTCAGGACCCCCTTTAAGCAGTTTTCCATCCTGGATGGGCCAGGGGTTCTGGTAAACCAACAACCTTCAGCGTGGGCATCATGGCCATCACGAACATGTCACAGTGCTGCAGAGACTTTGTTTATGGCCGGTTTGGGGGACAGTTTATGGCCAGATTTGGGGGCCTATCCCCAGCAGACCTGGCCTTTCTCTCTGGCTGCTTTTAATATTTTTTCCTTCATTTCGACCTTGGAGAATCTGATGATTATGTGTCTTGGGGTTGATCTTCTCGTGGAGTATCTTAGTGGTGTTTTCTGTATTTCCTGAATTTGCATGTTGGCCTGTCTTGCTAGGTTGGGGAAGTTCTCCTGGATAATATCCTGAACTGTGTTTTCCAGCTTGTTTCCATTCTCCCCATCTCCTTCGGTTACTCCAATTGTATATTTGGTCTTTTTACGAAGTCCCATATTTCTTGGAGGGTTTGTTCATTCCTTTTTATTTTTTCCTGTAGTCTTGTCTGCATGCCTTATTTCAGCAAGGTGGTCTTCAAACTCTAATATCCTTTCTTCTGCTTGGTCAATTTGGCTATTGATGCTTGTGTATGCTTTACAAAGTTCTTGTGCTGTGTTTTTCAGCTCCATCAGGTCATTTATGTTCCTCTCTAAGCTGGTTATTCTAGTTAGAAGCTCCTCTAACAGTTTATCAAGGTTCTCAGCTTTGTTGCATTAGTTAGAAAATGCTCCTTTGGCTCAGTGTAGTTTTTTATTACCCATCTTTGGAAGCCTGCTTCTGTCAATTCATCCATCTCATCCTCTGTCTAGTTCTGCACCCTTACTGGAAAGACATTGCTATCATTTGGAGGAAAGAGGCACTCTGGCTTTTTGGGCTTTCAAAATTTTTTCATTGATTCTTTTTCATCTTCATGAGTTTGTCAAGTTTTGATCTTTGAGGCTGCTGACCCTTGGATGGGGTTTTTTGGGGGGCTTTTTGTTGTTGTTGATGCTCTTTTTGCTACTTTCTGTTTGTTTGTTTTTTAGTGGTCAGGTCCCTCTTCTGTAGGGCTACTGTGGTTTTCTGGGGGTTCACTTCAGTCCCTATTCATCTGGTTTGCTCCCATGCCTGGAGATGTCACTCAAGGAGGCTGGAGAACAGCAAATATGGGTGCCTGCTCCTTCTTCCGGTATCTCTGACCTCAAGGGGAACCAACCTGATGCCAGTAGGATCACTCTTGTATAGGGTGTCTGACAACCCCTGTTGGAGGGTCTCATCTAGTTGGGTGGCATGGGGAATGGGGCCCATTTAATGAAGCACTTTGACTGTCCCTTGGTGGAGGGAGTGTGCTTTGCTGGAGGGAAACCCACTCATCTGGGCTGCCCAGATTCCTCAGAACTACCAGGAGGAAAGATTAAGTCTGCTGGTCCACAGACACTGAGCCACCCCTCCTGCTAGGGGCTCAGGCCCAGGGGGTTCTGGGTTCTGTCCCTGAGCCTCTGGCTGGAGTTATTGAAGTTCCTGCAGGGAAGCCCCACCAAGTGAGGAAGGAACAGTCAGGGTCAGGCCTGAAGAGGCACTCGGGCAGCAGTCTGCCACAGCCAGTGTGTTGCGCTGTGGGGGACACATCTTGGGACAAAGCCATCCAGCCTCCCTGGCTCCAACAGGGGAAAAGCGTGGCCTGGAGCAATAGAGATAGATGCTGCCCTTCCCCCACCCGGGGAGCTTAACATGTTAGGCAGTTGTGAGTCCCAGTGCTGGCTGCTGCCCCTCCCCAAGGAGCTCAACTGGCTTAGACAGCAGGCAACTGCAGCTGTGGTGCTGGTCTCCCCTTACCCTAGGAGAGCTCAGTAGGCTTAAGCAGATTCCAGCTAAGAGGCTGTTGAAAATCTGTGTGGCTACAGAGTTGGGATGCTAAGGCCTGGTGGTGTGGGTTTGTGAGTGGGATCTTCCAATCTATGGGTTGCAGTTCTGTGGAAAAAGCATGGTTTCCCTGGTTGGTTAGCAGGCTCACTCACCGCCTCCCTTGGCTGGGCAGGGGATCTCCCCTGCCCTGTATGGCTCTCAGGTGGCCTGCTGCACCACACTGTTCTTCCTTCCTCTCCGTGGACCATGCCAGCCACCTAGTCAGTTCTGATGAGAGAACCTGGATACCCTGGTTGCCAGTGAAGGATTCACAGTCTTATTATGATTCTTTTCAATGGGAGCCTCTGATTGCTGCTGTTTCTATTCTGCCATCTTGGCCCCATCCCCTCTCTGTTTTCTTTGAGCAGTGTTTCATTGTTCTCATTGTAGAGATCTTTCACTTCCCTGGTTAGCCATATTCATAGGTACTTTATTCTTTTTGAGACTATTGTGAATGTTATTGCATTCTTGATTTGTCTCTCAACTTGGATGCTCTTGATGTATAGAAATGCTACTGATTCTTGTACATTGATTTTGTATACTGGAACTTTGCTGAAGCTGTTTTTCAGATCTAGGAGCTTTCAGGCAGAGCCTATGGGGTTGTCTGGATATAGAGTCATATAATCTGCAAACAGAGATAGTTTGAGCTCCTCTCTTCCAATTTGGATGTCTTTTATTTCTTTCTCTTGCCTAATTGCTCTGGCAAGGACTTCCAGTGCTATGTTGAATAGGAGTGGTGAGATTGAGCATCCTTATCTTATTCCAGTTCTCAAGGCATATGCTTCCAGCTTTTGCCCATTTAGTATGATGTTGGCTGTGGGTTTGTTATAGATGGCTCTTGCTATTTTGAAATATGTTACCTCAATGGCATTTGCTGAGGGTTTTTAACATGAAGGGATGTTGAACTTTACTGAAAGCCTTTTTTTGCATCTATTGCAATGATCATGTGGTTTTTGTCTTTAGGTCTGTTTGTGTGATGAATTACATTTATTGATTTGTGTATGTTGAACCAACCTTGCATCCCAGGGATAAAGCCTACTTGATTGTGGTAGATAAGCTTTCTGATGTGCTGCTGGATTTGGTTTGCTAATATTTTGTTGAGGATTTCTGCATCGAAGTTCATCAAGTAAATTGGCCTGAGCTTTCTGTTTTTGTTGTGTCTTTGCTAGGTTTGGTACCAGGATGATGCTGGCCTCATAAAATGAATTAGGGAGGAGTTCTTCCTCCTCAATTTTTTCGAATAGTTTCAGTAGGAATAGTACCAGAATACATCAGGTAGAATTTGGCTGTGAATCTCTCTGGTCTTGGGCTTTTTCTGGTTGGTAGAGTTTGTACTAATGATTTAATTTTGGACCTTGTTATTGGTCTGTTCAGGCATTCAATTTCTTCCTGGTTCAATCTTGGGAAGTTTTATGTTTCCAGGAATTTATCCAGTGCTCAGCTCCCAACTTCTGCACTGTGTGTTCTAACTGTGGGGGACTTGTATCGGGCACTGACTTTGTTCTCTGGTTCCTCAAGATTAGGAGTCCACTCATTGGGACTCCTAAGTGCATTGGGAAGGCCTAAGTGCTCCCAGACTTCTGGCCACTACACTCTGATGGGTGGTGTCAGCCAAAGCATTTCATAGTATAGTGGCAGTGGGATCCATCCTTGTTTGCCTGTGCCAGTAGTGGCAGCAGTGGCAGCACAGCAGGGTGCATGCTTGTTGGCTGTGGCCAGGTGCTAGACGGTGCTGGGGTGCCTGCCTCCATGCAGCCATTTACCACAGAGGTAGCATGGCTCGGGGGGTGTGAAGCCCCTGCTGGTGACTGTACATATGATCCTGCTGATGTTGGTGTCAGCATGGGGGCATGGCACTGGCAGGCACAGGTCTGTGTGAGCATTCTTACACCACAGGCAGGAGTGGTCACTCAGGGTGGAGGAGGGTTCACTGTTCTTTGTGCTTAGTTTCACTCCCATGGCAGTGTGGGCACAAGTTCAGGGCTGGCTGACTCTGTGCCCACCAAGGTGCCATCTGCAATGGCAGTTCAGTGGAGGCAGGAGTGGGCAGTGTGCACTCCCGCTGCAGCACTGGTAAGGAAGGGTGCATGGACACATGCGTGCTGGTGGGGCAAGGAAGGCAAAACCCATCCACACACACATGCACCAGCAAAGCAGTGTCAGGGACTGCCGTGGGCCTGGGGGAAGTTGCAGTGTGGGAAGGGAGCAGGTGGGCTGGTGTGTGGTTATGGAGGCTGCTCTGCTGGAGCTTTCTGCTGGTCAGGCATAGTGTGCCAGCACAGGAGCTATGATGTAAGCCCCCAGGGCACCCAAGGCTGCCCTGCAAGCAGGCATGGCCAGGCTGGGGCCCCAGGAGAGGCCAGCAGACCAAGCATGCTTAGGTTGGACTGACCCAGTCTGATGGGCAAGACTGCCCTGCAGAGTTCAGGTGAACAGTTCCCCTAGGGCTAAAGTCTCCTATGGGACCACGTCGAGCCTCGGGAGATGGGCATCCCTGGTCATGCTCCACTAGAGACACTCCTGCACAAAACCCTCTGGGCTTCACATCAGCTGGCTTGCTGTCACCACCACTTCTCTAAACAGCTCTCCCTGCCAATTTGAGTGTCCATGGTGGTTGAGGTGTCTCTCCTGCCAGAATTCCAGAGGCAGAGGCCCATGGTGAGAGCATGTTGTTCCTTGCCAGTTCAACTCATCCATTCCCCCATAGTTGTTGGGGACCAGGAACAAATCCCATTGTGCAACAGCCCCATGGAGGGTTCCCAGCTTCCTCCCTCTTCAGCCCAGCTTCTGTGTCTCCCTCTGTCCACGCTCAGTGCCTTCCCTCTGATCTGTAAGGAGTGCTCCAGTTGTCTTGGTCCCTCAGTGGCAGCTGTTCCACCTGGCTGCAGCTTTTTGGCCATCTTGCCCAGTATTAAGGTGCAATTTTCTTTGCATGTGAAATGAGACCCGTCTCACTGAGACTCCTAGTGCTGTGTGTGTGCTACTGGTGGTTACTATTATTTCCATAGGACACATCCTCCAACCTGCTGACGTCCATTCTCATTCACTCTGCCTCCTCTCCGGTGACCTGAATCCCATGCCCCTGAACCCATTCTGGCATTTTACTCCGGCAGGAATTGCCACTCTCTGCTAGCTCATTCCCATCCACATCAAACAAGTACTATAATACCTCCCAGCTTTAAGAAAAATTACCTGTCCTTGACCCTGCTTTTTTCTCCTTCTATAGCATCATTTATCTGCTTCTTGTTGCAGTAAAACTACTCAAAAAAAAAAAAGTCTGTATTCACTGTCTTCACTTCCTCTTTTTTCATTTCCTCTTGAGATCACCCAAACAAGCTTTGATCCTCACCACTTCACAAAACTAGTCTTGTTAAGGTCACCAGGGGCATCCCTGCTGCAAATCCAATGGCTCAGTCTTTGTCCTCTTCTGATCGGCCTCCTGCAGTATTTGGCACTATTCACTCCCTGCTCCTTGCAGCCTGTTCGTCATTTGGCTTCTAGGACACCATTCTTCTGGTTTTCTGCATACCTCATTTCCTAGCTTTGTCTCTTCCAGGTCTCTAAATTACCACCTTCCTCAGAGCACAGTCCTCTTTTCTAATTACATTCACCTCCCAAGAAATCTCTTCCACTTTCATACTTTAAGTGGCATCTATCTGTTGTCAGTTCCTGTGAACTCCAGGATTGTACATCCAACTACCCACTCAACATCTCTACATCTTGCTTTCTCTTACACCCCACATCCAATCCTTCAGCAAATCCTGTTGACTATATCTTCAAATTTATTCAACTTCTCACCTCCCTTCACTAACTAGCCCCAGCCATAATGATCTCTCTCCTTGACTACCACACTAGATTTCCTAACTGTTCCCACATCTATACTTGTCGCCCCATAGAGAATTGCTACATGGCAGCAAGAGTTATCTTTAAAATGTAAATCCTATTATATCATTCTCCTGCTCAAAACTCTCCAATAGCTTCCCATAAAATTCTAAAGGTCTACAAGGCCCCACATGATCTGACCCCTAATTCTATCTTTAACCTCATGTCCTCACACTCCCTCTCTATCACTGCTCCAACCCCACTGGTCAACTTGCTATTCTTGGAGCATGCTGAGAGTGTTCCCAGCAGGGCCTCTACCCTTGCTATTCCCTGTGCTGGACTCCTTCTCCCAGAGAGTAGTGAGCCTGTTGCAATAGTTTTCTATTGTTGCAGTCATTTTAGAAATTACCACATATTTAGGAGCTTAAAACAACACCCATTCATTGTCTCACATTTCCACAGGTCAGAAGTCCACCACTGTGGCTGGAGCATTCCACTCCTAGGTATATTTCCAATAGGTATATTTCCAATAGAACACATACATGAGAGTACCAAGAAATGTGTACAAGGATGTTCAGAGAGCCCGCTTCATGATACCCTCATATGGGAAAGAGCCCTAACTAATAATAATCAACAGTAGAATGAATAAATAAATGCTGCATATTTTTGAGATGGAATGCTAGGCAACAAAAGGAGTGAACAAATTATAGCCACAGACAATGATGTGGATAAATCTAAACAACATAATTTTGAGTGAAAGAAGTCAAAAATCTAAAATGTGTGATTCCATTTAGTTAAGTGAGTTCAAAACACAATGAAACTATAATATTTAGGGATAAGGCATATGTGACAAACTATAAAGGAACAAAAGGATTAGTCACAGCCCAAGTCAGGATGGTTTCCTTTGTGGAGAAGGATGAGATAGGGATGGGAGGGGATTCTGAACATTCTCTTCTTGATCTTGGTGGTGGTCACACAGGGCTCCACTTTATGGAAACTTATTTAGCCATATAATTTTGATTTATGTGGGGTTTTTTGGTATATATTATAACACATAGAGAAAAAAATATATGTATCTGGAAATATAGGTTTAGAGGAAACTGTTCTGTGTCTAGAATTGAAGGCGCGTTGTGGGTTTTATTCGGTGGGATAGGAAACTGTTGAAGTGCTTGTTTGCTAGGCACGCAGGGGATCTTTTTGCCAAAACATTAACAAAAATCCAAATAAATGAGAAGTTTTCCTATAATTCTACCATTTTCACTTTTGAGTACTTCTTAAAAAATTTTTACCATCCTTGCTAGATGAGTGGATAAACCAGGATATGGCTTTAATTTTCAATACTTAAAAAAAAAGATATAGGTCAATGTTTCATGTCACTAACCAGTCTTCATAATAATTTTTATTGACTTTATAATGTTCATTTGAGTGGATTTACCTTAATTTACTTAACCATTCTCTTATTATTGCTTTAAATCCATTCTGACATTTCATTATTATAGGCAATACCTCATAAGCATCGTATCCCCATAGAATGACTGCCTCAGAATACATTATCAGAATATCATTTTAAGGTCAAAGATTATGAATATTTTAATGAATATTGATACTTGCAAATTACTTTCCAAAAGAATTTTTACTAGTTCATATTGCCAGCCAGTATGCATGAGCAGATTCATTCATTTAGTCATTCAACAAATATTTAATGAGCACCTATTGTATTCCAGGACTACCTCTGCTGTCAGAGAGTTCAATGTCAAGTAAGGAAGACACACAAGCAAAAATAAACTATGATTGGGGGCCAAGGGAAGATCCCCCAGCAGATCAGGCCCACACAGCAGATTAGCTGTGAAATGTATGTGGCTGTGTTTTAATAGATGTGGAAGTTTATTGACAGTTTTTGAGCAGTGTTTGATATGAAAAGAGCAATGCTTCAGAAAACTTAATTTGGCCATCAGTTGTAGGAGAGATTGGTTGGGAGAGTGGCTGGTGCCAGGGAGAAGGGTGTGAAACTTTGGGGAAAAGGGGAATGAGGGTTCCTGAACCAGAGAATAACTAGGAAAAGAAGAGCAGCAGAGAGATGAAAGTGACTGTAACACTGTTTAACAAGCTAGGAGATAATGTATAAGCCATACAAAATGTTATAGTACAAACACAAAGTATGACTAGACCATTAGGGTTGACAATTCCGCACTGAAGATGGCTGATTGACTTTGGGGTCTCATTGTGACATTTGTCAGCTCTACTCAGTGCCATGCACAACCTGATGGTTAGAAAATAATGTGGCCCAATTAGTGTGACTGTGGGAATCTTAATGTCTATATTCCTAATTTTCTGTGTATTTAAAAATATGCCCTAAATGATACTTGAAGGTAGTTTTTGCATCCTGTATATACTGTGATTTTCCCAGGATGTCGCCAGCCTTATACAATAATAGACTCTGACTGTCTGATACATTTGCTCTTGCAACATCGTCACAATTTATTGCTGATAATGAATACAAGTGGCATCAAAATGCTCCCCAACAGCTTTTACCAGCGCTCTTCATAAAGCGAGGAGGCCATAAATCAGGCAGATGTTAAACATCCGAGTCGAAGCTGCATCTCTCGGCCTGAGCCCAAAGCCTCTTGGCTGGCACTGATGTGTGGCTGGGAACGGTTTATGCTTGTCTTCCCCGCCAGAGCATATGGGACAGCACTAACTGAGAATTACAGACTGGGGATCCTGAAATCTCACAAAATTAATGAACTGTAATGTTTTTACAGAGATGGGGGAAATAGAAGAAGTATAACTTAGGAAAATGGCTTGGTTTAGCAACCCATAAGCTGCTATCTGTTCTGCTGCTTCTTATGTGCAGTGGATGTTGAGGTCAGTATTTAGACAAATGCTGCCCCAGTGCTGCGGGGGCCGTGTGTCATTGCTAAAAGCATTCAAACCAACAAAATGAGATTTTGAATGTTCAGGAGATGTTGACTTGACTTAAATAATTTAAGGTCTTGTAAAACCAGGAACAAGCCCTGAAAAACTAAAATCTACATAAAAGAAACTTAGCTGTTCATATTTTCTTCTGTTCCCATTGGCTGCCCATTAAATTTTCTGATCCTTCTCCACCTATCTTCATGTACTTTTTGATTTCCCTGATCTTTTTAGTGATTTTCTTTCTAATCTAAAAGCCAACACTTATTTTCTCTGTATGTACCTCCTGGAACATTGTGAACTCTGTCAAAATCTTTCAGAACAATACATTTATCATTTCTTAAGAACTTACTATGTCCCAGGCACTGTGTTGATTCCTTACATGTATTATTTCTATAAGGTTATTACCATCTTTCACTGGAGACAGTGGAAACTCAGGCAGGTTAAATATTGTCCAAGGTCACAAAATGGCAGTGGCTTAACTGGTATCAGAATCTGTATCTGACTATCTCTAAAACTTATTTTTCTTTCCATTCTGGCTTCTACCTCCCAGATCTAAAACTTAGCAAAATAATCTAAACCCAGTTTTTCCCCTGAAAAATTTTATAAAGTTTGATATTTTATCAAATTTAACTGCAGGTTGCACATTGTCACGGGCTCCTGCGCCCAGGAGGGGTTAATGCCTTGCTCGGCTTCCAGCGGCAGCACTCCTGTACTTAGAAGTCTGGCTGAAGTTTTGCAGAGAGTAAGGAAAATCCCATTTGCTCCAGGCTGCAGACTCTGAGCAGTTTGGCTGCTGAGTCTGGGTCCTGTCCTGGAGCTGAAAAATATCACTAACCATGTCCTGTTTGGCAGCTAAATCTTGCCACCATCATGCCTGTCACTGGCGCACCTCACATGCCGCAGGCTGCCTCCTGAAGAAGAATTGCCTTGCCAGGTGGCTATTTAGGCCTGAACCACTGCTGCATATATCACCCAGGGAAATCAGATCAAGCCAAGAGTGAATTCATTGCATGTATTGAGGAGTGATTTCACCAGATAAAATACATAATGTGTCTTTGTTGATCTAGCAGTCACCAAGGCAACCTTGCTGAGAATGGTCTGGTCTGGTCAGGAAAAGGAAGGGCTTCAGAGAGAGGAGTTAGGGAACCACCACAGTCACTGGCAAGTTCACAGCAGGAAAAACCCTAAAACCATGCTGCATAAAAAAGTTTTCATCTTTTTATTACAGCTTTGAAATGCACTCAAAGTTAGAGAAAGTAGTAAAATGAAGTCAGATCAGACTCAACAGTTATTAAGATTTTGTTACATTTGCCTCATTTATCCCTAAAAACCCACTTTTTGGGGGTGAGAAGTAGGATTTCCACTTCAGGCCTTGGGTCTGCCACAGTAGAGGAGTAGCAAGAGTTGAACTCAAGCTCCCTATTGTTTTTATGAGTAAACTGATAACCATTTATTTGTTTAAAAACATTTACTGAGTGCCTACTATATGCCAGGCCTGAGCACTAAAAATGACAAAAAAGAAAAAGGCAGCATGCTTTATTGGAAAGATCTTTGGCTCTGCCACCTGCTACCTGCTTAGCAAATGGCCATGAACAATCTTCATAGTCATGGAACTATAATACTATCAGGATAAGATCCTGCCCGTAAGGGGCTTTCAACCTTACTGGGGGAGACAGACCTTCAAAATAATAGGTACAACAAGGTCATTAATATTGGGATAAAATTTTCTATGGGGTACAGTGGGGAAAAATAACAAGAGGTTGAGTTGTATCTGAGTGGTAATTGAACTGAGCCTGGACAGACACAGTAGGTGCCTCCAGGTGGAGGCTTGAGTGTGGGTGGAATGGCAATCCAGGCAGATGGAAGATCCCCAGCAAAGGCACAGTGGTGTAACCCTTATGGGGAGCTCATCACACTTCAAATAGGTACATGACTGAACTGGTGGGTAGCAGGGGCCACATCAGAAAGAACCATTTATGCTTCGAACTTTATCCTGTAAACAGTGGGGACTAACGACGACAGGAGTCACAGGATTCAGTCTGGAAGCTGTACATGATGGTGGGCTTAAAAGACTGGAGGTGGGGAAGCTAGGTAGTAGGTGTTAGTTCAGATGAGAGATGATAAAGGCCTGTGCTAAGACAGTAGCTTTTGGGGGCAAAGAAAGAGACTAGATAGGAGAAACGTTGGTGCCAACATCAATAGGACTTAGTGATTCACTAGATCTTTGAAGAGGCAGAGGCCAGAGGTACCTTGAGAAAGAAGAAGGAGTCAGGCTGGCTTGAGGGTCCAGCTTTGACGTAATTCACAAGGGGAGCAAGTCTCAGGCTCTGGTTACAGGCAGGATTGATCAGAAGGCACTTGATCACACACAATGATGTATTGTCCTTATGGTTCTCATTATATTTCATTTATATATATCATTATATTTCAGCTTTTATAATAGGCCTCTCTGGAACTTTATGAGCATATAATATTTATTTAACAGTTTTTTCAGTAATTACTAGGTTCTGCTATTCTAGGCACTGTGAATACTAATGAACCTCATTAAAGCAGGGACCCCCATGATCTAATTTCAAAACAGGATTATGATTAACGAAAAACATAGTCCATCAACTGAAAAGAAATTTGCAAGTTTTTTTATAATTGCTATTTTTGGATATGTTGAAAGGACTCACAGTCCTGAGAAACAGTTCTCTTTTTAATCTTTTTCTCTTCCATCAATTTTTCTCATACACTGCAAATACTCCCCCACATTTCTTCAGAACCACTCCTATTAAGCCTTCTCCCTGCACTGGCTCTGATCCCTCTTATTCTATCCTTTCTCCTTCTCTAGATTCTGTGCTATGAAAGGCCAAAGGACCAGAGGCCAAGAGCAGGCAGAAATTGATCAGACAGACAAAGCCAGATCCCCCTTTAATGAGCAATGAGAGAGAACAGTCTGAAAATATATACAATTATACTTTGGGTTTCATTACACAGAGATGAATAAGCCATCTGTGATGATGGACACCTTGCTCCCCAGTGATGTGTATATTATAATCATTTTATGTTTATTTTTGTTGTAGGCAACTTTCATCTTGTGGATGGCAATGCCAACATTATAATGAGCCAGGAAATCTTGCTTATTGGAAGAGGGGTTGAGGGCAGCTGGTGTTAGAGGAACTGCCTCTGCCAGAAAGCTGGGACTATCTGTTCTCCTTCTCCAAATTCACACTTCAGGCTGCTTTTGGTTGATGTTTTAGGGAGATGTTTTGGGATTGGCTCTTACAAGGGTAAGAGAATAATAGTAAGGCAGCCAGGGCTGAGCCAGAAGTTTCCTTCAGCTTTGGGGGGTCTCCTTATTGTTGGTGACCTCTGACTGTTCTCTGGCCTGCTGGCTGCTCCTGCCTGGCCCCTTTAGCATTTCCAATCTCTGATTTTGCCTGGCCCCTGACTTTGCCTAGTCACTTGCCTAGTCATTTGCTCCAGTATCTCCAGGGCCTGCCAATAGGTCTTAATTTTGGATGCTGTTTGCTATCTGGCCTTCAACCCCACTGCTGCTGTGCTCCTGCATTTTGAAGGGCCCCACTAAGCAGTCCTTAGGGTCCTAAGCACTCAGACAGATGCACCCTTGGGACCTACTGCCAGGGTTGTACCTGCCTGACTGCTTAGGACCAGAGAGAATTTAGCAGCAGGATGTGATGAGCCAATTAAGGACATGCCAAAGAAAGGGATTGAAATGACCAAGTTGGGTCAAAAGAGAAGGTAACGTAGGAGAAACTCTATATAGTTTTTAATCTTGGTGGCAAATTGGAGTTACCTAGGGAGTTTAACAAAAGAAAAAGATGATTGGGCCCCAAACCAGTTAAATTAAAATATTTGGGATTAGGGTCTGTAAAGGCCAGTCTTCAAGGCCCCCAGTGTTTCTTCCCCCTGATATTCTCATCCTTTTAGGATTTTATCCCACCGAGTGTGGGTAGAATTTAGTGATTTGTTTCTAGTAGAATAAGATGGAAGTGAAGATATGTGCCTTGGAAACTATGTCATAAAAGGCAGAGTGGCATTGCTTTGGAGAAAGCAGAATGTCATGTCATGAGCAGCCTGGTGGAGAGGACCACATGGTGAGAAACCTTGGCCAAGAGCCAATGAATGAGTGAGCTAGAGGTAAAATATAGCCTCCCACCCAGTCAAGCCTCAGGTGACTGCAGCCCCAGCTGACATCTTGATTACAAGCATCATGAGAAACTCTCAGAACTACTTGGCTAAATTGCTATGATATTTCTGATCCACAGAAACTATGACATAATAAGTGTATGTTTCTTAAGCCACTAAGCTTTGGA
The DNA here is from genome assembly GCF_000001405.40 of Homo sapiens. NCBI lineage: Eukaryota > Metazoa > Chordata > Mammalia > Primates > Hominidae > Homo > Homo sapiens. The sequence continues at coordinate 66,132,672 of NC_000014.9, read as the reverse complement.
GTGATTTGTTACACAGCAATAGCTAATTGATACAGGGCTCAAGCATCTGCATTTTTTACAGGTGTCTCAGGTGATTCTAAAGTACAGCCAGAGTTGAGAACCCACTGGAATCAAGGATTGAATAAGAGCAGGAACCTAGGAGCTCACTGGGAGCTGTGGAATGAAACAAATGTCGTGTGTCAGTAACCGTGCTATATATTTATATATGTTATCACTTGCTGAAGTCACAGCACCTTCCATAGGTTATGTGGTATCCTCCCTATTTTACAGATGAAGAAACTGAGACTTGGCAAAATTACCCATTAGGAAGAGTTGAAACCCAGGTCTAACCTTATTCAGAAGCCTGAGTTTCCTCTGCTGTTTCTGATGCAGCATCCCCAATCCCCTGTGAGATATCTTGGACCAAAGACAGAGGTCTGACTCCTGCTAAGCCAGGAGCAGTAATTTGCCTGCATGTCAGTTTACCTGGATTTACCTTCTGCTCCAGTGGCTGCTGAGAGCTTGCCAGAAGGAGTGCTGATTACATGCTCACCAGGGATGTAATGTGCATCAGCATCTACCACTCAATATACATTGCTGGGGAAGCCTGAGGCAAGAGCACTTTTGGAGAGAAGAGGCCAAGCCAGACTGTGCAGTCCTGACTGCATGATCCTAGTGGGGCCTTTCTCTTCATCCCTTGGAGAAGATTTGTGGGCCTGAGGTCCTGAGCTCCTCTCTCGGACCATTTTACGCCACCATTTAACTATGATTATTAAATTTGAAGCCCTTTATGACTTCACGCAATGTACTAAAATGGTCCATGTGCTAGGGATACCTGGGCTTCCAACAGACACTGCCTAAATCTATGTCCGTCTCCAACCCTAGGGAGAAAATCTGCCTTGAATTAAAGGTGGTTCTGGAATGAAGTTTAGAGAACAACTAGCCATAGAAAAAGTGAGAAAGCACGTCTCCTTCAGTTGGAACTTTATAGGAGATTTTAAACAAAATCATTGTCATCCAAGCTGCATAGTGTTCATCAGGCTTCAGCTGCAAAAACCAGTCCTAAAAGAAATACATTATCATAATTGAATAATCTTTAATTACTGATACCAAAATGAAAAACAGCAAAACAAAACCCAAATCCAGCTCTCAATTTATGTTTAGTGAGGATTACTTAAAGTTAATATCTTGTTGAAATAGCTCAGTAAATTTAATTACTCAGCAGTGGTGTCCCATAAATCTGAAAGTCAATAGCTAAGTCAATTAGCTGCTCTAGTCTGACTCACATTATCTTCACCTTCTATGGTGGCTTCTGGATAAGTGTCTTTAGTGACCCGAAGCTGTTTTGTCATAGTGCTGAAGTACATGGAGATACTCCTGGGGCTTTGAAAAGTAGGGATAGTCATAGGGAGATATCGCATTCCTCCGATGACCATCCATCACTATGGGACAGAGGGTAATGAAGCAAGGCACACCCGAGCCACCAGAGGCATGGGACTTGATGCAAAGTGGAAATCAATGAGATGCAAACACTACACCCATGAGGTCAAGGCAACATTCACTCACTGCTCCAATTTTGTCTCTGCCCTTCAAGTCTGGATACGACTTTAAAATATGTTTGCAATAAAGGTAAGAGTATGACATTTACAAGGTAAAAAAATTTTAATATGGAAAAATATGAATAAGAAAATAAAATTGCCTGTAATCCACAGATAATGCTCCATAGATAACTACTTTTAATATTAATAGTTTGGTGTTTTCTGGTCTTTTTTAACAAACACACATATTTTTATAGTCTGCATAGTTTCCTTTCTTGGTTTTTAATTTATAATTATGTCATGAACATTTCCTCTTGCCATTTAAAATTCATTTAATGGATGGTCAGTATTCTATTGTTAGGCTGAGTCACAAGTTAATTTATCCATGTTGTATTATTGGACATACAAGTTGTTTTCAATTTTTCTTTATATAAACACTTTCTAGAAGTGTTCTATATAAATATTTGTACTTGTACTTTTCCCTGATAATTTTCTTAGAATAAATTCCAAGAAGTGGACTTTCTGGGCCAGAGGATTGCACATTTTTAGGTTCCTTTAGTCATGCTGTTAAAATCACTACACCTGTAGGTACAGGACTGCCTTGTTTGGTTGTACAGTTTGGACACTGTGCAAAGGTACCTAGCTGAGAGGATGAATTAGGGCTGAAATTCACTCAGCAGTTCCCTTGCCCAGCCTTGCTCCCTGCAAGTGCGACACCACAGAGAAAGAAAGAAATGCTTTGAAAGAAAGAAATGCTTGCCTGAAAGCTCCACCAGATTGTCATACAATACCACCCCACCTGCCCAGAAGGGGTTTGTCTTTCCACCTTGTCAGCCTAAATAGACATATTTTTGTAAATGGTACATAGGTACTGTATAAGTTAGCTGGAGGCTGGCTCAGCAGTATAATTTTTTAAAATTGAGAAATTGAATGGCAAAAATTGATATCTCATTAAAATTTACACAGGATGTCTCTTTCAGTTGTTTGGATTGCCAAAGCCCTCCTTCAAACCACATCCACTGTTGTGTTGCATCTTCATGTCAAAGTGCCTTCAAATCACTGTTCTCTGGATCACAAAGTTCTCCAAATTGGGCATTCAGCCTTATCAGAATCACCACTGTCCTGATCTAGCAATGTATGTGTTTCTTAGCAACCTTCTCCATGAGTCCAAGCTGGGTTTGCTATAAAGGTAATGTAGCTTATGCTTCCAGGCCCTTCCCAAGGCCCTAGATCTAATTTGGTATTAGTAATTTTTTAAAGAAGAGTCATCCAAATTGTATAATCTTCAAATCCTGCAAAACACAATTCACTCCTGCCTGTGAGCTACCCCTCTCAATTATTCTTGGTTCTAAATTTCATTTGAGTTACTATTCGCACTAACGGAGGTCTTTAGAAGCCATGGATACAGGAAACTGCTATTTTAAAACATTTATTTCAGCCTACTCAGGCCTTTTATTACCTACTCAATACTTTCTCAGTTATTGCCTCAGGATTACAATTTCTTCTGTCCATCACGATTATTTAAAAATATATAATTTTAAAATATGTTTTTTATAACTTTTGGCTTGTTTGTCCCTTGACTGCCAGCTCAACTCCAGTAATCCTCTGCCTCACATTCCTGTCCATGTGCATGATACTCCTGACGGATCCCCAAACCATCTCTGGGTAACAAAGTCATCAGTGCCTCCTGATTATATTCATGCTGACTTTGAGCCTCTTGGCAACCACAGATAACCCTCGGGGCTACTTAAATATATGCACATTGCTAGACAATTTTTTTTGTAATACATCTGTTCACATTTCAACAGTGCTAAAGAATCTAATCTTGCTTTGTAACCATAATCAGGGATGCTGAATTTAGCAGTAAGTAATTTAGTCAAACTGCCTCATGTTACATCTTGTCTTTGTCCCTCTCTAGCTGGGGCAAATTACTTAACCTTTATGATTTTCACTTCTGTAAAATAAGAATGATAATAATAATACCTACCTCATAGAGTTTTCTGAAAAATAATAATACATATTAACTATTTAGAATAGAGCTTATAACTTAGGCAGTTATTGTAATAATTATAATGGTTTTTAAAGCAGCACTGGTTAGAATTAGCATTTTGGAAGAGAATAAGTAAATTAACATGAAGGCTGTTTTGTACATTATTATGTCCCTGATGCCTAGAACAGTGCCTGGCATTTAATAGTTATGCAATAGATGTTAGTGCTTAAATGAGTGAAAGAATGAAGCCTAGATCCAGAATTTGCAAACTTTGAATTGAAGGGCTACAAAGAAACTGACATTTGGTTTGAGAGACTGAAGCAGGAGATGGAGGATGCAGTGGTTTATGATTTAATCAGAGATTGTCAAAAACTTCAAGTGGAGACAATCAATAACTAAGACATGATTTACTTAAAGGAATCTGGCTGTTTCCTCTAGACCCAAGAAACAACTACTGTGCGGTCCATGGTGCCAGTTTAACTGGCAAGCAATCTTTGTGCTGAAACCCAGCAGTTGGAGAAGGTGGGAAGGAGTGGAGGAAGAAGGGATAATCATCTAGGGTGATGTTCTCGAGGGGCGTTAGCAACAGAGGGCCTGCCTAGAAACAGGGCTTCTGAATCTCGAACCCACAGAATCTGGGTCCACAGATGGGTGGGGGAGTGTGGTCTGTGAACTCCCTTAAAATTATATCCAGGGCTTGGGGAATATCTGAGTATGTACATATGTGCATTATTCTGGGAATCCCAGTACTGTTGACAATTTTCAAATCGTTCCAAGACCCAGAAAGGATTAAGAATCATTTGATGTCTACTTAAAATCAGGAAGCTACAGGGAGGTCGTGGAGGGTTCAGGGTGGAAGACAAAGCAGCAACATTCTGTGATATCTTCTATCACTCTGCCTCTCAGGCAGGAAGGAACAGCTGTTTCTCAGACGGAGCTGTGCTGTTCTCTCCAGTGTGGCCCCTTTGGGTGCTCACTAAACATTAGCTGGTCTTGGCCTCCTTGTTGAGCCATCCATTTGATGCTTGGCTTGTGTGGGACCAGGCAACGTCCATACCCTAAAGGCACTGAGTCGGAAGACAAAGAAGAATGTACAAGGTAAGCATCGAGGACTGGAAGAAAGAATGGGTCAATGTTGATGCTCATCTCCTGTCTTACTGAGGGCTGCCCACATTCTTCTTCCCTTTGGTTGTTTCACCATAGGAGATCTGGGAAGAAAAGCTTCAGGCAAAGACATTGACTTTTGGGAAGTTGTCTTCTAGATGAACAGCTGCTGACTTTGATGCTAGAGTTATAAACTCTCCCCTGGTCTTCAGGAAAGACTGGAGTCTTCCTGACTTTGCCAGCCAAGGGCTGGTTGGAGATGAAGTAGTCACTTCAGGGCAGACAGATCGCATATGGCTTTCAAAAGCTGTAAATAGAAAATGTATTTTTACAGAATAAGCCCCTGTAGGTCTAGCCTAACTTTAGGGTCCTTTACATTCAACAGGCTCATCCGTTGGGTAATGTCTTAGAGTCTCTCTGAGGTTTGTTAACACAGCAGGCAGACTGGACCCCAGCAGTTGTCCTGGGCGTTCAGCCTCTGCTACGTGCCGCCTTCTACCATGTCCTATTTGAGGTCACCACCTCACCTTGCCCTTGAAATGTAGGGAGGTGGGGCTTACTTTGAAACTGAAGGTGAACACGCTACTCATTTGAGTTTGAGAGCTTTGGAATACTTGAAATAACTATTTTCTTTTCCACTATTACTTTTTAAAAGTTATTTAAAAAAAAATAACTATCAGACATGAGTGACTAAAGATCTCAAAAGGCTGATTGTCCTACACAGCAAGAGGTCATGCTGATTCCCATCTTGTTGGTTTTACCTAAATACCACCCCCAGCCTCCAAGTGAGCACATTGTTTATGTCAGGGACTTTAGGTTATATGACTTTTTTGCTGCCATCCTGCCCCAAGCGTCATACCTTGTTTCTCAATAAAGAACATGAGTCTGATGATGATCCCTGGTGTGTTGACTTCCAATATTAACAATAATAAGATATGCTGTGAACATGAAGAGAGGGGAAGAAGGAACACTCACACAGGGTTCTGGGCCTGGTGGTTCATGCCTGTAGACCCAGCTACTCAGGATGCTGAGGCAGGAGGATCCCTTGAGTCCAGCAGTTCAAGGCCAACTGGGGCAACATAGTGAGACCCTGTCTCTTAAAAAAAAAAAAATTTTTTTTCACCCCAGAATTCATACAGGTTAAAAGAGAATTTCTTAAAAAGAAAAACAAAAAATACAGTGAAACAAAACAAAACAAAACATGGTGCTATTTTTTAATGTGTCTTCAGTCAGCAGAAAATTTTTGTCAAAATTGTGTTGAGCATGCACAACTCATGATGTAGTAAAAGCTCAACCCTATCATTATCAGTTTTTGGGTGATTTAAATTTATCCCCTGCCCCTAGAAAATGTTTGGTAAATAATAGATGGTCCTATGGTCATTTTGAGTCTCAACACACAATCTCAATTCAGTAAATAGAATCAATCCAGTCCATGACATTAATCAATGTCTCAGTCTTCATTCAGAGGAGAGACATCGCCTTCTTTTTAGTGGGCTGAGGCCAATAATTGGCAGCTGCCTGCCTTTAAGGTTCTACTCTTTCTCTTACTTACCTTCTTGCAGACTCCCAGACTCCTATGTTCTATCCTGCAAGGGCTGAAGGGGCAGAGAAAGAGGAGAGGTAAGGGGAAAGGAAATCTCTGACTTGGCTGAGCAGCTTTTGCTCTTGGTGGAGAGTGGTTAAAACTCATTCTTTCTCTCCTGGGATATGCAAATACACTTGTCACTAGTGATCTCCCACATGCAAGTCTTGGACTATAAGGGATGCTGTCTATTTCCTAGGCAAGCTGTTTCCCTCGTACCCATGGCTCCCTGGTGGCCCACCAGCCGAATGCTGGAGCTGACTTACAATACAATCAGCTCACAAAAGCTGACTGTGCATGTCCATTCCCAACTCCAGAGAGACTTCAGACAGGTGGCTGGAAATTGGCCACGAGGGAGTATTTACACCCAAGAAATTGGCAAATGCAAAAAATCAGAGCCTTTTTTTTTTTTCTTTCTGGAGAGCTGGTTCTTAAACATTTACCAGCACATCACTGAGTCCACCCCATCCTGGCTCGTGCTTTTGGAGTCCCACTGCTCTCCAAGGCAGTCTTCATGGGCAGGATTTAACCAGCTCTGGCCCAGCTTTCTCTCCCTCCTATGTCTACAGGAAAGCCATCTTTTGTCTTACCAAGCTCTGTGAGGACTATAGGCAGATCCCAAGGTAACAGTGGCAGCTACTTTCTCCAAAGAATCTCTTCATCACATTTTCTGCCCTCTTCACACTTTGATTGTTTTTTAATAGCCTTTATCTGGCAGGGAAAAAGGGGCAAGTATCATGGAACCAGTTAAACTGGTCATTTCCTTTGGAAACTGCATCTGGGGAGGCTGTCTCACACTCATTTTGATATTTGACGTATATGGACTTTGTTTTAATTCCTCTTATTCATCCATGTGTCATTCTGGGCCAGGTTATCATTCTGGGGCTTTCAAAATGCTGGGGAAGCAAGCATTGTTCCATGTCATGACAATTAGAATTTGTGCTGTCCAATATGGTAGTCACTGCACTCCTGTGGTTAAATGTAAGTTTAAATTTAAAAAAAGTAAGTAAAATTTAGTTCCTCAGTTGTACTAGCCACATTTCAAGTGCTTAGTAGCCATATGTGGCTACTGGATTTTTATTGGACAGAAGATTTCCAACACTGCAAGAAGTTGTATTGGACAGTGCTGATTTAAATGGACTTCCCCGTGAGAAGTTTAAAATGGCAAGGATATGATATGATAATGAAGGAGAGTCCTAATTCAAAATAAGTGCCAGTGCATATTAAGATCCTTAAAGTCTAGTTTGTACAGGCTACACAGCATTTCATAACTAAGATTCCACTGTCAAGCACCAGAGAGGGACAAGATACTGACGTTGCACCATCTTGTAGCCTTTGGCTGCAGCACCACAGGAAATGAACAGATTCCTTGGCAAATGTCATGAACATTTGCAAATTTTGATATGTATACTCTTGACTTTGACACTTGCTTTTAAAATATGGCTGTCTGTTTGACAATGTCATCCTTCAACTGTTTTAGTCTGCCTGGAGGTGAAAGTTGGGATGTGGGGCTGAGAAGAGGAAGCTTGGGAATGTCAGCCAAGGGGCATTAAAAATTAGTAGAGCCGGGTGCGGTGGCTCACGCCTGTAATCCCAGCACTTTGGGAGGCAGAGGTGGATGGATCACCTGAGGTCAGGAGTTTGAGACCACCTGGCCAACATGGAGAAACCCCGTCTTCTACTAAAAATACAAAAATTAGCTGGGCCTGGTGGCGCGTGCCTGTAGTCTCAGGTACTCAGGAGGCTGAGGCAGGAAAATCGCTTGAACCCAGGAAGTGGAGGTTGCGGTGAACCGAGATTGGGCCATTGCACTCCAGCCTAGGCAACAAATGCAAAACTCCGTCTCAAAAAAAAAAAAATTAAAAAAAAAATTAGTAGTTTCAGTAAAGCCCAAACTTTATAGGCTCCAGGAAAAATTTTCTTCTTACCAAGTTATATGGGAATTTTGAAGATTATTAGACATAATACAGGGATTTTGACTTTATACCATCTTGACCAGATTATTTGTAATTCTAGTGAGTGGATTTTTGTTCTCACTGTAGGCTGTGGATTTTCTGCAATGATGAGTAAAGGGAATTGACGCTCATGTTTCAGAATCCATGTATGAATGCATATATGTTTTGAGGTGATCAAGCTAGCTCTGATCACCAGTTCTGAGATCTGAGCAATGGGCCATGCCTGGGTAATACCTCAGAGCTAGCATCATCAGCATTACTGTGCAGTAGTTTGAGGCCCCCATAGACAGAGTGCTTGAGTGAAAAATGGCTTTGGTCTTGGAAGCGGCTTTCTGAGGGCAACCCCTCAAGTCCAGTTCTTGAGAGGCTTGTGTAAGCTGTGAGAAATCTTTATAACCTGGAGCAGAGACAGCAGTGAGGCAATTTTGCTGAAGTATGTAGGCTTAATGGTCTAGATATTGTCATCCAGAGTTATGAGGCTTTTCCAAGGCTGACGGCAGTGCAAGGCCTGATGGCAGAAGAGGAAGTCAAGGTAAAGAAATGTGAGGAGCTCCAGTGGTAAATCAGGGAGCTCACCCTAAATGTGGAAGAGCTGGGCTTGGCCTGGAGAGGCACTTTTCCCCTAGAATACATGAAAGTCTTTCAAGAAAGATCACTAAACCTTTGTGAGCAAGAAGCAAATGACCTAAAGATCACTTACTTGGAGGTTGATGGGTTGATGGGTAAATGGAAAATGATTGTAGTTTTTCTTTCTCTCTCTTGGATGCAAATATGGAATGATGAAGTTGTCTGAGTTTCTAGACACCATGCAACAGCAGCAGCTCCGTCCTCTATTTGTTTTGGAAGACCAATACTTTTCTTTGCCTTTTTTGGGAATATAGAAAGAGAACATAGTTGCTCTTAGAGAAGTTCAAACATAAATCAGCTTGTATACCTTGAAGTTTTGAGGTTTTTTTCTTGTTTAGTTTTAAAGAGAGAATATTCATCAGTGTCTGCCTGGAGGAAGCTTTGGGAACGCATCTTAGCCAGCTGCCCCCAGGCTCCTGCCTAACCTGGAGTGGATACCCGTATGGATGCCTGACTCTGCAGATATGATATAAAAACTTGGATCCTAAGTCAGGATACCTTAATTTGTTTTAAAGTCCCTTTTACCACTGGTCTCTAGTACCTGAATCTATTGCCCTGGTTCTTTATGGGGATCTTTTACTTACTCTTTTCTCACTTCCATTGGGAAATTGAAAGATTTCTCTTCCGTATTTCACATTTTGCTATATTTTAATTTTTTCCATACAGACTCCATCCCTGTGTTTTCAATATCTGGATGTCTGGGTCCCAGATCCTCACCTGGAATCCGTGGGCCACTGATCATCTGTTTCTATAACTGTTAGAAAAAAGACACTGCATTTGCTATGAACCCAGACTTAGGTTTGCTCTCTTTAGGATAGTATTTTGGAAACACCAAAGGGAAGAAAATAGATTTACACCAAATGTTACTTTAATCTTTAGTCACGAATACAGCCGTGCACCACAGAATGACATTTCAGTCAGCAATGGACTACATATGCAACAGTGGTCCCACAGGGTTATAACATCATATTTTTACTGTTCTTCTATGTTTAAATATGTTTAGATACACGAATACTTACCATTGTGCTCTGCTGCCTAAGTATTCAAGACAGTAACATGCTGTACAGGTTTGTTGCTAGCAATAGCCTATATCATATAGCCTAGGTGTGTAGTAGGCTATGACATCTAGGTTTGTGTGAGTACGAGCTGTGATGTTCGCCCAGTGATGAAATCGCCTAATGATGAATTTATCAGAATATATCCCCATGGTTAAGCAACGCGTGACTGTATTTCAAGAACACTTATTGTAGGCATTAACCTATGAGAATATAGAAATGTATGAGACTCAACTCTATCCTTAAACAACTTAAACTTTAGTTAGATACATAAAACAGAAGCATATGAAAAATTAAATGAGACCAGTATTAATAGCCAGTGTATTAAATGCCTACTGTGTGCTAGGTGATTTACAAGCATTATTTTAATCGTCACAATTACTCCACAAGGTATGATTATCTGCATTTAACAGATGGTGACCCCCATGTCTTAGAGACGGTAAAAACTTTCCAAAGTTTACTTGGCTAGCAAGGAGAGGCACCAGGGCCTGTCTTCAAAGTCAGAACTCTTTCTGCTGAAATATATTGACTTTATATTTGTTCATTTTAACAAAAATAGAGATTATTGAGATTATTGCTGTGTACAATATCGATGCTTGGTAAAAAGTTATAAGGAATTCTAAGGAGGGAAAGTGTTCTGTGGCCTGGGATGGTTAGGGAAGACTTTGAGTAGAAATGGAGTGATTTGATCTAAGATCCAAAAAATCAGGAGGATTTGCCTAGGGAAGAGGAAAGAGAGACCAGCCTACCTAAAGGAGGACGGGCTTGAGCCACAGCCTTCTGGAGCCATCTTGAGGGATGCACTGGGAGGCGCAGCTTAGTCTCATCTCAGTTCCAACTGAGAGACTCCACAGGGCTGGAGAAGTTTTGGGGATAGGATGGAGTTATGACTGTTAGCCCCATGGTTGGGTTACCTTTCAATGCCCAGGTTTGTTCCTGGAAGGATTTTCTTAGTTTGTGTCTCCCATGGCAATATTTATATGGGCACGGGGAAAACACATTTTGGGGGTGTAAAACAGTGTTGGTATCCCACTTCTTACTGGTGCAAGTTATGGGGCCCGAGAATTGCCTTAGAGGTTGAATAATTACTGGGTTTTGGGTTTTATAGTTCTCTTAAAATCTCTTCAGGCTTTGGGTCTATGTGTATGCTTCTGATCCAGAGCCAAAGTTCTTAACAACACAAAGCTATTGAGCCCAAGAAATGCTGTCTTTCTTTTTTAATTGAGACAGAGTCTTGCTCTGTCACCCAGGCTGGAGTGCAGTGGCACAAGTTGGGCTCACTGCAACCTCTGCCTCCCGGGTTCATGCAATTCTTCTGCCTCAGCCTCTCCAGTAGCTGGGATTAAAGGTGCCCACCATCACGCCCAGCTAATTTTTGTATGTTCAGTAGAGACGGGATTTTGTCATGTTGGCCAGGCTGGTCTTGAACTCCAGACTTCAAGTGATCCACCTACCTTGGCCTCCCAAAGAGCTGGGATTACAGGTGTAAGCCACCGAGCCTGGCCCAAGAATTGCTGTCTTTCAACCAAGGGCCTGTGCTCTGATGTCTCCCAGATTGTCAGAATAATAATTTTGGGGCACCATCTGTAATCCTACCCCATAATCCAATCTTCCCCACCTTCATCTTCGCAACCACCTCAAAAAGGTTATCATCATTATGCTAATTTCACAGACAGAATAAGACACCAATGGAAAGGAGCAGAGGTCTTCAGGGTTCTCTCTCCTTTCTAGGTTGGATGAGGCCCTGGAACACAAGTTCTCTAGGGAGTCCCCAGGTACATTCCACAAAGTTCTGGTCCACCTTTCTTAACAACAAATCTTCTGCCTTTGAGGTTTCTCTTCATGCCATCCTTCTGCCTTTGATCTGAGAAAACACAGGCCCAGTAAGTGTCAGGCCTCTGGACTCATGGATCCTCCTTTTTAGAAGTGGTCAGTAGGGTGTGAAGCTTCAGAGAGTGCTCCTGGCCCCCTATGCCTGTCAGAACCACAGGGAATAAATCCCCTCTTGGCCCAGCAGTAATCAGCTCATGCCTTGGAGCATGAAATTTGATTAGCTCTTTATCTCAGCTGCATTACTTGGACTGTTATTATGAGTCATAAAATTTACAAACCCCCATCCCACCCACCCCTCTGTCAGTGTGACACTGGTGTAGGACTTGGTGACCTTTAGGGAACGGGAGCAGGGCTTTGCTCTTTTTTATTTCTATGAATTTGCATATACAGACCAAGGTCATACTGCCACAAAAGGAGACTTACTTCTTAGGGAAATCCTAAGAGTTACTGAGGTTACTTTTTGCCCCTTTGGTATACCATTCATACGGGGGAGGGAAATGGTATAGGTATGCATAATAAGACATGCCTATCGTATTTGCAATGCAAATTCTGTCCTAAATTAGAAAAAGAGCTACATTTACTCTGTAGAAATGAGTTGAGGGTCTGTATCTGGAAATAGTAGCCTATACTGATTTCCCAAACTGATTTGCAAATTAGAATATTCTAGAGCACTGTTAAAAAAAAAAAAACCACGTATTTCAAGCCCCTACTTCCTACCTTTTGCATTGGAATCCATATTTCTGAGAATCCAGCCAAGGAGTCTGTATTGATCATGTTGGACCAGCATTTTGGGATGCACTCATTAGCCTCCATTTGGATGCCTAAGGATCATGCATGTCAGGGCTTGGGTGCCTTGTCAACAGACAGAGAGTCAACAGACAGTCTGTGCCTTGTCAACAGACAGACAGTCGCTAGGATTCAATAGGCATGAAGGGCCAGAGAGAGAGTCCTCCTGAGTTGTGTGAGAACAGACACTGTAAGAGGGAGTAAGGAGTCAGGATGGAGCCTGCCCTCTTGTTCCTGAAAGGCCACAGGCCCCTGCCTGACAGCTTCTTATGCCTCATTCTCTGCCTGTACACAGCCCAGCCTATTCAGGTCAGGCATCTGCCATGCTGACTGGTTTCTGTATTTTGTGATCCAAATTCTTTGGCTTTTCTGTGTCGTGGGTTCAATCACAGCCAAACTGACTGAAACTGAGAAAGCCAGGTCAGTGAGACTCCCAGATCTCCCTTTCCAGGCCTCTGAAGATCTTTCTCATTAAGAGATAAGGAACAGGCTGGGCACAGTGGCTCATGCCTGTAATCCCAGCACTTTGGGATGCTGAGGCGGGCGGATTATTTGAGGTCAGGAGTTCAAAACTATCTTGGCCAATATGGCTAAAACTACAAAAATTAGCGGGGCATGGTGGTGGATGCCTGTAATCCCAGCTACTGGACAGGCTGAGGCAGAAGAATCGCTTGAGCCTGGGAGGTGGAGGTTGCAGTGAGCAGAGATTGCGCCACTGCACTCCAGCCTGGGTGGCAGAGCAAGACTCCATCTCAAACAAAAAAACAAACAAAAAAAGACATAGGGAACAATGAGAATGACAGGCCCATTGCCCAACATGTTCAATACACCATCAAAGAACAACATGCCATTTTAACAAGAAACTTTTATATGGACCAGAAGGAATCATGGTGGCATGACCAGCACATTCTCTTGTAGTCAAGATGCATGGGAGGTCAAGTCAGAATCCGTAATTTTTATGGCATTTATTGTTCATCTCTTCATTCATTAAAAAAGTATTTATTCAGCACATATTATGTGCCAGGTGCTTTGGGACCTTGGTACTGTTTAGGTGCTTAGAATACTTTCATGAAAAAATTAAAGATACTTGCTTTTAAGGAGCTTGCATTTTAGAGGAGAGATGGGGGAAGATAGACAATAAACAATAAATAAGTTATGCAGTATGTTAGGAAGTGATTACTTCTGTGGAGGGAAATATGTTAGGGTAAAAGGGATTGAGAATTCCAGGGAGGTAGATTGCAGTTTTGAATAGGGTGATCAGTATGGTCTCATTGAGAGATAACATGTGAGGAAAGATGGAAGGAGGGTAGATATGTGTTGGGAGAGCATTCTGGACAGAGACAACAGGCTAAGAAAAGGCCCTAAGGAGGGAAAACGCCATTAACACTGGAATGGGTGAGTGAGGACTGATAATGATGGCAGAGGCCATAAGGACACAGCACATGGGAACTTGTAGTCATTTAGACTTTGGTTTTTTACTCTAAATGAGATGGAAGTCAAGGCAAGGTTGTAACCAGAGGGATGATATAATTTGACTTGCTTTTTCATTAATTTTATGTTTAATTTTTATTATGTAGACAAATAATATTATCACATAATTATATTATTATATAATAATATACTTTGTTACATTATAATATAATATTACATAATAATTATATTATTGTGCAATAATGTCAATTATTACATATTTTATGTAGACAATTTTATATTTATATTTTTTATTTATTTTTTAAGCTAAAAAAGCAGACAAAATAGTATAACAACCCTTCATGTGCCCATTACCCAATTTTACAATTATCAACTCATCAATATTTTATAGACTCCCCTTTCACTTCCCCTCCTCCCTGAATTCCAGATATAATATCATTTACTCAGTAAGCACTTCCATTATGTAATGTCTTTTTGATTGAGGTACAATTTACAAAAAACTACAGCTTCATGAATATTTTCATACCCTTGTAACCATTATTCAGATCAGGATATAAAACAGAGTCTTTCCAGCACTCAAGATTCCCTTGTTTCTCAATCCATAACCCTACCACCACTATCCAAGGTAGCCACTATTTTAACTCCTATCATCAAAGATTAATTTTGCCTGTTCTTGAATTTTTTTGTAGAAAGAATCATACAGTATGTAGCCTTTTGTGTCTGACTACTTTAGCTCACCCTTTTGCCTGAAAGATTCATCGATGTTGATTGTTTGTAGCAGAAGTTTGTTGTTTTTTACTGATGTGTAGTATTCTGATATTACTCTTCCACAATTTATCCATTCTGTTGACAGATAGAGGAAAGGTCCACTCCAACATGAAGACACTGGGAGGAAAGAAAGAATAATGAAGGAAGCTAAAAGTGGAATCACTGGGATAGGAGAAGAAACAAAGAAAGTCCATCCAGGAAGCCGGTGAGTAACAGTGAATCGGGAATGGAGACATGATGAGTCATGCCAAAGGCTGCTGGTCAAACAAGTTAGATAAAAACAAAAAATAAGCATTAGACTTAGGAGTGTGTAGGTAACTGGTAACCTTTATAAGAACAATTTTAAAGACAAGAAACTGATTGAAGGGTTTCAGAGAGAATGAGAGGAAAGTGCTTGATTAGAATATACAGCACTTTTGAAGCGTTTGGTAGGAGACAGAGCAAAGAAATGGGGCCAGAGCTAGGGGAAAAGTAGGGTTAGGAGAATGTTTATTTGCTTTAAAGATAGAAGAAATAATAGTATGCTTGCATGCTCATGGTAATGATCCAGTAGGAAAAGAAAAACTGAAGATATAAGAGAAGGAAGCGAATTGCTGGAGCAAAATCCTCAGGTAAGTGACAGAGTTGAGATCTAGTGCACAAGTGGAAGATTGGCTTTAAATAGGGAAAGGACATCCACCATGCCTTAGAGACTGAAAATAGTTGTGGGGGCAAGATTGGTAAGCACTGATATCCAGGTATCTCTGACTTTGTCAGATTGGGAATAAAGATGTAGTCTCCATAAGAGCCAAATCTTAACGTCTGTGAGCCCTCTGCTTGCTGCTGGAATCTCAGCCTTTTCTCCCAGTAGATTTAGAGACCCCGGGATGCTGCTTATACTTGTCCCCACATGAATCCTGTTTATTAATAGCTATCACAGGTAGATAAACTTCATTCAAACCCTGACAGTTCTACAAGGCTCAAGGCCAAAGCTCCTTTATCCCTGCTGTAAATAAATATTCCTTCTTAGTTATGCAAAGGTCCCAGAGCGGAGTTGTTTATGCAAACTGTTTCTCGAAAGGCACACATGTGACACTGGCAGAGCTGGATCAGAGCAGATTCTGGTGTCAGTTGCTGCACAAGGCCAAGAACCACTATTTCCTCCCAACATCTGATCTTAGCATTAGCTTGGGCTCATCATAGCTCGTCTTCTTCCCTGTGGTGAGTTAGGTCTCAACACCTCCATTATTGCTTCATTTAAGCTGGTTTTCACTAGTCTTCCTGCTCCCCACCAAACTGGAGCGTGATAAAGACAGACAAAGGACAGAGAAAGACATTTGTCTCCAGGCACCAGCCTATGTGGGCACCAGAAACACTAAATGCAAATTTCAGTGCTGTAGCAGCAGAGAACAGGGAGGGAAGGAAAGCACAAGCACATTCCACTGTCCCTGGGCATCCTACACCCTCTTCTTGCCACTGCACCAAGTCCCACCATCTGCTAAGTCCACCAGCTGTGTTGTTTCTAACTGAACCCCACAGTTTGAGTCTTTGCCCCAGTGATTTCTCAGCTTTTATGTAAATCAAGGGTCTGAAATGTATGTATTGGAGGGAGTGGCATGACCTAACTCCTCCAGCTTCTATTCAGTCAATACATATGGAATCAGAACAAGGAATGCTTAAGTGTGTAGCGGTGTGAGGCTAAGATGGCTGAAAGGATTTTTCAACAAGGGAATCTGGACCACGTAAGTGTCTCTCTTTCCAGGACACTGCTGTCGTAGGCACTGCCGGTGGCTGTCTTTATTGCTTTTCTTCTGAGTGTCACGGCTGATCAGCCGACATTTGCGTAGGCTCACTTTTCCTTTACTCATGTTAATTAAGTCAAAGGTGTCATGGCAAAGTTTTGCTGGCCAAGATGCCAGAATTTTAGAAAGGATTTAACTCCAAGAATTCTAGAACTTTTATGTTAATTAAAGTATTCTGTGGGACAAAAATTGATGAGGCTTGTAAAAATCACCAGAGGAGGAGACTCAGTGCTCTTTGACACCCTTTGCACATTTCTTAGATGAGTCATGCATCTCTTAGTGGAATTCAATTAGTTTGCTCTAAATGAAGTTATCAATCTGCCTTTCTCTGGCCCCCAACATATACATTGATCATAATGGAAATTACAGGGTTGCAACATCATAACACTGCTGTTACTTGTCAAGGATGACCATGAGTGAAAGTCCTGTGGATCTGGCCTTGTGGGAGACACGTCTTCTGCTTCATGGTCTCTTGTTGGGTCTGCTGGTCTGTTAGGTGTTTCTCTCCCTGGCTGACTCCTGGGAGACTGACTTGCAAGAGATTCTCTATTCTCTGTGCCCTGTAGGGTGATGGGGAAAGCTAGGCTTCAAGTAGCCACAGACTGAAACATCTATTTCTGCTGCTTCTTTTGGTCAGGAATCCTCCTCCTTTGTACCCTATGTCCAGATCCTGCTGACTCAGCCTAGATCTCTCTACAACAGAGGGACTATGGGTCACTGTGATAGCATTTACCTGGTATTCCCTCAAATAACAGATTCAGACAAGACAGCAGAATTTCTTCCTCTGACATATACATCCCTGGGATAGATAGTTGGGTAGTGCATACAACTTTCCACTATCCTAGTGTCATTCCCAAATACACATCCATTTGCAAGGTGTGGCAGCAAAAGGTTTTCAAGTAAGACAAATGCAGATCCAGATTCCAGTTTTGCCACTCATCCTGTGACGTGAGGAAAATCACTTTATTCTTTACATGGGAATAGTGGTTAACGGTTAAAGTGGTAGCCATTTGTGGGTTCACAAAACCAGCACGGTCAATCCCCTCCACAATCCTCTGAGGCTGCTGTAGTACCCCAATTCTACCAACAAGGAAAGGCAGCCTGGGTAAGGAGAAGAGGGAGGACCAGGTTTGCCTGTCCAGAGCAGTGAAACTGGGTCTTGTCCCAGGCTTTATGGAGAGAATCCCAGTGTTCTTTAAATTTTTTGGTTGTCACAACTGCAGGGTGAAATGTTCCTGGCATCTAGTGGGTGGAGGTCAGGAATGCTTCTAAACACACTACAAGGGTGCATGGGACAGCTGCTCACAATAGGGAATTATCCAGCCAAAATGTCAATAGAGCCAAGTCTGAGAAACATGGCAATGGCAGTAGACCCAAATATGACCTCATCGAAGATGGGTGAAAGATGTCCCCCAATTTGCTGAGTTCACTTGAAAAGAATTGTATTTTAAGCATATGCCAAGCTGCAGAGAATACTAGAATGTTCCTCTTGGCGTTTCACCTTGGCATTGGCTCACTTTGCATACATTCCTCTTTGCATAGGCTCACTTTTCTTTTACTCACGTTAATTAAATCAAAGGTGTGATTGCAAAGTTTTGCTGGCCAAGGTGCCAGAATTTTAGAAGGGATTTAACTTCTTGAATTCTAGAACTCCATACCATACACATAAAATAATTGCAAGTAGATCACATATCTAAATGTAAAAGCCA
This sequence comes from Homo sapiens, assembly GCF_000001405.40. NCBI lineage: Eukaryota > Metazoa > Chordata > Mammalia > Primates > Hominidae > Homo > Homo sapiens. The sequence continues at coordinate 66,114,534 of NC_000014.9, read as the reverse complement.
GATTATCATTTAAAAAACTGATAAATTAGATTTTATTAAATTAAGAATGTCTGCTGATCAAATCACATCAAGAAAGTTATTAAGCAACTGTGATGGTTAATATTGAGTGTCAATTTGATTGGGTTGAAGGATGCAAAGTATTGTTCCTGGGTGTGTGTGTGAGGGTGTTGCCAAAGGAGATTAACATTTGAGTCAGTGGGCTGGGAAAGGCCACGCACACTTAATCAGGGCTGCCAGTGAGGCCAGTATAAAAGCAGTCAGAGGAATGTGGAAGGGCTAGACTGGCTGAGTCTTTGGGCTTTCATCTTTCTCCCGTGCTGGATGCTTCCTGCCCTCGAACATTGGATTTTGGACTCTTGAAGGACTTATACCAGTGGTTTGCCAGGGAATCTTGGGCCTTCAGCCCCAGACTGAAGGCTGCACTGTCAGCTTTCCTACTTTTAAGGTTTTGGGACTCAGACTGGCTTCCTTGCTCCTTAGCTTGCTGACAACCTATTGTGGGATGTCACCTTGTGATTGTATGTGTCATTACTCCTTAATAAACTCCCTTTCATGTATACATCTATCCTGTTAGTCCTGTCCCTCTAAACAACCCTGATTAATAGAGCAACTAATAGACTGGAAGAAGATATTCATGATACAAATGTCTGACAAAGATCTTGTATCCAAAATATATAAAGAACTATAAGAAAAAGAAAATAAATAAACCGTTTTTTAATTGAATTGATCTTTTATAAACAAATATTTTATAAAAGATTAATTCAGATGTCTAGTAAGCATATGAAAAGGTGTTCAATAACATTCATTAGGAAAGTACAAATTCCCATACACACCAGAATGGCTAAAATTTTTTTCAAAACTAATAATACTAAGTGTTGGTGAGGATGTGGAACAATTAGAACTCTCATACATTATAGGAGGGAGTGAAATCAGTTCAACCACTTTGGAAATATCTATTAAAACTAAATATTTGTCTGCCCTATGACACAGCAGTTGCACTCCTAGATGCGATGCTCCTAGGTATATATTCACGAGAAATGAGTTCACATGTCCAACAGAAGACGTGCACAAGAATGTCCACAGTAGCCCCAAGCTGGAAACAACTACTGTCAACAGAATGGATAAATGTGGTATAGTCGTATCATAAAATAGTACATACATCAATAAAGAATAACAAACTTCTACATACAGTTACATCAATGTGAAACAGCTTGCTGTGACGAAGAACAGAATTCTAACAAGTAGGAAACTCTTGGGTAGACAATTTAAAATATAGACCTGTATTAAATTCATGGAATAAACTAAACAATTTTATAAAGGAAAAGACTATATTAGAAGTTGTTTATATATTTCATAGGCTGTAACCACTAGTGTGCTGTATGACAAGACTTACAATTTCTAGGAACTATTTGTATATTAGATTCCCTGATAAAATAGTTCATGTCTTTTTGTAAGAAAAACTTCTAATAAATGTATTTGTCAGTGGGTAGTGTAGTTTATGGACATCTGGCAGCAAAATCACCAAATTTCAAACTAATAACCCTTGTAGCATCAGATCCTTACACATTTTACATGTTGTTTTGAGATTCATAGATTCAAATACATTCACTTCCCTCAGCTCATGAGAGTAAGGCTCATATTTTTCATGGCATATTCAGAGGTCTCAATCGTAAATTCTTACACAAATTCCAAAGGCAATATTTTCTTTAGACCCAGGGCATGTATTAGTATTTCCGGCTGGAGTTAGGTGAGATAACTCTCTAAAAGTGATGGCAGAATATTAAAGAGGCAAGTAGAGAAATCTCATACTTGGAAGCTACTTAAGTGAGCTTGTTTCCAACATCGGTGATTCTAATACCAATGATGTCGAATGTTTCCCACTGAGGTGGCCACAGGAGTCTCCATGAGGAGGGTTGTTTTTGAGTTGACATTTGAAGAAAGACTGGAATTCTGGTGGAGAAAAAACCACCTAAGTGAGGGAAATGGCATAAAGCAAAGGCCAACGTCTTGGAAGTAAAAATATAGTTGAAGGAGAGTAATTTAAAGTACAGTGTTTATGAAGGAAGTATTCATGAAGAAAAGTAGTTGGAGATAAGACTGGAAAAAAGCGATTAAGATCAGAGTTTTGAGAACACAGATTAGGGCTTTGGGTGTTTAAGGGGGCAGAATCATGTAATTACTTTAGCAGGGTGGGAATAGCTTTCTTTAAAACTATTTTTGAAGTCTCAGCCAAATTATGAAGTCTAAGCTTCCATAGTCTGATGAAGAACAAGTGAAAAGCAGAATCCAAAGGAGTAGTTAAGTTCTGGTTGGCAGGAGTTGGGAAGACGGTGGAGGAAAGGAGCTCCAGCCTGTGATGGGCACAGTGTGCCAATGGCGGGAGTCACGCTGGGCTGCATGAGGCAGGCGTGCACCTTGGATTGGCTAGGGTGGAGGTGTCAGCAGTTCCGCCCCAAGCCCTGCCTGACTTGGCTGTGGTTTCCTAGTGTTGGCCTGAATATCCCCGGAGAAAGTGAGCTTTCCTGTTGGCATTCCTCACCTCTGACTTGAACTTGGCTCCTCCTCTGGAAGCAGAGATTTCTCTGTGTGATTATGCTAACTGGCAGATTTTAGAACATTCTCTGGGTCTCTCTTCACTCTTCAGTCTTGTATATATGAATCTAGATAAACCCTCTTTTCCATTATGGGACCAGGAGAAATCGTTGCTTGGTTAAGTGTAAGTGGAAAAATACCAATGAATTGGATTTGTGGTAGGTAATTTACCGTTTTGTCTTCCTGATTTCCCTTCTGCCCTTCTCTGGCATTCCCTTTCCTTAGGGAAATGCACAGTTTTCTATTCCATGCGGTTCTGGTGGGACTGTCACTGCTGGTGCTCTGCTTCAGAAGCCACAGGTGTGGGCATGTGACCAGAGTCTTGCAAATCATGGTGTCCCATCCTCCAGGCCACAGTGATTGGACTAAGATGCAAGCATGTGACTGAAGCAGGACCAATCAGAATCCTTCTCTGGGACTTACTGGATCTGCCACAATAATGCTTAGAATTTTCTGCAGTAAAGATCGTTCTTCAGTTAGAAAGAATGAGGCCACCACACTGAAAGAAGCAGAGCTGAGAGGGAGAGAGACCTGATAACTTCCCTTTGTGTTCCCAGATCTCAGTATGTGGGAGCCTGTTCCCCTACTGTCCCCTCTCCCCAGTACCTATTTCTTTTTTGCTTGAGTTAGTTTGAGTTGTATTTTGGTCACTTCAACTTAAAAACGAATCCTGATTAATATAAAAGTTGTTTCTTGGTCATTTGCTTTATTATTGGCTTCAGCTTTATAACTTTCTTGGTCCTACACAACCAGCAAAGCCTTTTGAGAATGAGACCCTCTGTAGTGTTCATTTAAGCTTAGTACAGGAGGTATCCTTACAGATGTGACATCTTTTTAATGTCTCCTGGCTTTGTATTCTCAATTCTGTGGAGTTATGCATCCCTAAAGACATCTCAAAATACTTGCTAACAACATAGACAGGGATACCTGCTCTTTGGGTCTAGTTTTCCAGCAAGGAAAATAGATTTTGTAGAGTATTTCTGAAAAACAGATGAAAATTGTGATGATAACATACATTAAATACTAAAAAGAAAAGTGGTTCAGAGAAAAGGCATTATATCTAAGAATATCATTAAGGTGTTCCATTATGCAGTAAATGAAGTGCAGTTTCACACTCCATCAACTTATGTTTAAGACGCTGTGTGCGTGTGTTTGTGTGTGTGTGTATGTGTATAAAACCTTGCTACAGAAAATGGGACAAACTAAAGCCACTACAAAACCTTGAATCTTTATATTAGGAAAAGGTTTCACTCGTGTGTGTGTGCCTGTGTGTGTGTATACACAAGGAGTTCTTAAAGTGTTCTAGTAATACACTTCCTGTCAGAAACATTGTTGTTATCCTAATCCATGCATGCTCAGCTGTGAGTGAGTTGGGACAAATGAAAGGGGGAACCAGGAAAATGTCCCTGAAATGAGATCATCTGAACCAGCCTCGCCAGTCAAGATGAGTGACTTTGTGGGGCAAGGCATGGCATTAGGAGTGGCCAGGCCCCTGGGATGATGCCTGGGTCTGCAGTGGCAGCACTGTGGTTCTGAGCGGTTCTTCTCTTTGGAGCAGGACTTCAGGTGACAGCTTGCAACTGAGGTAGAAAAGCTGTGCAAAGCTGGTTAGCCCAGCAACAGCAGGAAAGAAAAGCGGTCCAGGAAGAAATGAGACAGGACACCATGCTGTCTTCCCCTTGCAATGCTCAGATCTAGTAATGCCTCCCATGAAGTCAAGTTTGCCACAGTGACTTCAAAGTGTAGCCATCTGTCATCTCTACAAAAAGCCTGAGGACATGAGGGTTAGTGGAACATGCCATGGTCTGTGACCTTATGACTGATCCCAAGGCCTCAATCAAGATCCGTCATTCTCCACCTTGGTTTCTACATTTCCCTCACCACAGTAAGCATTTTGGTGGGTCAAGGCTGCTACCCTGTGGGGTGGCTTGAACTTTCATCTCCAATGGGTCTGAGCCTTTCCAGGCCACAGTTGTATACAAATGGCCCACTTATGGTTACCATGGGCACAGGAATCCCTGAGAGACACCCCAGGGGATCTCTGGGTTCCAGAGGCACTCATTCTTGCCCCATGTTGTAGAGCAGCAACCTGGCTCCTTGTGGTCATCAGGGCTGATTGCCCCTGACAACAACGTAACTCCTTGCCATGCCTACTTCTTCACTGGCAGGAGAAGCCTAAAAGAAATAGATAGCAGGCATGTCTTCTAGCAGAATTCCAACCATGTTCCCCCTTGGGACCTGGGGCCCTTAACCAGCAGAGCATAAGGTCATGGGACAAGAAGTGCAAATTCCACAGGGGGCCACTAGGAGTGATGGTGAGGGAGGAACCACTCCTACTTCCACCAGGTCACACCTTTACAAATTGGTTACCATGGCAGTGTAAGATGGAGCACAGAAGATGGCCAACACACTCAGACTCTCCCTCCATCTGTTTTTCTGTCTCTGTCTGCCTCTTTCTCTCTGCTCTCTGTCTCCTCCACCCACTGAGAGCCTGGCTCCCTATCAGAGGGCAGAGACGGTGGCTACTGAGGTCACCTCTGCACCTCATGGCCTTTCCAGCTCTGCCTTACCTGGGCTGCTCCTTCCTCAGAGTTCTGGGAACACTGGAAAGTGAGGGCAGAGGAAAGCCTGTTGGTAGTTCATGTTTGTGAAGGCAGTGCCCAGAAGGAGGGAAGATTCTAGAGTAGAAGGCTCCACTCACAGAAATTTGGTCAAGGATTAGAATTATTGGAAACTTGAATTAAACTGAACCCATCTCAGGGCAAACATCCCTTCTGTCCTTCCTGCCCCACCAGTGGGGAAGTCACAGGAACAGATGGGAAATGTTCCCTCTCTTTGTCCAGAACCACTCTTCCTTGGACACAGTTAAGGACTGCTTCCTTCTTGCAGCAGGAGCTCTGTAGATCATCCGGACAGGCTCCTCCCCCAGGTACACAGGCCCTGCAGAGCCTGGGAGAGGAGGCCTGAGGCTCCAGCAGCCTCCCCTTCACAGCTCCCTTTGCGCTCCAGCCTCTCACCATCCAAGAAATGTGTGTATTTTCACCTCTGAGCCGTTGTTCATGCTGGCCTGTCCTCCAGCATGACCTTTCCATCTCTTTTACACTTTTCTTAAAACCTTAAACAATTTTTTATAAAGCCCAGCCCAAGGATCATTGTCTGTGTGAAGGTCCAGGTGGAATTCTCAAGTATCCTATTTTCCTGTGATGATATCTCTACCCTAGCACTAAGTGCTTTATATGTAATAATACATTTAATTCTTATCACAATCTTTGAGGTAGAGGTTATTATTATCCCCATTTACAGATGAGAAAACGGAGTCACGGGGAGATTAAATAACTTGCCCAAGGTGACACCATGAGTAATGTTATATTCCAGGACCATATCTTATCTTCATACTGGCATCCCCCAGTGTGTAGCATTGTGTCTGTCACGTAACAGGCCACAGATAATGCTGCCAAGTGAGTGATTTAGATGCTGGTGCTTGTTCAGAAGAGCCAAATCAAGTCTGATTTAAGCCTAAAGCAAGTGTGGTTGGTGCTTCGTAATACTAAGGCAGGTTCTTTTGTTTGTGAACTCTCTGGGCCTTGCAGTGCCCTCTCTACCTCTTTTCTTTCTGCTTTCCCTGTTTATTTCTTTCTCTGCTAGATGAAGAACATAAAGGTGAATTACAAAGAGGAAGAGGTTTGCTTGGAGAAGAAGATCGGGGCCCTTGCTAAGTTAGGTGTTTGGTGACTCTGTTGGCTTCATAGTCTTTTTTAGGGTTGGATAATTCAGAATTGGCTTCTGGAAGGGGTGGAAGAAGGAAGCTATCAGAGTGCCTGGTGAGAAATTGAATTCAGAGAGGGGGAATGAGGTGGAATACGTTATTTTCAGTCCCGTTGATCTTCCTTTCCATCAAGGCATTTCCTGCAGGCTTCATTTAAAGATATAGAATTATAGGAATTAGATATGTTACCCTATCTACAATGATGGCGGGATCATTTGTCAATGAAAAAAAATTCAATTGTAGAGTTTCTAGAACACTCTTCATGCCTGACTTGTTTCTGAGATCTTTTTAATTGCATGTGAGCCTTTTGTTTCTTAGGACAAAGTCATTAACCTCTACTCCAATGGGCTGAAAGAAGAAATGAAAGGCAGTTTTCATTGTCAGGGAACCCTGAGTAAAATGTTTAAGAGGTAGAATCCATGCCTGCTCTTTGTAGTGAGGATCTAAACCTGCTCCCTCCTCATTTGCCTCAGCAATGCTGGGAGAAGGAAGTGATGTGGTCCACTATGACCCCCATTCTTACTAGAAGTTTTCTAGGAAAGTAGCATCACAATCAAGGCTAAGCCATGGGAGTTAGGAATATGCTGATCTGGTGAAAGAAGCGCAGGGTAGAGAAAGTAAGTCTTCTCTATACTTCTGACTGTGTTGTTGAACTATAGATTGGGAGAAATAAATGTATTAGTGTTGAAAATGTTTCCTTGCTTGTAAAAGGAGAGAGAATGAATTAAAAGTGTTCTAGACTCAGAACTGAGTTTCAGTGTAGAATGCTAGGTCGGCTATGAAATACAGGCACACATTTTTCCTTATTCCTCATTCCCTTCTTAATCCCTCCTTTATTCTTAAGCCATTCCCTCTTTAATCCTTCTACTCTAAATTGTGTCCTCTGAATATGGAACATATGAAGATGATAATGATCAAGATGAAATAATATGAATATTAGTGATGATAATATTAACATGAGCTATACTTATCAGTTAGCATATAGTAGAAACACCAAAATATTTAATTCTTAAAAAATTCTTCATAGATACAGTTATTTCTATTTTAGAGATTGGAAAACTGAGGTCGAGAGAGGGAAAGTAATTTGTGCAGGTTCACAGTAAGTAATGGCTGAGTCAGGATGGGCTTCAGAATATTTTTTTGCCCCAAAGCCCATGCTTGCTCTTAACCAGTATTTTACACTTAGTAGGAAGAGAAATGTGGTCCAGCGAATCTCAGATGCAGAATCCAGTGGACTTTTCCTTCATAGTTCTTGGCCTCCGAGACAGTGTTCATGTTCCATCGCCATTATCTATCTTAAACCCCATCCTTGGCGTCCCTGAGGACAAGTCCTCATCTTTTGTGATAATTTTATGTAGCAACATGCCTGGGCCACAGTGCTCAGGCATTTGGCCAAACATTATTCTGGATATTTCTGCTGAGAGTATTTTTTGGATGAGACTAATATTGAAATTTGTAGGCCTTGAATAAAGCAGATTGCCCTCCATAATGTAGGTAGCCCTCATCTAATCGGGTGAATAGAACTGACCTCCACTGGATGTGGTGGCTCACAACTGTAATCCCAGCACTTTGGGAGACTGAGGCAGGAGGATCACCTGAGGTCAGGGGTTGGAGACCAGCCTAGCCAACATGGTGAAACCCGTCTCTACTAAAAATACAAAAATTAGCCGGGTGTGGTGGCACACCCTTATAATCCCAGCTACTCAGGAGACTGAGGCATGAGAATTGCTTGAACTTGGGAGGCGGAGGTTGCAGTGAGCTGAGATCATGCCACTGCACTCCAGCCTGGGTGACAGAATGAGACTCTGTTTCAAAAAATAAAAAACCAAAAAACTGACCTCCTCTGAGCAAGGGGGAGCTCTGCCAGCAGGAAGGCTTCAGACTTGAACTGCAGCACTGGCTCTTCCCTGATCTCCAGGTTTTGAACTTGCCAGCCTCCATAATTGTATAAGCCAATTCCTTAAAATAAATCACTCTCTCCCCCACCCCTCTATACAAACATCTTATTGATTCTATCTGCAGAACCCTGACTCATACATTTTCCTTCTTAGACTTATTCTCCTTCCCTTTCTCACTCATCCTTCTGCCCTGACAAGAGGGCTTCTCTTGTCAGTTTTTGGATAGCATAACTCTGTGCTTTTTTCTCTCTGTGTCATTTCCCTCAGAGAACACGCCCATCCTTACAACTTCACAATAGATGTGAGTCACTCCAGGACCCGAGTTTTCAGCTCTGACTGCTTTCTGTACCTCCAGATCCTCCATGCTTGCTACTGACTGCATCTTTGCAGGCAGATGTCATCAAATCCAGCGGCTGATCATTCAGCTCCAACATCATCGGGCCCTCTTCCTAGTCATGGGATTCCTTTAATCTCCCAGGCTTGAAACCTTGGAGTTTCTGACCTCTCTCTTCTCCCTGCTCCATATCTAGCTGGCCAGCCAATGTTTCAGATTGCATTTCCTTGGGACTGTCTTTCTAGCTGTTCCTTTCTCTTTCACTGTTGGCACCACCTGCTACAGGCCCCACTTATCTCCTTTCTGAATGGGAATCCTTGTCTTAAGGTCCACTCTTTTCCAGTCTGTCCTGTGCAGAAATGACAGATCAGCTTCCCTAAAGCACATCTTCTTCATCTCTCGTTTCCTAATTTGGCAGGACTGGAAGACCCAAACTTGTCTTGAGCCAGTGGTAAGGCTAGTCCTGAAGTTCATCCTTTATTTGAGAAAAAGGCCCAACTCAGCGTCTCACCACATGCTTCGCCGTCCTGGGAACAAATGCCACAAAGAATCTTACTCTCACTCAGAAACTCCTCTGCAGCCAACAGTCTCTTATCAGGAGCTTCAAACATGCAGGAGCACTGAGTGAAGTTTAGACTGGATTGGACTTGGAATCTTAGGGAGGGCTACACCAGAATCCAGGACTAACACCCTACATCATTCTTCTAGCCCTTGAGGGCTCTTCCCTGCCACTAGCCCTTGGCCTGGCAGGGAAGTCTCCCTCTTTGTTGTGTCTCCCTGGAGTCTGAACTCACATGTGGATGTCAGGGAGGGGACAGATTTGGAGAAGCAGCTCCAAAGAAAGTAAAGAATTTTTGTATTTCTGAATGTCACTGTAACCTCAGGAAGCTTCAGTGAGCTCATAAAGACCAACAGCTGCTGGAGCAGTGGCTGATGGAAATAACTTACCTGTAAGTGTCTAAACTGGAAGGAAAACTATTTTGGAGGGTGGGGATAATGTTGCAGAATTTTGCTTAGTTCCCCTAAAACTGGGTTCTTGTCACACGACCAGGAAAATTTAGGCATGCGAACACACTGAAGGGTGAGTAGAACAGGGTTTTACTGGGCGAAAAGGGAAGAAAAAAAAAAAAACAACTCAGCAAAGCAAGATGGAGTCTTGCTGACAGACCCCCCACCTCCCAGATTGAATCCCAGGCCACCACACAGGAAGAAACCAGGCTCCTCCCTCTTGCCCGTGGCTCCACCCCATTCCCCCAGTGCGCATGTGGGCATGTTCAGACAAGGCTCTGGGCAGGTTCTCTCATCTGCACAAAAGCATCTGATGTAAACACTTGTGGGGCGGGTCAGAGATTCTCTGGGGACCCCTTTTTATTTGCCTAGGCATTTGGCTGTCTCACTGTGATTTTTAAAAGTTGCCTTTCAAGGATGATACAAGTATTTTTGGGTACTTCAAGCTAAAGACTTTTTACAAAATTGGGCCAAAGTTATATAACAATAATTGCTATTATTTGTTGAGTACTTAATGGTACCACACACAGTGTTAAGCACCTTGTATATGTTAACTCATTTACTCCTCACAATAACCTTATGAACTATAAACAATTATCATTTTAATGTTACAGATTGGAAACTAAGGCATAGAGAGGGTTGCCCATGGGACAGCTAAATAAGTAGCAGAGTCAAGATCCGGACAGGCAGTCTGGCACCAAAGCTCATGTTTGTAGCTATTTAAAATTTGAAGACATAGAGAAGGAAGGATATCTGATTGATTCCTCTGTTTGGTAGGTGAGAATTAACTCTAAACAGTGATATTCATGTCTTGTCTTTAGGCCACAGAGAAACAATGATCACTAAATAGGGTCTGATTAACAGCTTTAGAAAAAGCTTTGGGGAAGACAGTTGTTTTTATGGAAGCCTGAACCATGCTGAATGGGCTAAAACTTGCTGTTGTGATATAATTCTATGTTGACTAGCTGGTCAGAATTGGTTCATTGCTGCAATCCACAATCACTTATCAAGCACTTACTACCTATTGGGAGCTATGCAGAGAAGTGAGGATAAAAGAGTGAATCAGGCAGACCTGGCCCCTGTCCTCATGGAAGGGTTGTCCTTCATTAGAAGCAAAGCTTTAAACCATAGTTTGATAAAAGATGGATCCAAAGGTAATATTCTATACGGGCTAACAAGTCACTTGAAAAATTGGGCAAGAATCCTTTAGCTTACAGAGTAAAACAGTGAAAAGAGGCCACATCAACTATCGGAGTAAAAAGTCTGACAGCACACAGGAGGGGATTGGTCTTGTGCTGCTCACTGCTCTGTTGAGTACAAAAGGGTGAGATTTCTGTGCAGATTATTCTCAAAAAAGTGTCAAGTACCTGTAGGCACTTTCAAAACCCATCTTTTGGTGTTGATGCTGTTGGTCACCAAGTCAGTGCAAAGTTTCACTTGAGGGGAACAACTTGGGGGACATCTCAGAGGAAGACTCTTGGAGCACAAGGAAAAGAAAAACAGAAAACATCCTTGGACTGGTATTAAAGTTCAGTGGACCTGCCCACACTCAGGCATTTTGCTTAATCAGGTGAAAACGTTGACTTGGCCTAAAATTAGTGTCTGTTTTGGGGCAATCAAAATAGCCTTAATTAGACATCGGCCCAATTGGAAGAATTTTATCTTGACTGAGGAAAGAGTAATTTTTCTATGTTGAAAATCTAACTTTAAAACTCCTGATAGGTGACTTAGAACTTGCTATGGTACCAAATGGCTCTCAAATTTGGAGTGGAGGTAAGGTCAAGACAAAATTTAATATATCCCCAATGGCTGGTGGGTTGTATGCAGGCAAGGACCTAGAGGCTGCTTTCCATTTGGTCACAGCGTGACAAGGGGAGAGATAAGAGTAATTGAGGATAGATGGAAAATGTTAAATCCACTTGCTGTAATTAAGGATAATTTTTCTTCCTTTCAGTGATACTGATTGCTCAGGGGCAGATAGAAGGAGCAAAGGCATCAAGAATGCTGAGTCTAAATTCTCTTGGTGTGTAGATAAACTTTAGTGGGTGTCCTTCTGCCTCATATTGATGAGGCAAAGCTGTCACATGAGAGTGACACATTGTTCATGAACCTCAGGTGCTTCTCATAGCACTGGGGAGCTGCTGGGGCTGTCATTCTAAGGATTTCCATCTGAAACGGGAGAGTTCCCTGGCCCTTCCTCACAGTACATGCGACAGGGGTATGGCTCATCTGTTTGGCTGCCATGTGTGCTCAAATCCCTTACCGAATGGGGAGCACATAGATGGGCAGGTGCAGGAGCCAGAGCAAGCTCCCCTGGACTCTGGCTCCATGGCAGCATCCAAGGGTGGGTGTCTGCAACTCTCGAAACCCAAGTGGGCATGTGTTACAGTGCACTCTTTCAGCCTTGCCAACCATGGACAGCTTAAGTCTTAACCAGCTCAATGCCCTCTTGGTATCCAGGTCCTTGTCCAGTGTCCAGGAAGAATCATGTCACACATGGACTTGAAGGATGGTGAATGCAGGGGTTTGAGTGGTGGAGGTGGCTCTCAGTGGGATGGATGGGGAGCTGGAAAGGTGATGGAGTGGGAAGATAATCTTCCCCTGGAGTTCGGCTGTCCAGTGGCTGATCTCCTCTCTGACTGTCCCCAGCCAAACTCCTCTCGACATTCAGATGCTCCTCTTCTCTCTACTATGCTGCTCTGCCATTCTGCTGCTCTTCTGATCATCTCCTCATCTGCTTCTGGGGCCTGGGGTCTGGCACTTACATGGGTACAGGATAGGGGAGCAAGGCAGGCATGAAAACAGGAATGCATGTTCCCATATAGGGCCTCGGATTTCCAAGCTTGAGGGTGGGGCTTTTGCTGGGAACCACCTTCTTTTAACCAGTATTTCCCTGTCTCCTGTCCCTATCACATCCAGCTGGAGCCTTTTAAATTGTAACCTCCACTTCCCAGGTCATCCTAGCCTTAAGCAGAGTGTTCAGAGAATGTGAGTGATTATTAGAGTGATAACAGAAACCACTTTTGGCAATGAGTTCCCAGTGGGCCTGCTGGGACTTCAAATTTCCCTCTCCCTTGGCCCAGTCCCTGGTAGCTTCTATGTTCTACTGTAACTCCCCAGTGGATTCTTCTTGCCTGCTGTCCAGATAGAGCCAATTTGTCAAGGCAGGAGAATTGCAATGAAGAGTTTAATTCACACAGAGCCAGCTGAATGGGAGTTTTATTATTACTTAAATCGGTCTCCTTGAGAATTGGAGAGCTAGGGTTTTTCAAAGGTAGTTTGGGGATGGGGTGAGGTTGGGTAGGCAAAGGAGGCTCACTGCTGATTGGTTAGGGGGTGCAAGCATAGGGGTGTGGGAAATGATCCTCCTGGACACTGAATAGCTTCTGGGTGGGGCCACAGGAACAGATGGCAGGTCCAGGTGGAGTCATCATTGGTAGGTGGGTCCTTGGAGCCATAGATTTCAGATATGCAAAAAATCTGAGAAGATATCTTAAAAGGCCAGTCTTCCAATTCTACAATAGTGATGTTATCTGCAGGAGTAACTGGGGAAGTTGCATATCTTATGACCTCTGGAATAATGGCTGGCAATCATTTATGTCTACACCTTAGCAGAATTCAGGCCCCCCTCCTTCCTATGAACCCAAAATATCTGAGACAGGTTTCAGTTAATTTAGAAAGTTTATGGCCGGGCACGGTGGCTCATGCCTGTAATCCCAGCACTTTGGGAGACCGAGGCAGGCGGATCACGAGGTCGGGAGATGAGACCATCCTGGCCAACACAGTGAAACCCCGTCTCTACTAAAAAAAAAAATACAAAAAATTAGCCAGGCATGGTGGCAGGCACCTGCAGTCCCAGCTACTTGGGAGGGTGAGGCAGGAGAATGGCGTGAACCCGGGAGGTGGAGGTTGCAGTGAGCTGAGATGGGGCCACTGCACTCCAGCCTGGGCGACAGAGTGAGACTCCATCTCAAAAAAAAAAAAAAAAGAAGAAGAAGAAAGAAAGTTTATTTTGCCAAGGTTAAGTATGCACCCATGACACACCATCAGGAGGTCATGAGGACCTCTGCCTAAGGTGGGAGTGGGGGGACTTCCAGATCAGGTAGATTTAAACATATTCTAAATGTCACTTGGTTAAAAGAGATTATCAGTAGAAAGGAATATCTGGGTTAAGATTAGGGGTTGTGGAAACCAAGGTTTTATCATGCAGATAAAACCTCCAGGTAAATGACAAATACAATAGATTTGATAATGACAGATAATGACAGTAATGACAAATAGATAATAGATAATAATATAATAGATAATGATAATAGATAATGACAAAGACAATAGATCGTAAATGCTTTGTAGCCGACTTAAGGTCTGTCTTGATTCCGGAGAGGTATAATCAGGCACATCTGAACCCCACTTCTCATCATGGCCTGAGCAGTCTTTCAGGTTAAATTTTAGAGTGCCCTGGCCAAGGAGGGAGTCCATTCAGATGGTGGCAGCGTTCAGGGGGACTTTGAATTTTGGTTTACATTCCCCTAAGCTGGTGTTCTCTCAGTAGCTTTACAAAGGCAGTTGAGTTTTGGGGAAGGGCTATTATCATTTAAAATATAAACTAAAAGCCTCCCAAAGATAGCCCAGGAATAATTAAAGGTAGCTTAAAGGCTAAAGGCACAAGAGGGATTGGTTAGATCAGATCTCCTCCACTTTCATAATTTTCTCTCTGATACAATTTTTGCAAAGGTGGTTTCACTATGTGTCACCCTTCAAGTTCTCCTGCAGCCACCAGTGCATAACCTGGCTCTTGTGACTGTGAAGTCATATTCCAACCTCTAGGGTTGGGTTTGACTCATTTGAGGGCCACTAATTTGACTTCAAAAGATAGTAGGATTTGGGGAGAAGGGAGAAGAAGTTAAAAATTCTTGTTTCTGAGGAGAATATCCTTCTTTTGCAATCCTTCTCGCTGTCAAACCTGTGGGTTCCCTTTTTCCTGCTGTCATCTTCTTCTTCCTAATTGGATTAACTTGGGAGAAAATCCATTTGGCTTTCTTTAATAAGTTGTGGTGAGATGGGATAGTTCCCTTTACCCCCTTCGTGTGCAGGAACTGGCTTGTTTCACTCAGCCCACTGCTGGCCACTCCTCACAGGAGTGCAGAAACCAGGCTGAATGAATGCTGGAACCAGCCAGTTGCTCCTCTCTGGCAGGAGCAGGCTCCGTGCGGGCCCCGCAGCAGCGTCCAAGCATGTTACAACCAGTATTATTTCAGCTCTGCCATCTGGGGATGGCCAAGTGCCAACCAGCTCAGTGGAGGGCAGGGGTGGGCAGCACCTGCCCTCTTGGCACCTGGGTTCTTGTCCAGCATCCAAGAAGAATCAGGTCACACAAAGTGTCTGAAAGGTAATGAATGTGGAAGACTTTATTGAGTGGTGAGTGATTCTCAGTGGAAAGGGAGGCTGGAAAGGGGATGAGAGGTGATCTTTCCCTGAAGCCCAGTGTTCTCTAGCTGGGCCCCTCTCTGAAGCTGCACCATCTGAAGTTAGCTGTGTCTATCTGTAGTCTCCAACGGTGATTGCTTCTCTGCTCGATGCTCAGCCACTTGTGTTGCTCTGCTAGCTGAAGTCTTTTATGGGCACAGGATAGGGGTGAGGCAGGCCAAAAAGGCAACATTTGGGTGGAAGAACCAGGTCAGCTCTTTTCCCTTAGGGCGACAGTTCCAGGCTTAAGGGTAGGGTTTAGCTGGCAGCCCAGCCCTTTTGTATCAGTGGTAAGATGGGCCTGAGGCAGCCTCTTACTGGACAGGAGTCCCTGCTCCTCGTGTACTGCAAGCAGGGCCTAAAGGGAGCAGAAGGAAGGCATAGAGGGACAGGAATGGACCAGATGTTCAGAGCCTGAGAGATGTAACAGGTGTGACTGGCTGGGGCCGGCATCACAGGCAGTAAAGAATTTACCAAGACAATCATAGGTAAAGAAAGGCAGATTTATTAGAGAAAGTATGAAGATATGTTGCAGGAGTGCAACAGGCAGCTCAGCAGAGAAAGGGCTGTCTGCGAAGAGGCGGGGGCTGGGGGAAGTTTTATAGCGTCATGCTGGAGGGGCTACATGCAGACAAAGTTTGCATATAAGATCGTGCTGCTGGGGCTCCATGAAAGGAGAGAGGTATTTGGGAACAGGATGTTGTGCCAGCAGCGGGACCTGGTGCCCTTTCCTCATTGTTACTTAGTTATTTTATTAGGACTCCACAAGACAGAAATCCCCTTTCTTCCTGTGTATGTCCCCCTGTGCTTCTCACCAACAGAGCAGTTAGAATGGATGCCTAAAGCAGGATGTCAGCCTTGGGGACAAAGCCAGAGGGCCACTTGATCTGCTTCCAGCCCAGCTCACCAGCTGAGGACCAGGTTAGGCCGAATGTTCAGGGCCACCATGTATGATGGGTGTTTTGTGCATTTGAGACACAAAGGTCTTGACTGAGGTAGCAAAAAGTGGGGATTGTGTCCAGTTTATGTTCCTTTAATTAGGATGACTCTGTCCAGAGGAAGGGGCACAACAACACTGTGAGCCTGGGGATGTTTGCCCAAAGAGGCCTCCTTTTTCTAATTTTCACGAAGGTGCTACATCGGCTGCCCTGCCTTTCAGAGGTGTTCATTGTGCCACTGATAGCCCTTAGTATCCTGCAGCAGCTGTTGTTGGAGGAGTTCAGGGTTTGGAATCATAGCTTTCTCTCTTTCCTTCAAACACTAGTCATAATATACAGCTGCTGCTTTTGCCATGAGGATCAGTCTTGGCCTTTCCGTAGGGAACTGACTGACTTTGTAGGGAACTAACTGACTTTGTTGGGAAGTTTGACACTTTCTGATTCTCTTCCTTTATGCGTGCAACAGGGATTCTCAGGAGCATTTTTCATCTGGAAATGTAAGGATTTGGAGAGCTGATTCTCGGAGACTATGGGTTAGCAAGTCTTACATTGCTCCATTCCCAAGAGAAAATTTTAGGTAATCAAAGGAATAGAACAAAACGAGGATGAAGCGAGGGTTTTATTCTTCATGCCTTACACAATGTCATGAGAACTTTTGCATGATAAATACCTATAGAATATCTGTCAGAAAATAGAGGCCATCCACTTCTTGGAGCCCCACATGACAAAGAAAAAGCTTTAATGTATGGCACCTGTGAAACATCTTTTGGTGTAAATGAAAGAGATTGGTCACTTCCAGGGGGACACGGTGAGCAGCTGGTGTCTGCAGATCTTTTCCTTCCACAAACCTCTTTCATTCAGCTTTCCCAAAACAAGTGGCAGGCAGGTCTCAAATCTCTATTCTGATGTTTGATGCCATTCAAGGAGCAATCTCTTTAAAGAAAAAGGCTGAGAAACTAGTTTGAGTATTATCTGACTATAATTTGACATTATCATGAGTTGAAAATGACAGAATTTTGTTGAACAAAAACTCTTTTGACTGATGTGTGTCTCTTCTAGTTCGGAGCATTTCAGTCATTGTTTTATAAAAATAATTTTATTTACTTGAGGTTTGGCAAAGAGAAAGAGAAACAATTTACTCTTTAAGTCAATAATTGCCTTATAAAGAGTATATGACCTGTTTTACTTTTTGCACAAATTTATGCAGTACATGTGCAACTTTGTTATGTGCAGAGATTGGGTGGTTGTCAAGTCATAGCTTTTAGTGTATATTCCTCACCCAAATAACATACATTGTACCCATTAACTAATTTGTCATCATTCATTCTCCTCCCAACACCCCCCACCCCGCCACTCTTCTGAGTCTTCGTTGTCCAGCATCCCACTCCCTACATCCATGTGTACACATTTTTTAGCACCCACTTATGAGTGAGAACATGTAATGTTTGACTTTCTGTGCCTGGATTGTTTCACTTAAGATAATGTGACCTGTTTTGTTGTGTTTCCTTTCCAGAAACTCTTTATATCTTTTCCTATCTCCAGTGCTCTAAACTGTCATGATTATATGCCTTGGTCTTTTCCATGTATTGTGTTGAGAGCTTGGTGAGCCTTTTAATCTGAAAGTTTATGTCCTGTGGTCTGTGACATTTGTCTCTTTTACATTTCTTTGAAAATCTTGTCCCCCTCTGTTTACTCTGTTTTGTCCTTCTGGAGCTCAGAGGATTCAGATGTTGGATTTCCTGAACTAAACCCCTAACTCGTTCAAAAATATTTTTTTCTCATGATTTTACTTAATTAACCATTCTTAACACTTTTAAATCTTTTATTGATCTTTTATTCATTAACCATTTTTAAACATTTTAAGACAAACCCAAACTTACAGGAAATTCACAGATACGAAAAAGAAAAAGAACTTTTTTCCTAGTCCATTTGAAAGCAAGTTGTGAAGATGACACATCATGACATCTCACTGCTTTAGTCTGTATTTCCTGCAAACAAGGACATTCCCCCACAAAAACACAAAATAAGCATAACAATTAGAAAATTAACATTTATACATGACTACCATCTAATTCTCAGACCCCAGTTAAGTTTTTCTGTTTTCCTCAATAATGTCCTCAACAGCAAAAAGATCCAGTTCAGTATCATATATTGCAGTTAGTCATTTCTCTTTAGTCTTCTTAATCTAATTTTTCCTTCATGACTTTGACACTTTGGAAAATCACAGGCCAGTTATCTTGTAGACTTTCCCTCAAATTGGGTTTGCCTGATGCTTTCTTTTGATTCGATTCAGGTCACGCGTCTTTGGTAGCAGATTTCACAGATGGGCCGCAGAGCATTTGCACTGCATCCGCTCAGGTGGTGCATGATTTTGATTCGTCCTATCCCTGATGATGTTCTCTTTGATCATTTGATTAAGGAGATATCTGCCACACTTCTCTGTAAAGTTGCACTTTTTCCCTTTGTAATTAACAAGTACTTTATGGAAAGGAATTCTGAAACTCTGTAAATATCCTTTTCTTCATCAAACTTCCCATATAGTCAGTATTTATATGCGTATGACTCATGGTTTCCTATTATGTTCAGTGGATTATAATCCCCTACCATCATTATTGATTTTGATGCTCAGAATGTCCCCAATTTCAGCCGATTTCTGGATCTTTTGATATGTCACATCATTCTTTGAGAGCTTTCTTACTTTTAGGCATACAAAATATTTCAGACTCACCTTAGTGTTGGAATTAGCCATCTTTCTAGTGGTCAATGGTATTTAGAAGTTGAGATCTGAGTGCTGTGTTCATTGCTATTGGGGCACTGCCAGGCCCTCTCAGAGTGTAATACACAAAATACACACACAAATGCACAAACAGTATACACATAACTATATATACATTTTTATTCCTATATCTATCTATAGTGAAAACAATATATAAGTTCATTCCAATACCTCTAATACCATAAGGTTCATTCTAGTTTTCTCTTTTTCCATATTTTTAACTTCCTTTTCTGAGAGTGATATCTTAACATCTTTACTTATCTGATCAATGGCTTTATTTAAACCAACTCCCAATCAAAGCCGTCTTTCCCTCCCCCACAAGGATCTCCGCCTCATCCTAGTCAGGATCTGACTCCCTGTGCCAGGCTGCCATTGAGCCCCCAACTATGTGGATATCTTCCTCGCTCCTCTTGTGCTCAGACACCCCAAGCAGGGCTTCTGACCCTGCACAGATACCATTTCAGGGTCACCCTGCACCAGGCCACCACACCCCCACACCCCCAGGTCAGGCTCCAATTCCTGCACTGCACCAGCACATGCCCTCCCCTCCCTTAGCCTCCACACGGTAAAGACCCTCACTTTTCTCAGCCTCATCTCATGGTTTTGAGACTGACTTGTTCATAAAGGGAAAAAGAAGAAATTATCTTGATCTTTTTATTTTGCCTTCTAGAGTCTCTCTTCTCCTTTACCTTCCAATCTTTCTATTAAACTTTTAAAAATTTATGACTTTTTTTTTAAAGACAGGGTCTCACTCTGTCACCCAGGCTGGAGTGCAGTGGCACAATCGTAGCTCACTACAGTCTTGAACTTCTGGGCTTAAGTGATTCCCCCTGCCTTAGTCTCCCAAGTAGCCCAAGTGTGTGCCACCATGCCCAGCTAATTTTTAAAACTATTTGTCGAGATGGAATCTCACTATGTTGCCCAGGCTAGTCTCAAACTCCTGGCCTCAAGCGATCCTCCCACCTTGGCCTCCCAAACAGTTGGGATTACAGTCATGAGCCGACCTTGATGGCAGTGGCAGGCCCTCCAGAGCGTCCACTGCCATCGTGCCAGCTGCAGCTGGAGGCGTAGGTGGTGGTGGCAGGAGTGACTGCAGGAGCAGCAGTGGCTATGGTGGGCCCCTGTGACTCGCGTCCCCGAGGCAGCTGACTACGCCACCTCCATCGTCGTACAGCCGGGCAGGACCCGCTCCCAGACCCAGAGCCTCCGCTGCAGCCTCAACCCTGCTTCCTGCTGCATCTCGGAAGCCTGCGAGCACCCGGCGGAAGGCACAGCCGGGACTTACTGGGACAGCTCTGAGAGCGTCAGGTTTATTTGTTGTGGGGCTGGCCAGGGCCGCCATGCCACCTGCACCTTGTCCACCGATGCTGCGGTGAAAATGCGGACAGGAGGTGGGCAGTCCCTAGAGCCCACCCCTGGGAGTCCCTCAGAGCCCACTGCCCTGGGAGCCGCAGTGATGGGGTCGGGCTGAGTTGTCCGCTGCTGGGGGAGCAGCACAGTCGGGCATGGAGGGGCGGGCAGAGAGGGGCCTCGAGGCGGAGGTAGGTCCAGGGTGGTGGTGCGCTCCACTCTGCACGGAACCAGCAGGGGCTGGGAGCAGGCAGGAGCCCCGCCCTCCCAGGTGCAGCTGCAGCCACCCAAGTCATGGCTGCACACCCAGGCATCTCTGCACTCTCGGGGTCGGGAAGGACCCGCGCCCTGCCCCCGCAGGCTCAGAGGTGTCTGCTCCTGCTGCCTGGCCTCTCCCCGCTCCCTGCACTTGCTCTGATCTTGGAGCAAAGTTGTAGTCAAGCCTGGACGCTGTCGCAGCCTGGGCAGGTGTGTGCACGCTCGAGGCAGTGTGGACACGCCAGCCCCCTGCCTCCTCGCCCCGCTGGACTTTAGGCGCCAAAGAACACAAGAGGGAGTCCAGGTGGGCCTGAGGGCAGCTCAGTGCTGGCACACAGGTGCCTGTTGGCCCAAATAGCCTGAATGCCATGAATGGCAGTAGGAGGCAAACAGGCAGAAGGGGACGAGTCCTCTGTGAATCCCCACTTTCAAGCTGGGGAGCACCTGAACCCTGAGGGCGGGGCTGCAGTTCCCGTGAACCGGAGTGGGAACATGCGGTGTTTTTTCCAGGCCCGCCCGTCGACCAATCAGCACGCACTTCCTCCCCTCTGAGACCCATAAAAAGCTTGGGACTCAGCCAGACCTAAAGAGATGACTGGAGACCAGCTGCAAAGAGGTGCTATCTACCCTAGGGTCTCCTCTCTGCTAGGAGCTGAACACTCCTTAGGATGACCTGCCCAGCGGAGAGGAGCTACCCTTTCTGCTAAGAGCTGAACACTCGTTGGGACACCGTTGGGACACCAGAGAGGGGTTGCCCACTGCGGGTCTCCTGTGAGCTGTTTGTTACTCAATAAAGCTCCTCTTTGTCTTGCTCACCCTCTGCTTGTCTGTGTACTTCATTCTTCCTGGACTCAGGACAAGAACTTGGGACCTGACAGATGGCAGGGCTAAAAGAATTGTAATACAAACAGGACTGAAACATGCCCCTTGCTCACCACGTTGTGAGCAACAAGGAGAGAAGAGAGAAGGAGAAAAGAGCTGCAGCCCTTCAGGGAGCCCAGACCTAAGAGCTTGCCAAGCTGGGGCTGTGACAGCCTCTTTAGGGCTCTGTGATTCCTGGCGTCTCCAAGCTTCTGGGTGACAACACATTTCCTGGTGTCAGCCGTAGAAACTCCCTGTGGTACGCCTGGTCCGGCTGCCGCCTCACAGGGAACCAGCCCCTTTGCCGGTGCCTGGGGTTGCCCACCCCACTGGAGCCAGCATGCCTGGCTGTGCTCAGTGGCTGGACCCCATGCTTACTTGCTTACACACCCCTCGCCGCCCCACTCACCCTTGGCAGACGTGGGATCCAGGCCGGAAGCGTGAGCTGAGCACAGCCTGCAGGGGCCGAGCAAAACTTGGGCAAAGGCACCACTGGCCACAGAGGTTTCCAGCTGGAAAAGCAACAGCCCAAGGATCCCATAACAACATACTTTTAATCCTCAAGAGTTCTTATTCTCTGAATGTTCTTTTTAAATAGCACTCTGATCTTGTTTAACAGTTATATTTCTTATCTGTCTTCTTAACTGTTGCTTTTCTTTCCTCCTATTCTCTGCATGTTTCTGATAGTCCTAAATTTCTTTTTTTATTGTTTATTATAATTTCTGTCTTTCATGTAGGAGACTTTCTCAAATACCTGTTGATGACCTGTCCAATTGTATTTAAGAATGAACCAATAAAAAGCTGAATGCAGGTCCTACGTATGGAGGAGACCTGCCAGCCAACTGACCTCACCATGACAAAGACCTCCCTTGTGACTCCTTGGTTCCCTTGTATCACAAGACACCCCTACACTCAAGCTTCCCTATGTCACAAGTTACATCTAACCATAAAAAAGAAATAGTTACTAGGAAGAAATCCTTGACAGCTTTCTCTAGTTACTAATCTATTTCTGCATAAATGTTCCATGCAAAGGCATACAAGAGAACACCTAAAACTTCTCAGACTTGAGACTGAGGAGTTGAATCACTGAGATATTGAACTTCTCCATTTCTTCCTCTTCTAAGCAGATTTTAGTAAATGTCAATTATAATCCAAAATTTGAGTCTTTATTTAAAAGCTAACTATAGGATATAGATGTGTGTGTGTGTGTACACAGATTTATCTTCTAGTTCTGTCTGCTGAGAGGACCTAGAATTAATGTTACCCTTGTAACTAAAGGCACATTAAGAACCAACGCTAGTTTTTAAATTTCATTCTCCAGTAAAAGCAATGAGAGCTCCTTGGAGAAATGGCTCATTTTAGGCTAGATTAGAAAAAGTACAAGGTAAACCTGGAACATCTTATGTTTCCAGAAAGTAAGAAAGTACTCAAAAACTGTTGGGGATATGTCAAAAGGACAGAAAAGCCTATTTTAAAAAGTTTTCACTGGTTAAATTTGGGACAATTTGAACAACAAAATAAATAATGAGAATAATGGAAAATAACCCATAGAATAAGATAAATGTCCCTGAGTCCATACTGATATAAATAGATACTTTAATAAACAAATAACTGAGGAAAGAGAAGAAAGCTCTCACTGTAGAATTTCAATTAAAAATGTAGAAGGAGTTATGGAGAAAAAGAAAATCACCATTTGGCAATCACCAGAGTGATAGTTGTTACAGTCAAGAAGCATCAATGCATGCTAAAACTAGTGATTCAAAATTTGTTGAGAAACAGAATATGTTGCTCCCTATAATAAACTAATTTAAAAAGCAACGTTAGGGTGGAGAGGCCTGGCAGACACCACGTTAACCAAGTGATCAAAGTTAACCTCACTAGTAATGAGATATGTGGACATCATGTCCTTCCCGGTATGGTGCTCTGAGAAGGAACATTCTCTAAGGCAACTGACTAGTACTTTTTAAAAGTATTAAAGTCATTCAACACAAAGAAATAATGAAGATCTGTCTTAAATTGGGAAAAACTAAGGAGACACAAGAAGTGCAGTGTCCTGTATTAAGTCCTGGACCAGAAAAGTAAAATTGGTAAGGTTTGACTAACGGCTTAAATTAATTAATAGTATAGTATCAATGTTAATTTCCTGATTCTGATAATTATACTATAGCTATGTAAAACATTAACATTTGGGGAAGCTGGGTGAAGGGTATATGTACTATACTTGCAACTTTTTGGTAAGCCAAATTGTTTCCAAATGAAAAGTCTTTAAAATTTTTTAATAAAATAACTAAATCAGGACCGTACCTTGCTTTTACACAGCCGTGAAACATCATCATAGATAAGTCTTTCGCTGGTGTTGTTCATTTTCTCCAAAGAACCTCTTTGCCAGCCTTCTGGGAGGGGATGAAGAAGGCACTTAGAGTTTCATTATTTAGTCAATGTGTAGATGTTCATGCAGTTCTCTCCTTTTCATTTAGTGCTTTACCCTTTATTGAGCCTTGTGTCTCTAGGTCTGAGACCTTTATGGCTCAGTTTCTCCAAGGGGCATGCTTCTTGTTTCCTGTAATAGGTAGGGCAGGGCTGGCCATGTGGCTTCCTGGGGTGGGAGAAAGGACAGGACTCAGGTCTAAATGCTTCTCATGAAGATTTTTACCAGTTAGGTTGTTTTCAGTCCCACTCCTCAACCTCCCCTTCAGAGGTACCCAGTGCCTCCAAACCCAAAACTTTTTAGGGCCTGCATGGTACAAGTCAGCTTGCTTCTCATTAACCATCCCTCTGAAGGCCCCTGGGCTTGGACTTCCTCCGTGAGTTATCACTCACCCATTCACCTTCCATTGTCCTGCTCTCTATTGTCTCCCTGCCCATTCTCTTTGTCTATAGGGTTTATTCCTTTAGGTGTCTGTATGGTCATTTTAGAGACATTGCAGTGGAAAGCAAAGATAAATGCATGCTTCTAATTTCCAGGCCTTACTGGAAGTCCTCAGAATATTTTGTATCTTTTCTCTGAGCAAGTCCATCTGCTCCTTGTGCAAAATGGATTTGGGCCAATGCTGTAACATTCAGAATTCTGAAGCTATATATGAAGACTAGGTTCTTTCTCTGAACCCTTGCAACCTTGAGGGTCACTTGACCTCAGCACTTAAAAAGGCCTCTAGTCATATGAGAGACCAATGTAGGTTTTCATTTCAGAAAATACTGTCTGTCAAATATTCAGGCAATAGACCTCCAGGTGTATTGTAGAGGGGACTTTTTTCTGGGGGCTTGCAGATACAGGGTCATTTGACTAAGCCTTGAGATGCAGCCACTCTGGGAAGGGAGGGAGTAGAAAGTGAAGAGGAAACGTAACATGGCTAAGAGCATGAGCTTTGGAGCTAGACTTTCGAGTTCAAATCTCTGCTCAGCCACTTGCTTGCTGTATGTTCTTGAGCAAGTTATTTATCCCTTAATATATTCAAGTCATTTACCTATAAAATGGATATAACAATACTCACCCCATTGGTTCACTGTGAGGATTAAATAATACCATGTATATAAAACATAAATGTTACCTAATTTTATTACTACACCCTATTAAAATGGTTTACTTACTGGACCTTCCAAGGATGACAGAAGCAAATAGTAAGGAAAAAAATATTGCGCTTGTTTAAGAGACGAACTGTGATAATCTTGCCATTTAGAACCGAGGTGGAAAGCATGGACTGTGTGCACTGCTCCCCTGGATGCTCTGAGCTGGTTTTGAGCCATTCGAGCCATTCGAGCTGCAGGGGTCACCTTCCCACTCCGTGCTCTTCCCTGCGGGTGATACTGTTCTCTCCTTAGCAAACCAGACACCTTTCAGGTGAGGCTTCTTGGCAAAAAGGACCATTTTTAGTCTCCTTTGGAGTCTGTTCAGCAAATAATGCCTGTCTCCTTTTTTTTTTTTGGAGGTTTAAACCCATGTATATCTTTGGTGTAAAGCACTGATATCTGACCCAAGGCCTTTACTCCGGATGAGAAGACATGCCTGAAGGAAGCAGCAGTACTTCTGGCCCAGGCAGCTGCCTTTGAGTGGGGCCATTAGATACATAGGAATGTTGTCCAGGGTCTTAGAGAGCACTCTGTTTCTCTTTCTCTCTCTCAAGTTCTCTCTCTCTCTCTTGCTCTTTAATTTCCTTCTTGTGTAGTTCATAGAAGGAAGGGTTCATAAGCCCCATCCTACATGGTTAGCTGGTGGCTGCCAGGAGGTCTTTTGGATCAAAGAGATGGTGGATAGGTGGACTCTGCTCTTGAATTTTAGTAGATTCCCTCCAGGAAAGTTATACGGCTGCCGAGAAAGATTGTGTTACAACAATAAGAAGAGCAGCTGTTGTCTCCATGACTGTTGTTCCAGAAACTCATAACAGCATGAGCCTTGGTTTTAACATTCTACTAGAGGGCCTCGGAGAAGACATTTTACAGCTAGCAGATGTTTTTAATCATAATAGGGTGTGTGTTCACCAAGGAGCCTGCAGAAACCAAGGGGGATACAGAGTATGACTAGAAGCCTTGTAATTTCTATAGAGAGCAAAGTGGGGGAAGAGAAGTGATTGTTGTTGTCTTAGAAAACAGGAGAAGTTAACTTCTCTTAAGAACATATTTTGGGGAATAAGATTGTTTTCACTCACATACAGACAAATATTTTAAAACACATGTTCTTCTCCCTAATCCATGGATAAAACTTCTTAAAGGAAACTGAGACCCACTTCATGCACATGGGTGACTAGCACAGATCACCTCTTGTAAGTGTTACGTTTTCTATTGTAGATGAAAATTTTTGAAATCCATTAAATAGTACTGTTTTCAGGCCACAGAAGATGATTTTTATACAAATGGATGGGAATGTCTTTCTGTGCAGCATGAGCAAAGGATTTGAGCTCTGGCTTTAAGTACTACAGTCCATAGAACACGTCTATAGTTTCTTCACTTAGACTCAGTCACTGGGTAGGGCCCACCAAGTAGCTGATTGCATGTAAGAAAGCCCCCAACCCTTTTGTTCTGTATGAAGTTGAAAAATGAAACACAATTAGAGAAATGATAATTCCAACTTCACTGACTACATAAAATTAACCAGCCCCAAAGAAGTAATGAATCTAAGGAGCATCTTGAGCAAATAAATGGTCTTATAACATTTAACATGTAGGATATTATATTTTAAAACCAAGATCCAAGGCTACTGTGAGGAAGCATTAAAGGGTTCAGCCGGCTGCCCACACAAGCTTCTTGGAGTATCCTTTAGCAGGGACATCTTTGTCTAGTACCTGAATCTTCAGCATCAGTACGTACAGATGTGCCCTAGCTCTCAAGTATGGAGGAACATTTTCCAAATGCATAAGACACTGATTTTTAAACATAACAACACAGGACTTCTACAATGAGAGACCAGGCTTTTCAGTAATTGGATACTTAGTCCACCTATCTGTATCATCTCCCTCTCATTGTCTTCCCTGGAGACCATAAGGTTCCTTGGCGAACTTAGAGAGGAGAAAAGATTACCTAGTTTCATGGGACCAGCATGTCACATGAACTGGAAGTCTTGTCCCAGTTCCACAGGAAAAGGCACTTTTCTAGCACCCAGAAACCATGAATTGGTCAGACTACTGGTTAGACCTATTTTTAAAACCCTGACCAGGACTTCTCTATTTATCTCCTGTCCCTAGGGTCCTTGGAGAGTTTTGCATTTGCATTTGTCATTAGCATGCTACAATTTTCAAAACTGTAGCTTATCTCAATAAGCTAAAGTCCATTTGAGATGAGAAGTTTCCTGTGGAGACACAGAAGACACCCGGGGCCCTTGGCAAGATTCGGGAGACACTCCAGTCTTGTCGGTAATGTTTGCCAAACATCTCCGAGTGTGGATGACTCACAGAGGAGGAAGAGCTGTTGGGGGCTAATCCCATGCATTGCATATTGATTTGTCACTTTCTGTTTTCAAAAATGTCACTTTCTGACTTGTTTCTAAATCCTAGTGCTAATTTTAGGGACTTTTCTGACTATCCAGAATTATATTTTGTAGGATATTTATTGGATCACCAGGGAAACAACTTGTTATAATTCTACTTAGTCAAGCTGCATATATACAAAATCAAAAAGAAGAAATAAAACAAACCATGGCTTACCCCCATCAGCTTCATTCATAGGTGTGCAGCCTCTTGAGATTCTTCTCTCTAACTTAAAGTAGGGATGGGAGGAATGTTTAGGATGCTTCGCATCCATTCTGCATTCATGGTGAAGTGTCTCACCGTCTTCAGTCAATCAGCAGCTTGAGGGTACTTGACCCTGGTATTTGGCCATTGTCTATTCATATCTGTCTGGAGGCTTCATGGCCTCTCTGAAAAGCTCTGAGTCTGCTTCTTGGATACATGGTGGTAAACCACTGAGATGGACTGGGACCTGATGAAAACTGCAAATGCAGCTGGAAACAGCCAACTTTGCCATCTCTCAAAAGAGAGGTTGAGATGCTCAAGTTTAATCTATTGTGTATGTGTGATGAGGAAAACATCAAGAGCCTAGGAAAGGAAGCCTAAATCTTCTTCAGCCTTCCCTTTGATCAGGGTTGTGTCTGCCTCTACTATATTTGGGAAACTCTTTCCATGTCCTGGAGAAAGCCCAAGAACTTTGACCTTAAGTTCTATGTAAGAATTTGATCCAGGATATTGGAAAACCTTTAAGGAAAAGTTTTATTTTCAAAGATGCTTTTATATCTTGTTAAAAGCTGCAATCAAAATTCACTTTGAGGCCGGATGCAGTGGTTCACGCCTGTAATCCCAGCACTTTGGGAGGCCAAAGTGGGTGGACCACCTGAGGTCGTGAGTTTGAGACCAGCCTGGCCAACATGGTGAAACTCTCCCTCTACTAAAATTACAAAAATTAGCCAGGCATGGTGGCACATGCCTGTAATCCTGGTTACTCAGGAGGCTGAGGCAGGAGAATCACTTGAACCTGGGAGGTGGAAGTTGCAGTGAGCCGAGACCACGCCACTGCACTCCAGCCTGGGTAACAGAGCAAGACTCTATCTCAAAAAAAAAAAAAAAAAAAAAAAAAATATATATATATATATATATATGTAAAATTTTTAAAAAATTCTCTTTGATTCTTTTGTTTATGTAAAAATCGTTCTGTGAGAACTTTTTTTTTAAAAAAACTTATTTTTTAGAACAGCTCAAGATGTACATGTCTCTGCTTAGCTGGGATAGTTTGCCAACCTTTTCTTGCTTTTGATGGCCTTGGCATTTTTGAGCAGTATTGAGCAGGAATTTCGTAGGACAATCCTCTAGTAGAATTTGTTTGAGTTTTTCTCATGATTAGACTGGGGTTATAGATTTTGAGGAAGAAGATCGCAGAGATAAAGTGTCATTTTTACCACATCATATCAAGGTTACGTAATCACATGATTTACGGTTGTTGATGTTGACCTTGATCGCCGGACTGAGTTGTGTTTGTCAGGTGTCTCCACTGTGAGGCTACCTTTCCTTTTTCTCTCTTTGCATGCTGTACCCTCTGGAAGGAAGCCACTCAGCACAGCCTCCCTTAACGAGTGGGGCATTATACTCCTTGAGGGCAGAGTGTGCATATAAATTGTTCGGAATTCTTCTGCATGGGAGCTTTATCTCTCGCTCCCCTCCCTGCATTTATTAATGTATTCAATCATTTACTTATATCAGTATGGACTCATGGATATTTATTTTATAGTTGGATTATAATACAATATACTTAATTGTGTTGCCTAAATTGCTTCAGTACTGGCTATTGGGAATTCTGATAGTTGGTTCCTGGGCTCCTTTGATGTACTCCCACCAATGCAGTATTTTTGTTTGACTGGTTTTTTAGTACTTCCTTTCTTTCCGGCATTACGCAATGATCCATACTTATCGTGTATATTTTTTGCCCAGCCTTAGAATCAGCCATTTCTCCAAAGCACTCTGGTTCCTTTTATTGGAGAATAAAAATAGAAATAAAGATCTGGGTTGTAGATACACTCGGTGCTACTGGAGTGTCACTTCATCTAGGCCCTCTGAGCTGAGAAAACCAAGAAATAGGTGTGTGTATCCCAATGCATGAGTATACACGCATCTATAAGTGTTTTGATATGTAACTGTCTGTATCTGTATTAAACTAATAAATTCCTCTGATATCTCCATCTCTAATCCATTACCATACGAGTCATTCTAGCCTCCTCCCCTTGCTTATCTGTAAATTCCCACTCCAACAGTGAGAAATCTGGCTCTTCGGGAACTGTTTTATGCAGATAAACCAATGCTAACATTTAAGCAAACATTTTTCAGACATTTCTGTCTTTGTCTCTGTCCACGTTCTTGCCTTTCTGCTAATATTTTTCTAAATATATATGCTTATCTGTATTATTTCCTTATTTTCACATAAATTGTACCTATTCTTCCATATGTACCTTTGTAATGTCCTTTTGTCCTATGTAACTACTTATCGGACACTTTTTTTTTCTTATTTCTATAGGTTTTCAGGGAACAGGTGGTGTTTGGTTACATGCATAAGTTCTTCAGTTGTAGTTTCTGAGATTCTGGTGCAGCCATCACCCAAGCAGTATACCTGTACCCAATTGATAGTTTTCCATCCCTCATCCCTCTCTAATCCTTACTCTCATGTCCCCAAAGTCCACTGTATCATTCTTCTGCCTTTGCATCCTCATAGCTTAGCTCACATTTATGAATGAGAATATGTGATGTTTGGTTTTTCATTCCTGAGTTACTTTGCTTAGAATAATGTTCTCCAATTCCAACCAGGTTGCTGCAAATGCTATTATTTTGTTCCTTTTTATGGCTGAATAGTATTCCATGGTATGTGTATACCACAATTTCTTTATCCACTCATTGATTGATGGGCATTTGGGCTGGTTCCATATTTTTGCAATTGCAAATTGTGCTGCTATAAATATGCATGTGCAAGAATTTTTTTCATATAATGGCTTCTTTTCCTTTGGGTAGATACCCAGTAGTAAGATTGCTGGATCAAATGGTAGTTCTACTTTTAGTTCTCTAAGAAGTCTCCACACTGTTTTCCATAGTGGTTGTAATAGTTTACATTCCCACCAGCAGTGTAAAAGTGTTCCCTTTTCACCAAATCCACACCAACATCCATTATTTTTTGATTATGGCCATTCTTGCAAGGAGTAAAGTGGTATCACATTGTGGTTTTGATTTGCATTTCCCTAGTCATTAGTGATGTTGAGCAGTTTTTCATATGTTCGTTGGCCATTTGTATATCTTCTTTTGATAATTCAGACACGTCTTTTTATGTTAGTAAATTCTGAGGTACTCTTTGTTTTTAAACATATGTATTCCATAAATTAACTAGTCCCTTATTAATGAATGCCTCGTTTGTTCCCGAATTTATCACTATTACAAATAATGCCACAGTGCAAAATCCTTCTGGACGTTACCTCTGCAGAAAATATTCCTAAAAATAGAATTTACCATACAGAGATAGGAGTCTTTGAATTTTTCAAAGCACTTCCAGGAATATGAAATTTAATTTAGGCTGGACTTCTAGGAGTCAAACAAAATCCGATAGTTTGTTTGGGGGTGCACTGAGTGAGGGCTCCACTGGCTCTGTCTTGGTGCCACAGTAGAGAGGGGCTGTAGGAAGGGCCCAGGTCTGTTTTGGCCTCCTCCACAGATCTGATGCCTTCTCCCCTGCAGGTTGCTTTGGACTGTACTTGGGTCAGCACCTAGGATCTCTGTAAAGACAGAGTCTGGATCATTGCACTTGATTGTTCTCTGGCCTAGTCTGACCTTACTCAGGAACCAACTGCTCAAATCTTCTCTCAGCCCCAGTCCCCCGCCACCACCTTTCCCCATATTCCTCTGTCTCAGCATTTCTAGGTCGATTCAACCCTGACCTAATTGATTATTGAAAGCTCTGTGCATATCAGCCTCTGCTGTATCCCGGGAGCACCATTAACACATTTCTTTAAGTATCCGGGATAGGTGAGTCAATTTGCAGATCAAGCAAGAAAGAATAGAAATTAGATTAAAGCTTCACTCAAACCTTGCAGCCGAACCCGGGACAAGACCTACTAGAAAGTCAGAAGTAGAGGCTTTGTCTTTGACATTCTGGTGTGCTGATTCTACTAATCTCTGCCCTCAGTGTCAACTGCCAAGCTGCTTGCTGAAAAAGCCGTGGAGAACTTTCTTACAGGTATTTCCTTTAAAGAAACTCTCAAGGATTAGAAGTCTTCTTGATTCAAGGGAGTAAAGTTGTGATGAAATGGCAAAATGACAGTCTGTGGGGTCTGTGACTCCTAAACTCATGCCACCTGGGTGAACATTTATTCCCCTCATGTATTTGTTGTGAGAATTAGATGAGAAAATGTGTAGCATTTAGCATAGAGTAGATACTCCATAAATATGTAGTAACAGCCAAAATAGCTAATATTTATTGAGAATGAATTATGAACCAGACATTCTTCTAAGTATTTTACACGTGCTAACTCATTTGATCCCCACAGCAATACTGTGAATTGGGTGCTTTTCTATTTCCTAATTTTACAAATGAGGAAATGTAAGTATAGGAAGTTAAGGCAACTGGCCCGAGATCACACAAGTAGTAACAAGATTCAAGGCCAGCCATCTGTCTTCAGAGTTTGTACCCTCCACCCCACTCTGCTGGCTCTCGTGAGGCGCAGTGTTCCCTAGTGGGATGAGGGTTACCTTTGGAATCCATGGCAGACACTGCTAGATGTCTCCCCAGTGTCCCTTTCCCCACCTCCTCCTTGCTAACTGAACTCCAATATTTTTTTGCAGGATGGTAACATGTCCAGTTAAAAATAAAGAACTTCCCAGGGTCCCTTGCAGCCAGGGTTATCGAGTGGCCCAGTTCTGGCCAATGAGATGGAAGCCAAAGGGACAGACTCCACTGGCACCACCTGTCCATCATCCCCTCCTCTCCTCTCCCGCCTGTCTGTGATTGTGCTTGCTGGAAGTGCAGCAGCCTTCTTGTGGGCAGGAGGATGACACCACATGCCCAGGGTGCAGGAGCAGGAAGACAGAGGGCGGGTGGGGTGTTGGCAGCAGTGCAAGCCACCAGCAGTCCTGGAGGGCTCACAGCTGACCCTTCCGTGAAGGAGAAAAATGATTTCCTGTTTAGTTCATTCACTGTAAGTCTGGTTTCTGTTATCTGCAGCCAACAGCAATGGTAATTGAAACAAAATCCCAGCTGTGCTAGGAGGTCCCTTGAGTGAGAGGGAAGTGTGTGTGCGCATGTGCTCATTTTGCTTCATTAGCTCTGAGCCTTGGTTTACTTATTTATTCTTATTCCTCATGTTACACCCCACAATATCTGGAAAGGCAGGTATACAGTCCATTACCGATGAGAATGAAAGGAAGAAAGGAAGGAAAAAGGGCAGAGAGGGAGGGAGGGAAGCAGTAAACACCCATAGTCCAGAGGGTGATACAGAGTAGGACTTATCCTTTCCCATAGGGCTACAGAGTCAGCCTCGGATGGATGCCCAGAAGTTTTGAGTCCCCTGGCCTTGTCTCTGCTTCCCTTTTCTAGCCCTTTCCCTTCCCTCAGACTCCAGTCTTATCTTGCTGGTCAAAGCCAAAGAGATCCTCAATTTTGGTTTTACCCTACAAGGGCAGCAGAGGAACCTCCTACTGTTCTCTGTGTGAGGGTCACTCAGCAGGTTCTGAGACCTGCTAAAATTGATATTACTAATAGCATGGATGCAGGAGACCAACTATACGGGTTCAAATCTCACTCTATCATTCTTAGCTATGTGATCTTGGAGAAGTTACTTGCCTTCTCTGTGCCAAGGATTACTTAGCTCTTAAATGAGAGTAATAATAGGGTTTATTAATAGAGTTTTTATAAATTTATATGTAAAATATTTAGAATAGTGATTCTTGACTGGGGGCAATTCCTGTCCCCTAGCCCAGGGGTCATTTGGCAAGGTCTGGGACATTTTTGGTTGTCCTAACTTGAGGAGGAGTGCTGCTGGCATCTCTCTAGTGGGTAAAGACCAGGGATTCTGCTGAACATCTTATAATGCACAAGACAGCCCCTACGTCAGAGAATGATCCAGCCCCAAATGTCAGTAGTGACAAGCCTGAGAAACCCTGATTTAAAACTATGCCTTGCTCGTGATAAATGCTATGTAAATTAGTGTCACTTTGATGTGTTTTGCTAAAGATTCCCTTTCCACTCTGGGTGTTGATAAAAAAGAATCAAAGAGGGAAAGGGGACCAACATTTTTGTTCTGCCATGTATGTGAGAGGTACAACAATGAGAAATTTTAAGAGGGTTGCAAGTATTTGAGATGTGTCTTTAACATGCCCCACACTGTGCCTGGCATGTAGTAAGTGCTCCTTAAATAGATTTTAGGACTATCGTGCTTTAGTCATTGATCACATGGAGGGCTATGGATCTTCTTGTGAGTTGGAGTTGCTTTGTATTTTCCTGAAGCCCTTTGGTAACAGGACATGAGTGTGTGGGGGTAGGGAAAGTGCTGGAGCTGTTGAGTTCAGCCTTGGGGAGGTGGTGTCACGGCTGGCTTTTTTCTTCCCCACTGAAAATGTTGCCATTCTAGGAGGGAGAGTTGGTCTGCTTGGCCTTGGTATTCGGGGTGGGGGATCTGGGAGGTGGGAAGACTGAGCATCCTGAGGCTAACTGCTTAGAGAAGGGGTTGGCAAATTGCTTGTGTAAAGGGCCAGATTTAAATAATTTAAGCTTTTTGAGCTAAGAGGAAAAATTAAGGATATTATGCACATAATCATGTAACAGGAGAGAAAATACATTGCTACACATTTCTATTGAGATAATTTAAAACTTTATGAACACTAAATTTGAATTTTATATAATTTTCACATATCATAAAGTATTATTCTTCTTCTGATTTTGCTCAATCATTTAAAAATGTAAAATTCATTTTTAGCTCTTGGGACATATAAAAACAAATGGTGGACTGCATTTGGCCTGTAAGGCTGTGGTTTGCCAACGCCTGGCTTAGAACATCATCACTTAGCCTGTGGCTGGTCTTGTCCTGAAGCCCTAGCCTGGTTCTCTCCGTCACAAATGCCGGTCACGTTCCTTTTAGTGAAGTCCCTACTGGAATTCCAGGCTCTGCAACAGAATCCCTGTGCAGTTCCCCAGCAGCCAGACTGACTGCAAACAGTCAGCCCCTAGAGCACTGGGCACTTTGTGCTAGGGGCCAGGACTGCACAGGTGGAAAGGTTGTGTCTCCCACCCGGCATTGCTTGCCATGTAGCGAGGAGACACCACGGATCAGGACAGTGAGATGGAGGCCATCATGGGCATGGTGCTACAGATCAAGGGCATGGGGAAAGGGGCACCCAGGTTCTCAGAGGGCATAGGGAAGGCTTCACAGAGGCGCTATGCCTGAGCTGAGACTGGAAGAATACATCGGAGTATTTTAGAGATTGGGGGTTGAGAGTGTAAATTTTCAGGCAGCTGAAAAGATCATGTGTGAATGATGGGAGATGAGATGAGAGGGCACACCATGTTCATGGACTTAGAGATACCCTCCTTTTTATTGCCAGCGCATAGTTTGGGGAGGGAGAGTGGCTGCTATAAAGCTGGACCAGCAGGCAGTGCTGAGTGTGGCTGTGGGCTTGCCTCTGGGGCCTGCAGAACACTGCCATGTTCTCATTTGTCACCCAGGCCTGCACCTGCTGCTCAGACTCACACCTTGAGGCTGGGCTACAGTTGGTGCTTTCAGACCTCCCACCTGCCTAGACTTCTGCATATCACCCAACTTCAGACTGGGCCAAACCTGCTCTTTGCTAACCTGGTAGCCAGCCCTCCTGCGCCCCTGCTGATGCACCTGCCCTACCCCTGAGGATTCTTCCAGCCCTCTGGCTTCCACAGAAAAGACTCCTAATTTCTGATAAATAAAATTGTTTCCTGGAATCTGGCCTGTTTCCTCTCCTTCCTACTCACTAGTAGGACTCACTTATTTTCCTCATCGGCTTTCTAAATGGGAGAAAATAGAGATGCCACACGTGGGCATTCTTACCTAATCGATCTAGGAGACAGAGCATGTGATGCCCTTGCTATTCTGAGCTGCACAGAACCCTGCCTCATGTGATGGCTGCAGAGAACACATCTTGGGAGGTACATGGCTAGAGGCATCAGGGATAAGCTCAGATTCAGCCTGATGCTATTTCTCCATTTCAGGTGTTAAATTCTGACTCTGTTGCTCTCCAGTTGGTTGTATTTTTTCAGGGTCTACCAGAGAAAACCCGACATTAGGAATTAGACACCTAAGATGTTTAAAAGTGGGTGAAGTGGAACCCTCACACACTACTGTTGGGAATATAACATGGTACAGCCACTGTGGAAGACACATTTGGGGTTCCTCAACAAATGGTAAACATTTGACCCAGCAAGTTCACTCCTAGCTATATACCCAAGAGAACTGAAAATGGATATTCACATAAAAAGTTGTACACAAATGTTCACAGCAGCCAAATATTCATAAATGCCAAAAAGTGGAAACAACGTAAATGTCCACCAGCTGGCAAATGGATAAACAAATGTGGTAATATCCACAGTGGCATATGGTTCAGCCATGAAAAGAAATGAAGCTCTGATACATGCTATAACATGGATGAACCCCAAAAACACTATGTTAACTGAATGCAGCCAGACACAAAGGACCACATATTGCATGATTCCATTTATATGAAATAGCCAGAATGGGAAAATCCGTAGAGACAGATGATAGACTAGCGGCTACCCGGGGCTGGGAGGAGAGGGGATTGGGCAGTGAAAACTTAATGGGTACAGGTTTTCCCTTGGGGGTAAACATGCTCTGGAATTAAATAATGGCGATGGTTGCACAACATCATGAATGTACTAGAAGCCACTGAACTGTACATTTTTAAAAAGGTGAATTTTATGTTATGTGAATTTTATCTCAATAATAATAAAAAAGTGAGTGAGGTCAGCATTCAGCTTCCTGTGTAAATAGAACCCCAGGTGCCACAGAGATGTTTCCGACGTCCTTAGCTCCTGGCTCTTACAGATCCTGAAGCCCGGTGGGCCTGAGTCCAATTTATGCTACTCTCCAGAAGAAAGCAAAATGAAGAATTGGCCCCTCTCCAATCCCAGGAACAGGCAGTAATTCTTCTTTTGTGACACCATTGAGGTGGATATTTATATTTGGATAGTTCATCTGTTAGTCTTATGGATTCTATGTTGACACTCAGTTTATCCCCTTGATCTGGAGGCCCAGGGCTCGTCTCAGGCAGGGGCTCCATGTCCGCATGGGGAAGTGTCTTTTCTTCTTCACTTCACCAAGTCTCCCCAGCTGTCTGCAAGTTCCCTCCACAGCCTCTCCCATTTACAGGTTCATGCATTCCAAAGGCACCCCTCCAGGCTTTTGGGCCAGGGCCAGGGACTGTCCTAGGCCCTGAGGATCTAAAGACGAACAAGACACAGTCCCTGCTCTCCAGGAAACAGTTAGGGAGGCAGAGAGGTGAGTGCACAAGTGCAACACTGGTGTGAAGGAGGAAACAGCCAAGGGCAAGAGAGTTGGCAGAGGGGCCAGTAGGGGTGCACGAGGTGGGCCTGGGAGAACAAGTAAGAATTCACCAGGGAGACAAGGCAAAGAGACAGACTTTTCAAAGCCACAGTGTGTGAAATAGCCTGGGACCTTGAAGGCAAAATTTGGGAGTGAAGACAGAGGGTGGTCAGTAGATGAGCAGATAAAGTTGAATAACTAGGCAGGAGCAAGGTTTGGAATGCCTTGTTTGCCAGCCTGAATTTGGGGTCTATCCTGACAGTGAAGAGAAACTACTCAAAGATTTTAAGAAGAGAAGTTCCATCATCAGATTTGTACTTTAGGGGGTAAAACATTCTGGGAGCAAAAGAGAGGCTGGATTAGAGAGAGAGTTGGAGTGGAGGTCAGTCAAGAGGCTACTGCACTGGTCCACACGTGAGATGATGAGAGCTGGATGAAGGTCATTGGCAGTGGGGATGAAGGGGCAGGGACAGAACTGACTGGGCTGTAAGATGCTGAGTAGCCATGGATGATGCAGTAGGGTCGGGGATATGAGGGAAAGAGCAGCCCTGGCAGACTCCAGGTTTCTGGCTTGAAAAGAAGTCATGATGTGAGAAGAGGAGCATATTTGGAAAAACAAGTGACAAGCTGAGTTTGGGGCAGGATGAGCTGAGTACCTGAGGCACATCCAAGTAAAGACGTCAGGCAGGCCAGCAGGGCTTGGAGCTGGGGCTCAGGGTAGAAGTCAGGACAGGATGGTGGCCTTGTGCACGTGCCCCATTTCTCCCCAGAAGCTCAGTTTGGGGAGCCATGACCTGGAAGCTGCTGGCGCCTGTCCCTGCCAAGGTCATCCTGGTTTAAACTCTTTCTCCCCGTTGGCATGTGATTTCATGCTGTTCACTTCTCCCTTTAAATGGAAATGCATAAAATGATCTCCGTCCTCCGGTGGGAATTGAGATCTTTTTCCTCTCTCAGCTCTGACACCTGCTACTGTTTCACTCATTATTAAAGGTCTGTGTGACTGGGTGGCATGCCTCAGGTGGTGCTAAACAGGGTGCAGGAGGGCCTGGAGAAATGTCAGGAGAGAGGTATCAGAAAATCACTCACAGCAGCAGAGAGCAAGTAGAGACACACTGCATGTGCTCTAATGCCTTTGCAGGGCCTCCGAGTAAAGATGCCACCCTGTCCCTGGACTATTAGACTCTGCTGCCATGATGCCTTCCCTCTTCCCAGGCCTCCTTCCTACCCTAGCTCCTCCAGTCCACCTTCTGGGTGTGTCTTATTCTTCAGGGCCACTGCCTTTCCTCAGTCCCTCCTGCAGGATGCTACCCCGATCTCGGCTGTTGAAATCCTCCCCTCTGTACTGGTTGCCTATGCTTTTGTAACAAATTACCACAAACAGAGTACTCACACAGCACAGATTGATCATCTTACATTCCAGAGTCAGAAATCTGACACGGGTCTCACTGAACTAAAATCAAGATGTTAGCAGGCTGTGTTCCCCTCTGAATTTCTAACACAGAATCTATTTTCTTGCCTTTTTCAGTTCCTAGAAGCCAGCAGCATTCCCTGGCTCCTGGCCCCCTTGTATCTCCCAAGCCAGCAACAATGGATGGAGTCCTTATATCACATCACTCTGACCTTTTCTGCTTCCTTCTCCCACTTCTAAAGACTCATGTGATTACACTGGGCAGGCCTGGAGAACACAGGCTGATCTCACTACATTATGGTCAGCTAATTGGCAATCTTAATTCCATCTACGATTTTAGTTCCACTTTGCCAGTTCGTATGTAAACACATTCCAAGAATCAGGATATGGACATCTTTGAAGGCATTCTACGCTAGGCACGTGTGGCTATTTACACTTAGATTTAAATGAAACTTTAATTCATTTAACTTACAGTGAGGCTGATACTCTGCAAGTCTCTGAGGCACATAGCAATAAATCAGACAGTTTGATCTAGAGATATATGAGCTGATAACACTTGGGTCTGCTTGTACCAGGTTCTCTTCTAGGGAAGATATTTATGTTTGAGCAAGAAGATTTTTGTTAGGGGATCTCAATTATAATATTAGCAACATTTATTGAGCATTTAAGTTCTATGCTAGCAATATGCTAAGGAGTTTTCATGCAGTTTCTCATTTAATTCTTAGAATAACCTTGTGAGGTAGATAATATTATACCCATTTTACAGATAAGAGATTTTGAGGCTTGCAGTGGTTAATTAGCTTGTCTAAGTCCACATAGTCACATAGTTTATAAGTAGCAGAGTCAGAATTCAAGGTGGGGTTGCACATGGCAGTCTGGGCTCTCTCAGTCTCCGTCCACTGTGCTGCCTCTGTCACCATGAGGAATGGCCCCATTAGGGCCAGACTAAAGGGCAAGCTACCTGACCCTACCAGGCTCCAGCCACAAGTGACACACTCAAGGGGACCTCTATCTGAAAGGCCAGTGGCCAGGAATGAGATATTGGGGTGGGAGCAGAGGCTGTGGGCGGTGTTCTATGCAGCCCCTTGTCCTGGCTTTCCTCGGGGCCTGCCATAGCCTTGGTTGCTTTTCTCCTTCAGCGCTACTCAGGCTGCAGAGGGAGGCAGGAGCCACCATCTAGTCCCGGCTTGTTTGCCAATTTATTATCTTGCAAACAAATCCTGCCTTGTGGTATTGTTGCTGTAATGGGAAAGAAGTTCATCTATTTCCAATTCTGCAATGTGGGCAGACTTCTAAGGGGTCTGTTTTCAGTTCACATATTAATGTGCCTCCTGCCACAGCTCCAAATAGCTTCTGCTCCTACATGTGGGCCATTTTACTTGAAGGGATGGGGAGGGAGGAAGGAAGGGGAGTGGAGCAATATTTTGTTTGTGTATACTTCCAAATGGGACAAGGCTAAAGGGACCAAACCTTGTCCTGTCTTGAGACAATACCCAAAGGCACCTGGACAAGATAAAAATCCAAATCCTTTATCTGTGAAAATTCTTTGCTCCAACAGAGCTGAAAAGAAACATGCATTTGTGTGTGTGTGTGTGTGCGCTCATGCATGCAGGCATGCACGGTAAAGCTGTCAAGATCTCAGGTTACCCCTCCTTCAAACAGCATGTTACTTACTGTCGTCTCCGTGATCCTCATAGCTTCCTTTTTATCTGGGGACACCACAGGTCTTAGAAGGACCAAATCAAGGAGTGGGAGATCCTTCTGTATGCTCTTGAGGCCAGCCAGGGACACAGTTTTCAACATCTTGTTTTCCCCAAACAGCTCTAGACTGAGACACTGCCAGTTAGAAATTCTACATTACAAGGGTTTTGCTGACATTTAAAACCCCAAACCGTACGATGCCATGATATTATTTCTTGTTTAACAAACTGAAAAAAAACAAAACAAAGCATCTTCTCAGCCTTGGTGGGCAGAGCCAGGCAGAGCTGAGCTGTTGGGAGGCCAGGGAGTGAAATCCTGGAGGGGACCCAGGAGTTCTGCAGCCCCCACCCCACCCCACATCTGCTGCTCTGACCATGGCTCCTCTTGTGCCAGTGCCTAATGAGTTTTATTATTATTATTATTACGGAGACAGAGTTTCACTCTTGTTGCCCAGGCTAGAGTGTAATGGCAAGAACTCTGCCTCCCAGGTTCAAGCAATTCTCCTGCCTCAGCTTTCTGAGTAACTGGGATTACAGGCACCCACCACCACTCCTGGCTAACTTTTAAATTTTTAGTAAAGACGGGGTTTCACCGTGTTGGCCAGGCTGGTCTCAAACTCCTGACCTCAGGTGATCCACCCGTCTCGGCCTCCCAGAGTGCTGGGATCACAGGCGTGAGCTACCACGCCTGGGCCTAATGAGTTTAAGAAGTTAAAGTTCCAAACTAGAGAGGAAGATGTAAATGTCCTTAATTCTCTGTCCTGAAACATCATTCATTAAAACCCTAATGTTTTAATCTTTATTTTAGATTACGTTTTTTAATTTATCTCCTCCTTCCTCATATGGGAACCTAGTGACTTTCAATTACCACTATCTGAGAAGAGATGTGTTTGTGTTCTTAGCCAGGGGCTTAGATGTGTGCTTATTAT
Organism: Homo sapiens; assembly: GCF_000001405.40. Classification (NCBI taxonomy): domain Eukaryota; kingdom Metazoa; phylum Chordata; class Mammalia; order Primates; family Hominidae; genus Homo; species Homo sapiens. The sequence continues at coordinate 66,073,718 of NC_000014.9, read as the reverse complement.
TTGCAGAGTAGTTTTTGTGCTCTCCCAGATTTTTTCTCGCTTATGTGATGCTCCTTAAAATCTACCTTTTAATCTTGACAGTCTGGGACTCATTTGCGTTCAGGCTTCTGGGTCTTCAGACCCATGCATTGCCTGCCCCACCATGTATTATTCATAGACACACCTGTTCTTAAGAAGAAATCCAACAGAGATTAATTCATTTTTTTGAATTAATTCATTTTTTAAAAATTCATTGTAAGTGGGAAATCACAACTCTCATTTGTAAACCTGGTGCCCCCATCCACTCATGAGTTATTCTGGAAACATCCTTTGAAAGCCGTCTTCCCCAGCAAGCAGAGGGCTGCCTTTCTTTGCTTCAGAGGGAACCCAAGAGCCCTGCTGGTGGGCCTTTGCCAGGGCCATATCTCTGTAATCTCTGATGCCGCTCAGTTGCATTGTTTTTGCCTGGCAGGAATGGCTCAGTGGTGAGGATAAGGCTGCATCACTGGAACGCATTTCGTGTTGATATAAGAAATTTGCAGAATTTGGAAAATGGAGCAAATTGTATCCTATGAGAACCTTGCAAGGTTTGCATTATTATCGAAATTTCACCTTTGCTATTATTGATTAGTTTTGTTCCTAAACTTTATTTTTAATGCATTTGAAGTAGTCTTCTGGTTGAGGATTATTCCTAAATTTTTAATTGTTCCTTTAATGCGTATTTGTCTTTGAGCTTCTTAGTTATACTGGGACCCAAATAACACCTCTTCTTATGCTAGATTTTTCTCCCAGAATGAACCAGCTGCTGTTTTGATTCAGAGCAATGCAGCAAATAGGCATGGCATGTGAGGCAGGGAAACCCACAAAAGCTTTTGACAGAAAACTGACATTTCTTTCTTTCTTTTAGAGATGGAGTTTCCTCTGTGTTGCTTAGGCTGGTCTCCAACTCCTGACCACAAACAATCCTCCTGCCTCAGCCTCCCTTACCTGGCTGAAGTTGACAAAGGCGTTTATCACTTTGTAACATAGTTTAAATGGTTGAAAAGAATGGCCTCTGGGGTAGGAAAAATTCTTACATATTAGTCAACTGACTTTGGACAGGCTATTTAACATCTCTAAATCTAAGTAAACTCATCTGGGGGTGGGGTGGGGAGAGAGAAAGAGTAAAAGTTTAAATGAGATACTAGATTTTAATACTGACTGCTCTCATTGTGTTAGAAGTTATTACTGTTGAGTTTGTGAACCGAGATTTAAAAGTATGACATTGAATGGGATATGGTTACATATCCGACATGTGTAGATAGATGCACAGGATGGTTTGTGTTGAAGACAGCTGTCTCCAGGACAACCACATTGCCCTCTACTTAGCAGGTCCCCTGACAAATCACCTAAGGCAGCGTTTTACTCATAGCTCAATGATTCCTGGCTGTTGCAGATGCTTTAATAAGGAGGAAGAGAGATTTTTCTCCTTTTTAATATAAGAATAGCTTTTATTAATTTTAATTACACATATAATACATTAACACATTCTTTTTACTAAAAAAAAAATTACAGATAAGGCTGAAATCCCCTTTGACCACCAGCTCCAATCCTCATCTCTGCCCCAGAGGTAACTCTTGGTATCAGTGTTATACGTCCTGTGCATTTTTCCATGCTTTAAAGACCATAGTATCTATACCCATAGAAAAAATATTGTTTAATATGCCTGGGTGTTTTACATATAAGTTATCATAGGGTGTGTCAGTCTGCAGCTTGATTTTTGTTCACTCAACAATAGGTCTTGGGGATCTTTCCATGTCAGTACACATAGTATATATATTTTAAAACACTGCTATATATATATAATATATATTATTTATGTATTTTATATATATTAGATATTATATATAATATCTAATATATATAAATATTATATATAATATATAAATAATATATAATATATAAATAATATATATAAAATATATATATGATGAATGAATTATAGTTTATTTAACCAACCCCATTTTTATGCTAATTTCAGTTATTTCTGCACCTAACATTTGATATTTTGCAAACAAAGCTGCCACAAACTTGCTGGGCACATGGGTAAAGTGTTTTTCTGGGGTAGATATGGAGAAGTGGACTCACTGGATCAGAGTATGAATATTTTGCATTTTTTAGATATTGCCAAATTTCTCTGCAAAGTGATTATACCAGCTTATGATCCTACCTAGAGAGTAAAGAATATCTTTTCTCCCATGCCCTTTTTAATTTTTTCTAATTTAGCAGGTTAAAACAAAATCTCTCTCTGATGTTTGAATTTCTATTTTCCTGATTACTGGTAAGACAGAGTATTATTGTCATGCACTTATGGGCCACTTATATTTTCTTTTCTGTGAATTACAATTTTATATCTTTAGAATATTTTTCTGTTGGATTTTTGTTTGTTTTCTTTTCAATCTGTAGAGGTTCTTTATATAATCTAGATACTTATCCTTTGTTACAAGTATTTTCTCCTTTTGTCTTTTAATTTTGCTCATGTTGTCTTCTGTCACACAAAAGTTTTTGTTTTTGATGTAGTCAAATGTATCAGTTTTTTGTGTGTGTTTTGTTTCTCGTGTCGTTTAGAAATCTTTTTCCACATCAAATCATAAAAAATCCTCCCACCTCCTACTCAAATTTTTTTCGTCTAAGACCTTAATGAGAGAAGCTTTCTAGGTAAGTCAGTCCCTACCTATGTTGCAGGTGTATCTGCAACCAGGTAGAAGGAGTGAAGGTCCCTTTCTCTGGAACCCGGCAGGACCCCTCAGGGAGGATGGAGCAGTCCCAATAGTTTCCAGCAGAGGGCAGTGTCTGAGCGGGTCTTCCTCTACTGGGACCCTGAGGGTTCCCTGCCTCACCAAAGGGAACAGGTAACTACTCTGAAATTAGCAGGTCTTGGGGAGGGGAGCATGTATCTGGTCACGGAAAAGACCAGGAGCAAAGTCTGTTTCTGCGTGTGTTCCACAGTGGTGTGGGAAACCACGGGGAAAGTGTGCTGTTGGACTCTTTTATCTGCATATGGAAAGAGAGAAGACTGGAGTGAGCCAGGATCATAGCCGGCTTTCTCCAAGGGAAGCTTCGAGGCCGGCTTCAATCTGGTCAGCACACCTGAGATAAAAGCTTAGGTTTTACAGAGAACACGTTATTTACCAGACAAACAACAGGCAAGATGGAAACATGCAATCCCCAAGCTTATTCTTTTGATTTCATCAATAATTCAAGCCCTGTCTCCTTTGGTGGAGGAGTGGGGAGAGGAGGAAGAACAAAAGAGCCCCGTGGCCAGAGGCACAGCTGACTTCAGAGGGGAAACCGAGGAAACAACAGACAGCTCTGTTCAGCACAGTTCCCTCCCCACCTCACCCCAGGCACATCCCGGGCTAGCAGCTCTGTCTTCCGTTGGTTGTTTAATACTAGCAACATGCGCTATACTGTATCATTATGAAACCAAGACTGCCTTGGCAGTGAAACTCACAGACCCATATAAATATATTAATCTGCCTAGATTTGCAAATCTGAACCAGTTTCTTGGCCCACCCATGTGCTGGGTTTTCTCTGCTTGCCCCCATGTGTCCACTTTGCACCTTTCTCTGAACTTGCTCTGTGCCCGGGAGGCTGCCTGTGGGGTGAGTCAGTGCGCTCCAGGCTCATCAGTTTCTGCTTTGGGTGGACCAATGGGAGACACCTGTGGTTGAGGTCTGGGAATTTGCCTTCCAGGATCTCTCCTGGTTGAACTGTAGTTGGCAGTGGATCCATTCTTCTGCAGATTCAAGGCAGCTTCCTGCCACACTTGGACAAACAACCACCCACTCTCTCCTCTTTTCATTTCATGCCTTGGGGTGTTGGTGGTTTCTGGATAGTTTGTGCTTCACTATCCCTCACTGGCTTCCCTTTTCCCTGCTCACAGCCTTAGAAATAGTTCCTTCATTCATTTCTCTTCAACCTTCTCTTCTGAGTGTACTGTTTGATTCCTGCCCGAACCCTGAAGAAAACAGAAACCTAAATCTGTCTTAATTCTTCATCCTGAAACAGATCAAGCATACAATTAAAATTTTACTGTAGTTTTGGATTCTCTTTTCCACACAATCTCCAAGCCCAGGGTGGCTGCTGCCCTCGCACCTTTCCAAAAGACGGCACAAGAAGTCATTGCAAACCTGCCTGAAAGACTCCTCCGGCTGCATTCCTTTTCTACAATTCTCTAGTGTTGATTTATCAAAGACCCCTTTCCTCAGGCTCACAAAAATGTCCCATTGCTATAAATACTCTTCAATCCAGTTCTAAACTTTAAAGGCAAACAACCTGGAAGATGAAAGGATCATAGGAACCAATTTGGATGCCTGGAGGTTTGACTAATTCATTAAGGGATGGTTGCAGAAAGTTACTGGATATGTAAACTGCATTTATATGCAGCTCTCCTCTTCAGGGACAGGATTGTTGTTCTGTAAGCCAAATAGTTGCAATAAGCTGGCATTCCAAGTAGATGAGGCCACTTAGTGTTCATCTCTCCACAAGGCATACATTGAGTAAGTGAACTGGGTCCCCCAAGTCCCGCTTCCCTTCTCCTACCACCTACTGGTGAAGATGTAAATGAACAAAGCCCAGAGATTGCAATAGGAGGAACAAACCCTAATTAACACATTGGATAACGCAAATAACTGAGAGCTGTTTGGACACCTACTTTAATTAACTGCTAAGTGAGTCTTACTCCCTGCAGACTGTCCTAGTTTTCATCATGTGTTCTTTCTGGGTGCATCTCTTCTACATCTGTAGCTAAGTGACTGCCTCTCTTCCTGTCCAGCTCTCACTCCATTTTCAGCCCAGCCTAGTGACTAAGAGATTCCCTGGACACCTTACCAATGTCCAATCCATATCCAAAGCCTAAGGATGTCATCCAAGTCTCTCCTTGATCTGCACTCCTCTGCTCACCTCTACCACCAGCACTTGGTCCTAGGCCCCTGGACAACTGCAACAGCTTCATAGTTGCTTATACTCCTGAATCAGCACTTCCCTCTCCATGGCACAGCCAGAGTAAGCTTTACAACATGGAAATCTGTCCCTGATACTCTCCTACTTAAAATCCTTTGAAGGCTCCTCATCACTTTTAGGATAAACACTCAAAGCTTTACAAACCTGTGGCCTAGTCCTGCCCACCACTTCTGTGCCCATCTGATGCCACCTCCCTCTGTCATGACCTGAGTCTCTTTATGGTGCTTTTCTCTGATCCTTAAACTTGCCATGCTCTGTCTCAGCTCATGTCCTTTTTCTTTGCCTGTGATGCTCTCCTTACCACCATGAACACTTGCCTTTGCCTAGTTAACTCCTGTGCATTCTTCAGAACCCAAACTCCAACAGTCTCCTTCCTTAAAGGAGCCTTCACTGACCTGAGACTAAGCCAGGTTCCCTGTCACACAATCCCCCAACATGGCCACATGTTGTGGTGACTATATACTTAAAAAATTGAGGCTTATCTCCTCCACTAGAATGTACACTCCTTGAAGTTGGGAGTCGTGTCTTTGTGCACCTGGCGTTGTGTCTGGCATCTAGGCCTGTCTCAGCAAAGACTTGTTGAATGAATGGATGGACACTATTGTGCTCTTTCTTTTAATATCAGCGGGTGGTGAGGGCACCACCACAGACTGAAGAAACGGAGGTCCTCAGTCTGGAGAGATGTAGGTGTGGTACTGATCAGAGTGGGAGGTGGACTGTGTTGTTGTCTGACAGCTGACAATTCTCGGATTTTGTGGACTAGGAGGGTATCCACACGTTCTTGCCTCTTCTGTCTGTGTAGATACTCTCTCCCATCTGGCTCTATCTTGTGCCAGTGTTGTGTACATGCCCACCCACACCCCCAGCCTGTGACCTGGGAGAGCCCCACCAAAGCCCCCCTTCCTTGTGGCTTCATGCCCTTGTTTATTCTTGGGCTGGGAAACCTGAGTCTTCCATTCCCAGGCCTGCTTCTGATCATATACAATGCAGTACTAAAAAGCCAGTTGGTCTCCTGGAACTTCTTTCTTCCCATTAGTTGTTGGCAATGCAAATGAAGGATTAAATCACAAGCAAGACAGACTTTTTGTTCAGAAGCTTGAGTTTTAAGAACCGTCCCCAGGGAAATCAAATGGAAGGGGGAAAACCAAGTATACAAGGCCTTCCTTCCATTCCCCCAAATGTCAGCCAAGAGTGCAGCCTAAGGGATGAGTCAGAAGTAGGGGAGCCAGGGCTTGGAAAACTGATTGTCTATACCAGGGCTTTTCATACTTTAGCATGCATCAGGATCACCTGGAGGGCTTGTTAAACACAGATGGTGAGGGCCCACCCCTAGAGCTTCTGATTCAATTGGCCTGGGGTGGGGCTCAAAAATTTGTGTTTTCAAAGTAGGTAATGCCGATGCTGCTGGTCTCTGGGGCCCCATACCTTGAGAACCACAGCACTACACTGTAGTCTCTCCCCACGTGTTCTAACTCAGTGCCTCTCAAACTCCAACGTGTATTCCACTCCCCTGAAAATGTTAGCGCACAGGCTCTGATGGAGGAGGTTGGAGTGCAGCTGGAGTTTCCGCTTTATTAACCAGCTCCCTGGTGATGAGGATGCTGCTGCCGCACTGAGGTCCCTACGCTGAAAAGCAACGCAAGGTAAACAATTGTCTTCTGGAGCTCTGCTTCTCTCTGATAGACATCTTTTCCTTCCTTTATGCCTTCCTGGTATATTGGGGATATTAGGGGAGACCTTTGAGAGACATGGGTGCCAGGGAATATCACTCTAAGTCTTCCTGGGTCTCGTTGGCCTGACCAACAGGAATCCAATGTTTATGTGCCAGAGGTTTGTTTTGTCTAAGCTACGAAATGAAACTTGGCCTTCTTTAACCACCCTTTGCTGGAGAGACCCTTGCCCATGATGCTGATGGGTGTGAAGCAGAAATACAGTGGAAGAGCTACCCTGGAGGAATCATGCTGCCAAGTCAGACAACTGGAACGTGTCTCACTACCGGGAGTAGTTTCACTGAGGTTGTGAAAGGGTGGGATTCAATGGGGAAAAGGAAAGCTTGCTCCCTTTATTATAAAAAGTGTTTACCAGGCACAGTGGCTCACACCCGTCATCCCAGCACTTTGGGAGGCTGAGGTGGGTGGGTCACCTGAGGTCGGGAGTTCAAGACCAAGCCTGGCCAACATGGTGAAACCCTGTCTCTACTAAAAATACAAAAGAAATTAGCCGGGCCTGATGGCGGGCACATGTAATCCCAGCTATTAGGGAGGCTGAGGCAAGAGAATCCAGGAGGTGGAGGTTGCAGTGAGCCGAGATCGCGCCACTACACTCCAGCCCAGGCAACAAGAGCAAAACTCCATCTCAAAAAAAAAAAAAAAAAGGAAAAAGTGTTGTGTTGGCAGCATATGGTTTCTGACCATGAGCTCTGTCTGGGGTTAAGGGACATAGACTCAAAGCTTTAAATGAAATCGCATTTGTAGGTTGTTTACCACAGAGCCTAGCCCTTAGTGTGTGCTTAATGAATGACAACTGCCATCATTTTTAAATTGGGAAGTACTAATTGTAGTAGAATCAGAATCCATATCGGAGGAAAACTGGCAGCTTGATAGCCTATAGAATCAAACATGATGTTTTGGCCACTGGGATTTCCTGTGCTCCGGAGGCCTAGCTCAGCCCCTGTGCTATTTAGTACATTTTTGTTGAATGAAAAGAAGGAGCTATACAAGTCTGGGTAAATTGGTAGGTGGGGGGCATTTGATCTCATGGAAATTGTCCGAAAGGAAAAAATGAATGGAATTCTGAAAGTGAGGTCTTTCAGGCCCTGGGTAACCTTGCTCGGTTTATTTATAAAATGGATCACTCCCACTCCTTGACAGGGTTATTGTGAGAAATGTTTTGTGATGGAAAGTGCTTGGTTAATTATAAAGCATAAATCAAGTATTCATTATTTTAATAAAGTGGAGGACCTAAAACTACCTAACAGGTCATTTGAATTGTGACCACTTTAGTGATGAGGCTGGGAGTAAAATTTTCCTGCCATCAGGTGTTAGTATGTTGGATAGGCCTTTTAGGCTGGCTCTCACTTGCTAGAAAAGCCTCTGAGCTTCTTGGTATTATTTGCTAAATGGGACATAAACCTTTTCAGAAAGCCAGAGTACAGGTGGGCCAGCAGGTAAGGCCGCCTGAGAAGGACTCACCTTTGTCGACCCAACAGGGAGCCCGTGAGCCTGGCTGGCAAGGAAAGACCCTCAAATCTCCCTTCCCAGCCCCTTCTCAGTCTAATGCATCTCATTTATTGTTAATGCTGTTTCCACTGGCTCATTTGCAAACAGCCTGAATAAAACATCAGAGCAGAGCGGGAGGGGTAGTTCTGTCTTCTGCAGCTGCCTCTGCCACACTCCTGTCCTCCTTCCTTTCCTCCAGTCCCTTCTCCCCTCATTACTCTGATTAACAATCTTTACCTAATTGGCTTGTCATGAAACAGCCAAATAGGACTCCTGGGCTCTTGCAAGGATAGTGAGGAAAAATCTCGGGCAGGCCCAGCATTTGCTTTTGTTTTTTTTTTGTTGTTGTTTTTGTTTTTCTGGATGTGGGGGGAAGAAAAGCAAACACTGAGTCTTCTCATAACCTTAGAGAGGAGATCTAGGAATAAAGTGGCTGCTCTGCTCATCCCAGGGAACTGCCTTAGCCTGCAGGAGGATGGCAAAGGGTTAGCCCAGTAGCAAACCATTCAACACAGGTGAAACCCTGTGTAGTGTTAGGCCCTGTGGTTGCTAATGCACGTGCTACACATTGGGCTAGAGATGCAAACCTAGGCATTGTCCTGAAAGAAGGCAGATCAGGAAAAGCATGGCTCAGTAGGCATGTAGTGAGCATGACTTTCAATCCACACACACAATTGTAAAGAAATAGAGTTTCTGTAATTTTCTCTAGGTTAACTTAATTACTGACTACCCTGATTCTTACAGCAACCACTTCCTTGCATTTCTTTATAGCTTTATCACAAAAAGTGCATCCCTAAGGCACTGTAATTTAGCTTTGCCTATTTTTAAAAATTTGCTATGTCTTTTAAATATTTTTAACTTAGAAGTTCCACCTAGACTTTCTCTTATTCTTATAGTTTGTTTTGTTTTGTTTTGTTTTGTTTTGTTTTGTTTAAGAACCCGAAAACGTTAACCTGTAAAGTTTCTCACAGTCTGGATTTTGCTGATTGTGTATTTAAGAAACAGTTCAATATGTTCTTCTGAGCTCTGTATTTTCTGCAAATTGGTAGCTGGATCCAAAGGCTTGATTAGGCTTAAGTTTGATCCCCTTGGCAAGATTATAGATGGTGTTGTGATTTTTGTTAGGAGGCAAATACCGTCTGCATGTCTCCCTTTTGTGATGTTAGCAGCTGTTGAAGTTCAGTGCCTAGATCCATTAATTCACTGGGGGTTGCAAAATGAGAATGTTCTAATTCTATCATTTCTTTTTCATGTATTAGTTGGAATACTTCCACAAAGAGATGTTTTCTCTCCTCTCTGATTTTGTTACCCAGTGGTACGGTTCACAAAAGAAAGACAGGATAAATGCTTGATTCTTTGCCTTTATTTATCAGTTTTCAAGATAATAAGTAGGTGCTTTTTATCCTCCCAAAGCAGCCAGTTTGTTTTGTTTTTCAAATATCATTAGGAACTCATGGATTTAAACGTATTAGATGGATTAAATATGTATATACAATTGAAAAATTTGTTTTGAGATACAAATGTCTCATCTTTGGCAGCAAGAGCTTCTTCAATTGGCTCCTGAGTCCTTTTGACATGACCGTAGTAGTCTTTGATAGCTTCCTTGCTATCTGGAATAACAAGATGTTCCAGACCCATCCCCTGTCCCAGACTGAAACCAGCCATTTCTTTAAGAAACCCTGATTTCTTTTAATGGGATATAGTATTTTGAGATCTTAATCATGGTGCTACAGATGCTCATTGGTATTCCACTGCGAGGTTAGTCATCGTTTTAAGTCCTTTCCATTGGACAGAGCTAAAGGAGCTGGGGGAAAATCTACCCACAGCTGTTCTGCAATAACACTTATTTTGAAAACACTAATTTGTTCAACCACAATTGATAGGGAACAAGTGGAGCATTACACAAATTTTGTGTTTGGCTATTTGATACAGAAGAAATAGTCGACTAATGCAGAAAACTACACCAAGCTGAACAAAACCATGTAAGAATACATAAAATAATAAAAAATAAGAATAGACTTTTTCAAAATCAAAGAGAAGCACAATCTATACACCATCTCTCTATAAACATCTTAAACAGAAATTGCCAGATCTAGTAGATGCGGCACCTTTTACTGCTATGAGTAGTGGGTTTGGTGGTTTCAAACACCACTCTAATTTCCAGAGTTTTCAACTGAGGGGCAAAGTTGCAAGTGCAGATGAAAAGGCAGGAAAGGAATGTCCAGCAATTACTCAGAAATTAACTGAATAAGGCTAGAGAACAGATAAAATTTTCAATTTTGATCAAACAGGCTATCTATTACAAATGCATTCCTCAAAGGCAGAAAAAAATGACCCAGGATTTAAGGCTACAGAAGGTCAGGTAACTCTCATGTTCAGCGTCAATGCCCAACAGAGGACACTGAGCCACATTCATCCACATCTAATGTGACAACTTTCCATCCAGTTTCAGATAAGCTTTCTTCCACCCCTTCATGATGACTGAACATGCTGCAATCCTTCCAATGCCCACTTCCACAAGCAAATTTCAGGTCTTTTTCAATGTGAGGTACCATATTTATTGTAGTATTTACCTATTTTTAGCATATTTTTAACCATGTATATAACTCCTATGTCATTTTTGCTAGATTTATATCCTTCTTTTAAAATTTTTATTATTATTATACTTTAAGTTTTAGGGTACATGTGCACAATGTGCAGGTTTGTTACATATGTATACATGTGCCATGTTGGTATGCTGTACCCATTAACTCGTCATTTAGCATTAGGTATATCTCCTAATGCTATCCCTCCCCCCTCCCCCCACCCCACAACAGTCCCCGGAGTGTGATGTTCCCCTTCCTGTGTCCATGTGTTCTCATTGTTCAATTCCCACCTATGAGTGAGAACATGCAGTGTTTGGTTTTTTGTCCTTGCGAGTTTGCTGAGAATGATGATTTCCAGTTTCATCCATGTCCCTACAAAGGACATGAACTCTTCATTTTTCATGGCTGCATAGTATTCCTTGGTGTATATGTGCCACATTTTCTTAATCCAGTCTGTCGTTGTTGGACATTTGGGTTGGTTCCAAGTCTTTGCTATTGTGAATAGTGCCACAATAAACATATGTGTGCATGTGTCTTTATAGCAGCATGATTTATAATCCTTTGGGTATATACCCAGTAATGGGATGGCTGGGTCAAATGGTGTTTCCAGTTCTAGATCCCTGAGGAATCACCACACTGACTTCCACAATGGTTGAACTAGTTTACAGTCCCACCAACAGTGTAAAAGTGTTCCTATTTCTCCACATCCTCTCCAGCACCTGTTGTTTCCTGACTTTTTAATGATTGCCATTCTAACTGGTGTGAGATGGTATCTCATTGTGGTTCTGATTTGCATTTCTCTGATGGCCAGTGATGATGAGCATTTTTTCATGTGTTTTTTGGCTGCATAAATATCCTTTTAAAAATTTGTCACTGAAGCTTTTGAGTGTTGTGCCTTTACCCACATTTTTTACCATAAACCCAGTGGTTTTTAATCTTGTGATTTTTTGCACCATGAGGTGATTTTTTTTTTTAGGAATGCATATGTCATATTCTGGCAGAACTGAATACATGCACACACCTCATGAATTCATACGGACTTTCCAGTTTAATTTCCGTACTATAAGATTTTTACTTAATCTATAGGACATCTGTACTTCCTTTCTTCTATACCCAAAATCCTGGTTCTCAAGGACACAGGAGATAATAGACTATTCAATAATTATTAATTTGCATTATCCCATTTTATACATACAACAGCCTCAGAATAAGAGTATGAAAACCACCACCACCTCCATAATTACTGAGAACCTTCCCAGGGGGAGCCCTGACTGCTCCTTTCAAGAGCAGGCAAGGTGTAAAGACAAGACTGCTCTGGTCTCTCCAGAACTCCTTACAAACCTCCCTGCACTCACCATGACTGGAATGGTGTGGTGGGTAGTTTTATGTGTCAACTTGACTAGATTAAGGGATGCCCAGATAGCTGGTGAAACATTATTTCTAAGTGTGTCTATGAGGGTATTTCTGGAAAAGATTCACATTCTAATCAGTAGTCTGAGGAAAGATCTGCCCTCACCAATGGGGGTGAGCTTCATCCAATCCATTGAGGCTCCACTTGATAGAACAAAAAAGTGAAGAAAGGGACAATTCTCTCTCTCTTCTTGAGCTGGGACATTGTGATCTGCTGCCCTCAGAGCTCCTGGTCCTTGGGCCTTTGGATTCTGGGACTTACATCAGCAGCCTCCCCAGTTATTAGGCCTTTGGTGTTGGACTGAGAGTTTTACCATCATCTCCCCTGGGCCTAAAGCTTGCAGACCACATATTGTGGAACTTCTCAGCCATTATAATCATGTGAGCTGATTGCCATAATAAATCTCCTCCTATTTATCTATCTATCTATCTGTCTACCTACCTACCTACCTACCCACCCATCCATCCTGTTGATTCTGTTTCTCTGGAGAACCCTGACTAATACAATTGGGTAAAATCCCTCCTAGGTCCAACTGCTATTCTCATGAGACCCTGCTTTGCTTCCCAGTTTTGGGGTTGGCCTATTCTCAAATCTGTCAGATTTCCCCTTCCTTTCTCAGCTTCCTCTGGCACATACGCTGACACCTTGAAGATCTTGAGGCCGCTGGTGGTTTGCCCCATCTGCTTGTATTTTAGGGTTTGTGGGAATACTTTGTCACTTAACTTTGTAAATGTTGTCCATGGATTTTATAGTTTTTGGTTGTCTAATAGCTCCATCTGTTTTATGTCAGAATTCTGGGAGATTTAAAAACTATGCCACTGTCATTTCTGTCTTCTCAGAATCCCTCCTTGATAACCATTTTTTTCATAGTTTCTCTTTGAAGATAAATATTGATTTTAAAAAATATACAGATGTTTTACATTTTTATTAGTTAAATCTATTTGATCTTACCCCATTGTTTTTATGTTTAATTTAAATAGTCCTTTACCATGTAGAGGTTAGATAGAAATCTTTCTACAATTCCTTGTGATGTTTTAAGTTTCATTTTGTACACATAACTCTCGTGTCCATCTTATCCATTTGGAAATTATTTTGTAAAATACTCTGGGAGGAATATCTAAGTCAATTCTTTTTTCCTAAAATACTAAAATTTCCAACTCCATTTATTGACTTTGTAATTCCTCCTTTATTATAGATAGATTATAAATATCAAAGTCTATATCAAGGTTGTCTCTTCTTGGTGTGTCTGTCCATTTTTGCAATTGTACCTTAGTACTAACTAACTTATTTCAGCTTACTGGTATATTTTAATATCTAGGGCATGTCCCACCTCACTATTTTTATTTAAATAAAAAAGCCTATTTGTTTTCATCTGTATTATCTCTCAATGAATTCCAGCAGAGGGAAAATTCAAAGTCCATCTTTTGGGTAGCTCTTTGGTTCCCTGACAGTTTTCTTATTTGAAATGTATCTATATCTACTTGTTTGACCTCTTCCAAATAGTGCCAAACATTCCAGGAGGTGCTATCCATGGTTGTAGCTCAGGATAGGCTGGCCAGGCTCATGACATCAAACCTTCCGTTGGGGGAAGGTTTAGGGCCTGACATTAGACCTGCTCAGTAAGATGATGGAAAGCCATTGAGCTTAGGCATGCCATCTGACAGTCAGGGTTCAACCAGGTAGACAAGACTTCTTGTGCCAAGAGACTTAGCCTTTCCAGCTGTGGTTCAGAACATGCTCAGCATTGATAGGTCCAAGATGGGGAAGAAGGTCCATTCACAGGTAACAAGAACTCAATGCCAAGCTTCAGGTCAAAGCAAATGCTTCTTACAACACATGACATACATCTACAAGATAGCTGGTTAGAGCTAGGACCATGATCTGAAGCCATGGGACAGAACAAAACTCATGAAATTACATGGAACACGAATCCATGGTCTTAATCTCTCAAGGTTGCTGAAACCATCTGACATGGCACAGTCATAAGTCAGCAACAGCAATACAACATATTTGAATCCTGCACTTGGATTTTTCTACACAGAGCTTTCAGTTCTGACCTTGTGAGGTGAGACTGACAGCTTATAAATACCTTCTCTTGTCTTCCTGAGACAAAAACAAAAACAAATGAATATGTCCAAAAAATGGAATATAAATACTCATCTTGTAAATAAACTTGGAAAAATATTCTGAAATATCTCAGAAAGCATCATGCTAGAGCCTCAGCTGAGATTCAGTAGATTTTATTTTATGTGCAGCCTATTGATTAAAGGGATATGAGGAGTCAAATAATAAAACTCAGCCTTCAGGAAGATGCAGAGATACTAAACAGCAACAGGCAGCTCATGTCTGTCGGCAGTGAATCCTCTGGCAACAGGCCCATTAATCTTTTTGTATTTTCTGTTTTCAGTAGTCAGAATCTTCAATGCACCTGCAAGAAAATATATTCACTGATTCCATTATCTCATTCAAATTTAGAGCATCAAGAACTCTTAAGGATGACCACTTCCATCCCTCTCATTTCATAGGCCTAGACAGGAGGCCCACAGTCCTGCAGAGGAAAAGGACTGGCCCAGAAAACCTGTCTGCAGAAAAGCCAGAACCTCCTAGGTCATTGCTGTAAAATGGCAGCTGCACTCAAAGACTTCACATTCTTCTCATGTTGTAGAAGAGCCAAATGAAGCCAGCAGTAGGGAGACTGTGGACACATTACCAAAGGATATCCCGGGAATCCTACTGGTGAGAAAATCATCAGGCTGGAAGGACCAGAGCTTATATGTGGTTGCTTTTGTATAAACTGCCCACAGTGCTCTCTCAGTGGGTGCAATCCTATTAGCAGCCACAAATAGAACATGGGAGCAGTGCATTTTAATTACCTAAAGAAAACAATAAGGAATGATTTTAAGCTAGGAGGGCTGCCATAATACTGTAAGTAAAGTCAATGCACTGCTTAGTACATGAAATGAATTAGTTAGTATTTAAATAATAGAAATGACTATCAATTAGAAAACATTACCACAAATCACTTGCTGCACCAACAGCGCTTTTTTTGCTATTATTAATAATTCCAGCTACTGATTTTCTGTAATTGTAAACCACAATTTCCTTTTGGATGAACAGCTGAGCAGGGTCGCAACGCAAAGTCAAGTTCCCACTCACAGGGATGAAAGTCACCTGGTACCCCGTTCCCCCTTCTGCTGACCCTTCAGAGCTCTTTCTTCTCATCCTCTGTTCTCTGCTGTAAGAGAAACCTAAGAGAATCAACCGCTTAGGATTTGCCCATTATGGATAGAACTGGCTTTTATATTAAAATCTAACATTCAAGAAAGCACCTGAGGCAACATTTTCTGTTTCTGAGCATGGCTTGCTCTGGTGAAATCATTCCACCTTGTATGACCAACTCGGTAATGGTAGGAAGCAGATCTTGTTGGGTAGCAGATGACAGGGAATAATGTGATTCATTAGGAGGCCTGGGCCTGTGCTTTAGAAGAGCAGAGTTCATACTCCTACTCTTTAATAATCTCAATGTGGGACAAGTTATTTAACCAATTTGAGATTTTATTCTCCCAGTTATAGAAGGTAGGCTGTGCTTCTAGGCATTTATTTGACAAAGAAACAAGTGGAGATTATAACTGGTATTTAAATCCTAAAAAGGACATATGACAGATGAGGAAAAACTTTGCTCTCCTTTCCTCATTTAAAATAAGTTGTCTGTTAAATCTCGACTGACCCAACCACAGTCAGCCCATCTATCCTTGGTGGACAGGGCTCCAAGAACAAAGGTGCAGGCTTTGTGTGTTCTGCACCTTCCTCGTCCCCTCTGAAAGACACACATAGAGTCAGGTGCTGCCAAATTAGCAGAGCTGGCCTTTACCAAGTGCTCCTGGTGGCCAGTACCATCCGGAGCCTTGACGCAGACTTTCTCATTAATTCCCCCGGCAGCTCTATGAGGTAAGCCATATGTGCCCCTTTTTACAAATAAAGACACTGAGACACAAAAGGTTAAGGTCACAGAGCTAGCAAATGATAGAACCAGGATATCACCCCAGGAGGGCTCTTAACCACCCTGCCAAGCTGTCATATGTACAGTGGTCATCTTGGGATGGGCCTCTGCCCTGAACCCCTGCCAGCTCTCCTGTTCAGTAATCTGGGTCTAACAGTGTAAAAGGTAATTGTCTTACATCAAGGGGGTTTTCCAAGCAGAAGCCAGCTCAGACTGCACTTCCTCCAGGAAGCCCTCCCCAGGGCTCTCATAGCTCCTGGGCTCTCCCTATCCTGGCTTTAGGCTCAGTGGCCCTGCAAGACTGGGAGCTTCTGGAGGACAGACAGGTCATTGCTGGGGCCTCAGTCTGTTTTGCAGAGTCTGCCACTAGTTAGTAAATGTTTTGATAACAAGGCCTTTCCCTTTCTCTTTCACACACACACCCAACAAAGACTGATGACCTTTGGACCCCAAAAGTCCCAGAACTCCTCTCCAGAACCCCTGAGTTTGTGATCTCTTCCCTCTGACCAAGGGCCTTTTCTAACCTATCCCCAAAGATGGGTAGAGGGAGTGGGGACAGGAAAGAATGGCCGTCCCACTCAAATTCTGGGTTTCTATCAGACACAGTGTGGGGTTTCCAGTGCCTCTTTGCCCATCCCCCTAGGCACCTTTCTCCCCCAGAACACTGGATATCTTTTCCCAGACCCTTCCTCTGGGGGGCTGGGTGGAGGAGGCAGCAGACAGAGTCCATGAGAGCCAGAGGACCCCGGTCTCTGCTGGGCTGCTCTCCTACCTGCCACCTGCGAGCCACCTCCACCCTGTGAACCATACCACCCACTCTTCAAAGGTTACTGCAATAAAACAGGAAATAAAAAGCAGAAAGCCCATATTCTTTGGCTGATCAGTCTTTGTAATAAATGCTACAAGGTGGAACAGAAATAAGTTTATGAACTATCTGAACTGCAATTTCTTGATTTCAAAGTAATCCAATTGTGGGGAAATGTCAGTTCCAATTGAAAAGGAAAACAAACTTCAAGTGTCTGGTGTTCCCTAGCCTGAGCAATCGCCAAGGTAATAAATGTGGTAATTGTTTGAGAGCTCCAGCAAGTCCTGTGCTGGGCTTAGTGGCCGTGTGTGTTTGTGTGCACTCCTGCAAACTTTTCACTCCTCAATAGCTCACGTTCTCACCTCTCCCAGTGCCCCTCCTGCCCACCATAGAAGGGGCATTGGTATTTGAACCACAGCTGGTCTACAGAATTCAGAATCCAGAATGCAAGGGAAAAGAGCCCAATGTCATATTAAAACCAGGAGCCACCATGGATCTAGAAGGCAGAAGCCAGGCTGGATCGATGAGAGGCTGCCAGTGCATTCAAAACATTTACCTGGATCAGTGTTAGAGACTGCACCCAGCCCAAGTGCCTGACAGACACAGCTTCTCATGGACTTTTAGGATGGTGTGGCAATCAGGCAATAAAACGGTCTACACTGGCCCTGATTTCTACCATGCAAATCTTACTGTGTCACTCCCCATTGTCTATTGTTTTTGAGATAGAGTCTAAATTCATGATCTGACCCCCAACCTATCTGTCCTCTCACACCACCAATCACACTCTGCTCCTTTTTACTGCATTATACTTATTTTCAAAATTTTCCTGAGCTCTCTTACTGCCAAGCCTTTGCATAGCTGTGTTTCTTTGCCTGGAGCATCTCCTCATCCTCTTCCCATCCCACCCATCATCTGGCTAATTCCATTTGTTCTTCAGGTCTCTCTTATAGCCTCATATCCTCTGAAAACCCTCCCTGACTCCAAGATAAGGCTATGTTACCCTTCTATCCCTAGAGACATTTCCTTGTTTCTTGTTCTTGTCCCTGCAATAACACATAACCATCCATATTGTAATTAATTACCCAAGGAGAGAAACAATGTTTTTGTCCTAGTGCTTAGCCACTGTGCCAAGGTCACTGTAGGTACTCAATAATTTCTAATGGATGGCTAAAGGATATCACATGGGAATCTGTCCATGAATACTAGTTTAGTGCCTTTGTCTTTTTCTTTTTTACATAAAATTAGATAAACTTAAGGTATCTGTATACAAAGGCCCAAGGTGGTCTCGTTCAGTTGATAAGATAAACATCTCAGATTTGGGCATAAAGTGTGCCTTATTCTGAATGGAGATCCACCTGTTTATGCATTCACACATTTAAAAATAAAAAGCAAATCATGTTTCTGTGGCAGACATTGCTAGTTGCCAGTAGCAATATCAATAGATATTGCCCCTACTTCACTTTTAATAGAACTCCAATTCTGCTTGTGGTCTCAATGTGTCCAACCCCAGAGGATGATTCCTGATTGGTCTAAGCCAATCATGGAATCCTGGTTCCCTTTGCCAGGGTAGACATGTGACCTGACTGGCCACTGAGATCTGGGGTGAGGTCAGCTGGCTACTCCAGGAAAATGTTCCTTTCTGATAAAAGAGGGAGCACATATTAGTTCATTTTCATGCTGCTGATAAAGATATACCTGAGACTGGGTAATTTACAAGGAAAAAGAGGTTTAATGTACTCACAGTTCCATGTGGCTGGGGAGGCCTCACAATCATGGTGGAAGGCAAGGAGGAGCAAGTCACATCTTACATGGATGGCAGCAGGCAAAGAGAGAGAGCTTGTGCAGGGAAACTCTCCCTTATAAAAGCATCAGATCTCATGAGACCTATTCACTATCACGAGAACAGCATGAGGAAGACCTGCCCCCACAATTCAGTTACCTCCCACCAGGTCCCGCCCACAACACATGGGAATTCATGATGAGATTTGGGTGGGGACATAGCCAAACCATATCAGAGCAGCAGGAAGAGAAAGGGTCCTACTCCCCATCCTCTTCTTTGGTGCTTGGGAAGATGTTTTGTGAGGATGTGATTCTGGTGAATGTGCAGCCATCTTGTTCACCATGAGGAGAAACATCACTGACCTACTGGGAAAGGCAGAGGAGAAAGGCAGAGAGTGCCTGGGTCTCTTCTGCCCCTGAGCTGCTGCCCCCGTATTGGGACCACCTACCTCTAAGCTTTCTGTTACAGGAAATAGTCAAATGCCTTTATTGCTTAAGCCACTGTTTTGTGGTTATTCTATTATTTGTAGCTGAAATAATTCCTGGCACAAATGACTTTGAAATTTATCTCTGAACATCCCAAATTCATTATTAGCAAATATCAGAAACTTCACATCACTCCAGTCTGTTATTTCACATGGTTTTCTTAGGGCCTGGAAAGTTTTTACAGCTGGCTTTTATTGACTGTGGTGGCTGATATGCTGAAGAATGGAGCTCATTGGTTTGAGGCTTCTGCCACTGCTTTTTTGATTAATCAATATTCCAATCCTTACATTTTTCACATTATATTCCATGACTCCTCGGAGGAAGTGGCTGGGGTGGAACTGAGACCACCTCACCTGTATTTTGAGACTTGCCCTAGGAATAACTCACCAGTGTGCTAGGGGGAAATAATGGCCCCCAAAGATGCCCGTGTCCTAATCCTTGTGAATAGTTTACATTGCAAAAGGCATTTTGTAGGTGTGATTAATTTAAAGGCCTTGAGATGAAATTATCCTGGAATATCTGAGTGGGCCCAATATAATCACAAGAGTCCTTAAAAGTCAAAGGGAGAAAGAGAAGAAGAGTGTGAGGCGGAGATGCACTACAGGAGAATGGTCAAAGATGCAGCACAATTGGCTTTGAAGACGGAGGAAGGGGCACGCACCAAGGAATGCAGGCAGCCTCTAGAGACTGGAAATGCAAGGAGAGGGATTTTCCCCTAAAGCTTTCAGAAAAGAACACAGCTCTGCCAACATCTTGATTTTAGCCCAGTGAGGCCCATTTTGGATTTCTGACCTCCAAGACTACAAGATAACTAAATTTATGTTACTTTTAAGCTGCTAAATTTGTGGCAATTTATTATAGCAGTGAAGGAAACCAGTACAATGAGAGGGCCTTATTGACTGTAAAACTGAGCACTCCTGATTTGAGCAAGTATCTAGGTGCTGCCTGCCTGAGGGAGCATCCATAAAGCATAACTCAAGCCAAAGCTTGAGAGGCCGGGCTCAGTACTGGAGTAGGCCTCGTTTCGAACGCATCAGTAAGTAGGTAGGTCTCTGATATGGTTAGCCTTTGTGTCCCCACCCAAAACTCATCTTGAATTGTAATCCCCAGGTGTTGAGAGAGAGAGAGACCTGGTGGGAGGTGATTGGATCATGGGGGGTGGTTTCCCCCTTGGTGTACTTGTGATAGTGAGGGAGTTCTCATGAGATCTGATGGTTTTAAAAGTGCCAGTTTTTTCCTGTGCTCTTACTTCGCTCTCCTGCCACCTTGAGAAAGCTGCCTGCGGTTCCCCATCTGCCATGATTGTAAGTTTCCTGAGGCCTCCTCAGACACATGGAACTGTGAGTCAGTTAAACCTCTTTCCTTTATAAATTACCCAGTCTCTGGTATTTCTTTATAGCAGTGTGAAAACAGACTGATACGGCAGTTCTCCTTAAGAGAAAGAAAAACCACCATGCTGTGAAAGACAGTACAAGTCCAGGGGGGCTGGGAGTTCTAAAGATGTCATTTAACACTTGGGAAAGCAGGGCATCCGACTCTGCTGTCTTTTCTCCCCACTCCCCTCTCCCACCTCTTGTTTTCCCTGCTAATGCCCATGGGAGTGCCCAGAGTGTGTGTCTCTTATAGCCTGCTGGCAGCCTTATATCCCATGTGTGGTTAGGAAGAACCTGTGTCCAGGTTGCAGGGTGGAGAGAGTGCTCTGGATCCAGCCCTGGAAAGATGTCAGCCTTTTCTTCTATCAACAGCAGCAAATGATGGGCCATTCATTCAACAAATGTGAGTTAAGTTCCAACTCACTGCACAGTGCTAGATGCTGAAGATACAGTGTTGAACAAAATAGATATGGTCCCCATCTTCTTCCCTAAATTCTTCTGAGGAAGACAGATATTGAACCAAAATACATTAAATAAAGATATAACAACACTTAAGATATATGATATGTGCAATGGAGAAGAACAGGATATTAAGAGAGAATATGAAGTGACTGATTTGGATTGGAGGGCCAAGGGAGGTATTTCTTAGGAAATGATACGGGAATTGAGACGTGGAAGATAAGTAGGAATTAATCTAGAAAAAGCTAGAAGAAGAGACATCCAGGCCCAATAAGTAGAATGTGCAAAGGCCCTGAGGCAAGAAGGGAGGGAGAGGTTGCTGTGGCAGTTGTGTAGTGGATAAGAGGGAGCAGGGCATGAGAGGGACTGGTGCCTTTTTAAAAGTCTTTGGTGGTTTCAGGCAAAGGTTCTGATTTTCATTTGTCAAGATGTCTCTGACATTAACTAACTATGAGTGCCCATTTATTGAAGAAAAAGCAGTATAGAGGAAGGCTCAGGGCCCCAAGCTCCATGGTCCCCTGAAGCCCATCCTTTCTCTCAGGGGTGAATCACGGGGCAGGGGTGAGGGGAGCCAGGAATACTTGTATCATTTCTGTGTATGTCTTTCTTCCTGACTCAGTTTCTTTGCTGTAACCTCTGGAAATTTTCAAAATTAGAATCATTACCTATATGGGGAACCTGAGATGCAAATCAAATGAAAGGCAGTGGAGGGCTAATGAAGGCAAAGGACCTGGCAACTCAATGAAATGAACAGCCCTGTTACAGGTAGAGGATGACACCATATTATATGCTGCTTGAGCAGGAACAAAGGGAAATTCAGGATTTGTATTCTGCTCTAAAAGGGCAACTAAAACTTAAATATCTATTATCCATCTGCCTGCCTGTCTGTCTGTCTGTCTATCTATCTATCTATCTATCCATGTGGCAAAGGAAAAAAAATAAGGTTTAGGTGCCTTGGACAAGCAAAGTGCTGTTTAATTGAGTTTTCTCAGGTCTCAGTCAAGCTTCAGTTAATGAGGTCATGAATGGGTCAGAAGATGAGCCTCTAAAGCCAATATGGTAGAATGTACTTTGGATTAGCTGAGTCACATGTATATGTCCAAACTGAGATGAAGAAGTAAGATTGAAGGATAATGCAAAACAAAAAAATTTTTCCTTTTATATGTAATAAAATATGAACATAGTATGCATATATACTTAAAAGCTTTGATACTTATACACATATGTAAAGTTAATTTATTCATTTGAAAACCATTCCTTGAAAACCACATATGTGCCAGGAACTATTATAGGAATAGACCTGATTTTTTCTGAATCACAGAAGTTTGAAAAATACAGGTTGTCCCTAAATTTCATCTGATCCAAATTGTATGCCACTTTTGGAAAATACATGTCAATGTAGTTGGCAGACCATCATCCTCGGAGTCTATCTTAATGGGTTTTTCAGTTTGGGAACTCAGTGAGGTCCAGTGCTAGTAGGCTTTGTTTAGGTGTTTCCCCATTATGCTGTGGGGTTACAGGATCTTGGTTTTCTGAAATGTCATTCATCCAAGAAATACTAGTAACTGTGCAGATGAGGTCCTGGGACACTCTGGTAAAGATGACAATCAAAGTTACAGCTCTGAGTGGGCTGACAATCAACTAAGAATTCAGTGATCAATTCTTGATATTAAACAATGTCAAAACATTGGAAGCTCAGAACTGGGGAACATTTGCTTGAAACCCACTAACTCAGGGTAAATCAATTAAGCTTGCTCATTTTCTCAGCTCATCCAGTTTCCATAGAAGCTTTTGTTTGTTCGTTTTCATGAAAATTCAGCCCCTACTTTTATTGTCAGTAAGTTAGTAGGCTTTATTTTTATATTCTTTTATTCTGAGATATAATTCTTTATGTTCATAGATCAATATTAGGGGAAATTTCTTTGCCAAGTAATGATCCATGTAGTTATAATAAAAGGGAAAAATTCCAAAGGTTTTTAGAGCCAAAAAGAATTATTATAGATTCAAGTGGTTCCATGACTGTGTTGTCCAAATGTTTCACCAAATTTATTAGCCATTTTCAGTTCTTTCATGATTGAGAATGAACCTGTTGCTAGCTGGGGCCAGAAAATAGTCTGTTGAATTTTAGAGCTTGAAGGCATCTTACATGCTATAAAATCTAATTCATGCACTTAGGGATGAGGAGACACAGACCATGCTGTTGACAGCTCTGCCCATACGAAGTCTTCCAGGTCATGGCCATTGATTTCATAAATTACAAATAGGATCTTGCTTAACCACTTGTGTGAATCTTTCTGCCAGTCTAAGTTGCTTTTTGAGAAAGGCTGAGGCTGAAGGAAGTTAATCTGCTTTAGAAGTAGCAGTCATTGTAGAATTGAGACTAGAACTTAAGTCTCCCTAACAATTAATCTCGGACTAATTTTCATGTAACAAAAAGCATCTGTAAAATGGGGATAGTAATACCACCCCCACTGTGTTATTGTAAGGATTAAACAGGACAATCTGTGAGAAATCATTAAGTTTACTTAGAATTTGTTTTACCGTAGGTCACTTGCCTAATCAAAAAGGTGGGTTTCTCAAAGCACCTGAGGGCAAGTTTGCAGGGAGACTTCAGGAAAGAACTGTAACCAGGAACTAGAATGCATCAGGGCTCTCTCTCTAGCTGTCCTCGCTAGCTCTCCCTTCACATCTGTTTGAATCTTCTTTATTTATAGACCATAAATCATGATTCATAAATCATGGTCACCGAATTTATGTGTGGGAAATGAACTCTTTCAGTTTCCATTGGTCATTCTCAGGGAAGAAACTTTACTTGCCCATAGGTTAGGCACAGACCAAGGAACTGGGTATGTTAGGGACAGAAGTAGTGGGGACAGCAGCAGGATGACCATAAGTGTGAAAAGTGTCAGTAAATAGGTAGTTCTCCTCAAGGGAGAAGAAAATTCTCATGATATGAAGGACTCAGTTCAAGCCCAGACTGGTTGGGAGTTCTAAACATTTCCTTTAACATTTTGGAAACAAGGACATCTACTCTGCTGACTTTTCTTCTCACTCCTTCCCTCCACTTTTTTCCCCCCTTCCTAATGCCCATGGGAGTGCCCAGAGTCTATGCAAACTGTGAGCATTCTTGTGTGTGGTTAGGAAGAACCCAAGGCCAGGTTGCAGGGACTCCAGCCCTGGAAAGATGTCAGCCTTTTTTAAATCAACAGCAGCAAGTGATGGGTCATTCATCCAAAAAATGTGAATTAATTTCCAACTAACTGCGTGGTGTTAGATGCTGGGGATACCATGTTGAACGAAATAGATAAGGTCTCCATCTGCTCCCCTAAATTCTTGTAGTGAAGCAGATGTTAAACTGAAGACAACAAAATATATGATAACACTTATGATAAGTGTGATAAAGGAGGAAAATAAGATACTAAGAATAACAGAAAGGACTAATTTAGATTAGAGAGCCAAGGGAGGTTTTTTTTTTTTTAGGAAATGATATATAAATTGAGACTTGAAAGATAAGTAGGCATTAATCAGGGATACAGCTGGGGGAAGAAAGATTCACGTCCAGGAAACAGCATGTGCAAAGATCCTGAGGCAGCAAAGGGGCCTTTGAGCACCCTTTGGGCTCCTATCATATAGAATATGATGACTAGAGGTGGGAAAGAATGGTACTCAGAAAAAGAGGACCAGAAAAATAGCTCAGGAAGTATCATCTACAACTGTAAAATTTTGTACATATGAGAGTTTTAATATAGACCTAGAGAATCTAAATCATTATAAACTTAGAGAATCTATCCTCACATAGGCAGATTGTTACACAATTAACAACCTGACATTGGGACTTTTGGAAACTACTCATGCAACAAATGCTACACAAGTGGAGAGGAGCATTGTGTGGACTACCTTTGGGGCCTCTGCTCTGGTGGAAGAAAGTGACAGGATCCCATTGATTTCAGGATCCAGCTCGGGACTTGTCATTAGCCTTATGGGATAGTGGAGAGTGGTTGCCAGTTGGCTTATCAGTCGGGTCAACAACAGTTTGGGTTCTTGGTCTCTTTTCCCTTCACGAATATGGAGCAATTTCTTTCTAAGTAAAGACAATTCGCTTGGAGCATATACAAGAGGTCTTCAAAAAGCTCATGGAAAATGTAAATTATGGAAAAACTGTGCATGGATTTCAATATTATTTTTTGCACCAAAATAAATGTGTAATAACTTGTTATAACATGTCTTAACAGGATATAATTTGAGGTGCTAAGAAGAATAAGACATCCACTTAAAAAGAGCCCCTATCACTTTGGAAGGCTGAGGTGGGCAGATCACTTGAGGTCAGGAGTTTGAGACCAGGCTGGCCAACATGGTGAAACCCCATCTCTACTAAAAATACAAAAAAAAATAGCTGGGCATTGTGGCAGGCACCTGGAATCCCAGCTACTCGGAAGGCTGGGGCACAAGAATGCTTGAACCTGGGAGGTGGAGGTTGCAGTGAGCTAAGATTGTGCCATTGCACTTCAGACAGAGCAAGACTCTGTCAAAAAAAAAAAAAAAAAAAAAAAAACAACAACAAACAAAAAATGTATCAGAGCAACATAAATTCTGCTAAAATTAAAGCAAGAACAAACATCAGGTTTATGTTGAAGCTTGGGTGGAAGAAGGGTGAAATCATTGATGCTTTGTGAAAAGTTTATAGGGACAATGCCCAGGAAAATCAGCAGTTTACAAAAGGATACCTCATTTTAAGAAGGAGTGAGGCAATGTTGACAATGAAGCTCATAGCGGCAGACCATCTACATCAATTTGAGAGGAAAAAATAATCTTGTTTTTGCCCTAATTGAAGAGGACCAATGATGAACAGCAGAAACAATAGGCAACCCCATAAACATCTCAATTGTTCAGTTTTCACAATTTTGACTGAAAAACTGAAGTTAAGAAAACTTTTCACTCAACAAGTACCAGAACCATTGCACCCCAGATCAACTGCAGAGAAGAGCAGAGCTTTGAATGGAAATTTTAAACAAGTAGGACCAAGATTCTGGAGCATTTCTTCAAAGAATTGTAACAGGAGATGAAACATGGCCTTACCCGTACGATCCCGAAGACAAAGCACAATCAAAGCAATGGCTACCAGGGAGGGAAGGGGTCCAGTCAGAGCAAAGGTGGACTGGTCAAAAGCAAAAGTTATAGCAAAGTTTTGTGGAATGGTCATGGCATTTTGCTTGTTGATTTTTCTGGACACCCAAAAAATAATAACATCTGCTTAGTATAAGAGTGTTTTGAGAAAGCAAAAGCTTTAGCAAAGAAAAAAAAAAAAAGAAAGAAAAAACACCTGGAAAAGCTTCATCAGAGTCCTTCACCACGACAATGCTCCTCCTCATTCCTCTCATCAGACAGGCAATTTTGTAAATGTTTCAGTGGGAAATCATTAGGCATCCACATTACAATCCAGATTTGGTTCCTTCTTGCTTCTTTTTGTTTCCTAATCTTAAAAAAAAAAAAACAAGTCTTTAAAAGGCACCAATTTTCCCTCAGTTAATAATGTAAAAAAAGACTGTATTGACATGGTTAAGTTTCTGGGATCCTCTGTTCTTTAGGGATGGACTAAATGGCTGATATCATCTCTTACAGAAATGTCTTGACCTTGATGGAGTGTATGCTGAGAAATACAGTTTATATTTTTTATCTTTATATTTTAACTCAATTTTTTCGTGAACTTTTTGAAGTCCCCTCTATTTGTGAACTTCTATATTTAGGCTGTGAGATAAATCCTATATTTAGGGATGTGAGAGAAATACTATCAGGTCAAGGGCAGTACAGTGAGTGATCTAGTTAGTCTCAGCTCCTCCCTCATTCAGTTTAACCTTGGAGTTCTCATACAGGCTTCAAGAATTGAGGAAACTGCTAATGGAACCATCCCAGGGGTTGGCAAACTATAGCCCATGGACTAAATCTGGGCTGCCACCTGTATTTATAAAGTTTTATCAGAACACAGTCACACCCATTGGTTTACCTATTACCTATCACTGCTTTCTCACTTAACTGAACGACCCACAAAGCCTAAAATATTTACCCTGGCCATTTACAGGAGAAGTTTTCCAACCCCTGGACTATACCACGTATTATCCATAAACTATTATGTGAATGATAATTTCACATTAAAAAGCTAGAAACAAGTTACAAGCAAAAGTGTAGGGCTAGTTTTTTTTTTTTTTCATTTGAAGAAAGAGTTCCATGTGAAGAAAGGGAAGGAAGGAGGGAGGGAGGAAGGCAGGCAGGCAGACACTGATTTGGTCTAGCCTAATTCTTTTATTTTACAAATAAGAACACTGGAGCTCAGAGAAGTAACATGGCCTCCTGTGGTCATATGACTAGTCACATGACTCCCAGTGTAATGCATCCTCTCCGTACTCAATAGGGCCTAATACATCAAATTGCAAGTCTTTGTTCTCATTTCCAGTATGCATGCTCATATTCTATAGTTTCTTTACTTGGGAGGTACAGGAGTTAATGGCATGGAAACTTACCTTTTAGATGGTCAGAGAGTTGCCTGGATTACTAGCACACAGGCCCCTTTCACTCTCTGTAACAGTTATGAAAAGGAGGAGGGAGTGTGTCCAGGGACCGTGTGCTTGGAACCAGCGTGGCAATGTGTGAGCTAAGCAAATATGAGCCATCATACTGGCTCTGCTGCACCCTTGGCTCCTCACACATGTCTGCAAACACACATCAGACTTCCTAAACAGGGCGGATGGGTCTGAATAACTTCAAGTACCCTGAACACCAGCCATCTGAATGTAGTCAAGTAATATTGGAGCTTGCATTCAGCACATGCCACTCATCCCTTCTTATCTGCCACAGTCAGCAGCATGTCAGCAGCTGGGAACGCTTAATCCACCTTCTTCAGGCTCTCCCATTTCCTCTTGGTGCCGGGAAGGATTAGACAAACTCCCAAATAGGTCCAGACAACTTGCGTGGGGCCAGGGCACCTGGCAGAGCACTGCTGGTGGCTGATTACATCCTCTGTTCTCTCAAGAGCAAGTTTCAGGACGAAGTCTGGGGAATAGACAAATCCCTTCCTGGGCCATTTGATCAGAAGGTTCATGAGCTCAGCTTTGGGGCAGTCCCAGGCCAGTCCACTCACAGCAATTATCATGGTTCCCCTGAGGTCTCCTCTTGCTCCCCTCCACCAGGGAGATGATGGCTCTGAATATTTGTCCTGGCTCCTAAATAGCCACAGCCTTTTGAATCCCCAGATGTTCACTTGGGCCTTTCAGGTCATGGTCTTTTCTATCAAGTAATTTAGCAGATAATTTACCCTAAATAATCTGCCTAAAAAGGCCACAGCATGTGCTGACTGTCTTTTACCTGAGGGTGAGTCCGCTGTCTGCTGCCTCATTTCTTTTTAGGGCTGCTTCTTTGTTCTGCATCCCCACCCCCCCAACCACCCCACCTCACCCCACCCCACTCCTCCCCACCCCACCCCACCCACACACAGCCACTTCTGAGATTGGAGCAGCCCTTTGTTTGAAAGGCTCAAGACACCATTCCAGCCCTGAGCTCTCCCTCATCATGTTTTTCATCAGCTCTTGATGCATTCATGCAAAGAGGCTCCTAAAAGCCCCTGCGAGTCTAATGAACTAAAACCATGCCTTCCCTAGGCTTCTCCTTCCATCACATTCAACAAAGATGCGATTGAAGCATTCACTGTAATATTGGCTTTCCCTACACTTGCACACTCTGCTATTCTCCTAGATGACTCTCAGACTACCAATGCCTCCTTCACTATTCTTGCTCTAGACAGATAATCTTGTTTCTAATTCTCTAGAAAAATGGAAACAGAGACTTTCCACAGATTCTCACAACCACATCTATCCCCCACCAGCATCTGCACCACAGATTCTGCCTCTGTGTACATTAGCTTAGATAAACATCCATTTTCTTTTGTCTTTTCAAGGACATTCTTCCAGCAATTTATCTTTCTCTCTGCTACATCATCAATTTTCTCTCTATACTGAATCATTCCTTACTTGGGAGATACAGGCATTCAGTTATTTTCCCCATCTAAACAAAAGTGAAAAAAAAAAAAAAGCCTTGTTCTTAACTCCACTTTCCCCCACCTACTACGTCCCATTTCTTTGCTCCTCTTTGCAACAAAACTCCTTGGAAGAGACGAAGGCACTAGTTTCCATCAGTTCCCCTCCTCCCATCTGTCCTAAACTCTTCTAACATCAAAGTCTTCTTGTCAAAATCACCAATAACTTCCATTTGGTTAAATCAAAAGGTAATCCACATTCCTCACTTTCCGTGCCCTATCTGCATCATTTGACACAATTCAGCCTTTTCTCCTCCTGGATACACTCTCTTTTCTAGGCTTCCAGGACCCCATACCCTCCTGGCCTTCCTCCTTTCTCAGTGAATGCTTCTTAGTCTCTTCTGAGTCATTCTCTTTTTCCCAACCTTTCAGTGTTGGACTACCCTGGGGCTCAGTCATTGAATCTCTTCTCTGTCTGATTTCATTTCCTTAATGATCTCATCATGTCCCTTGGCTTTAAATACCATCTATATTTCTCCAACACAGACCTTAGTCTGGAACTCTGGACTAGTATATGCCACTGCCTACTTGACATCTCCACTTGGATGTCTGCCTTAGTTCATTCCTGCTGTTATGACAAAATGCCTTAGACTGGGTAACTTATAAATAAAAGAAATTTACTTCTCATCATTCTAGAGGCTGGGAAGTCTAAGATTAAGGCACCAACTGATTCAGTATCTGGTGAAAGCTAACTCTCTGCTTCATAGAGGTGCCTCTTGCTGCCTTCTCCCATGGCAGAAGGGGAAAACAATCTCCCTTGGGCCTCTTTTATAGGGGCAATAATCCCATTCATAAGGGCAGAGCCCCCAAGATTTTTATTTTTTATATGGTGCCTCACTCTGTCACCCAGGCTGGAGTGCAGTGGCATGATCTCAGCTCATTGCAGCCTCCCAGGTTCAAGTGAGTCTCCTGCCTCAGCCTCCAAAGTAGCTAGGACTACAGGCGCGTGCCACCACACCCAGCTAATTTGTTGTTGTTGTTGTTGTTGTTGTATTTTTAGTAGAAATGGGGTTTCACCATGTTGGCCAGACTGATCTGGAACTCCTGACCTCAAGTGATCTGACTGCCTCAGCCTCCCAAAGTGCTGGGATTACAGGCGTGAGCCACCGTGCCTGGCCCAGAGCCCTCATGATTGAATCATGTTCTAAAAGGCCCCACTTCTTATACAACCTGCCTTCAAATCCTCTCCTCCCATCTCTCCTAACTCTTCTAACATCAAATTCTCCCTGTCAAAATCACCAGTAACCCCCATGCGGTTAAATCCAAAGATAGTCCACAATCCTCACTTTCCTTGACCTATCAGCATTCATTTGACACCAATATCACATTGGATACTTGTTTCCAATGTAATTTTGGGGAGATACCAACATTCAGACCATGACAATGTCAAACCAGCAGACTAGCACCTCAAATTTGTCCCAAACTATCTTCTCCTTTGAATCTGCTCCACCAGAAACGCTGTTTTTCTCTGTTGATGGCAACTCTATTTTTTTTTATTCAAATCCAAAACTTTGGAGTCAACCTTAACTCCTGTCTTTCTCTCATACTCCATATCTAATCTTTTAGTAGATGCTGTTTGTTCTATCTTCAAATATACTCAGAATCTGACATTTCTTACCATCTCCACTGCTATCACCCTGATCTGAGCTACTATCATGTCTCACCTGGATTATTATGAAAGCCTTCCTGCTATCATGTTCTTCCTGCTTCTATATTTTTCTCCACTACCTGAGGGTTCTTTGCATGCTTTTAAAAGGTATATTTGATCATGTTTGCTCAAAACCCTGTGGTGGTGTCTGTGGTGGATGGGAAAACAGTCCCTATAACATATCCATGTCCTCATCCTTGGAACCTGTGAGCGTTGCCTTATGTGGCAAAAAAAAAAAAAAAAAAAAAAAAAGGGAGGGGGGAGCTCTTTGTTAATTGCAATTAAATTAAGGATCTTGAGGTTGGGAGATGACCCTGGATTACCTAGATAGGCCCTAAATGCAATCACATGTCTCCTTATAAGGGAGAGGCTTATAAGGGAGAGGCAGGGGGAGAGTTAACAGATAGAAGAGGAGAAGCCAGCGTGATCATGGAGGCAGAGATTGAAGTGAAGCAGCTTCAGGTGCTGGGAGAGGCAGGGAACAAATTCTTCCTCAGAGCTCCTGAGGAGCACAGCCCTGCTGACACCTTGTTTTCAGTCCAGTGAACCTGACTATGGACTTCTGAGCCCTAGTCCTGTGAGAGAATACATTTTATTATTTTAAGCCACCAAGTTTTTGGTAATTCGTTATAGCAGCCACAGGAAACTAGTATATCCCTGATTTCATTCAGAGTAAAAGCCTATAAAACCCTGCATGATCCAGCTCCTATTAACTCCCTGACTCCACTCCTGCTGCTCTCCTCTCCCTCACTGGTTCTGGGCACATTGGCCTTTTTCCCTTTGTTCTTTTTTTTTTTTTTTTAAAACTGTAAGTTCTAGGGTACATGTACACAATGTGCAGGTTTGTTACATATGTATACATGTGCCATGTTGGTGTGCTGCACCCATTAACTCGTCATTTATATTAGGTATATCTCCTAATGCTATCCATCCCCCTCCCCCCTACCCCACGACAGGCCCTGGTGTGTGATGTTCCCCATCCTGTGTCCAAGTGTTCTCATTGTTCAGTTCCCACCTATGAGTGAGAACATGCGGTGTTTGGATGTTAACAGACACTTCTCCCTTTGTTCTTAAATAAACCAGGCCCCGCCTTACCCCATGAGGCTTTTGTTCGAGTTGTTTCCTCACCTGATGCTCAAGTAGTTCCGCCACTTCCTTCAATCATAGCTCGAATGAGGTCTCTCCTGAACACAGTAATACCCAAAGCTGCTCTGCCCTTTACCACCCATTCCTAGTCCTCTTTATCCTGATCTGCTTTTTTCTTTTTCTAAGCACTCCTCTCCTTTTAACCTGCAATGTAATTTTCTTGTTTATTGTCAACTTATTATGTATTGTTCTCTTCCCCTGCAAGATTGTAAGATTCTCAGGGCAGAATCAATCACCTCATTTGTTCTGTGCTGTATCCCAAGCACCTAGAATAGTGCCTGACACGTGTAAACATTTGATTAATATGTGTTGAGAGCATGAAAGGATGTTCTTAGAGTTCCTGTGGTAAAGATAAAAATTAGAGACACCCCCTTGTTTCTCCATCTCCCACCCCCTTCCTTCCAAGGCCCTCACTGTATTGTCAATGCGAACAAACATAGTAAGACAGAAAATTAAGTTCAAGATGATGGGGAATATCTGGGTAGGTTAACACAAGCAAAGGTTTCAACCTTCTCCTCCTCCCCTTACACTAGCCTTTTGTACACATTAATATGCAAGACCCATAATCTACCAAAATTTTGATGGTTAGTCTACAGAATTGTTTATGTAGCAGGCAAAATAATTGCAGGCCACAAAACTTAGGTGTTCAAACACAGAAGTTTAAATTTTTTCTTTGAGTCATTTCACATGGTTGCAGAAAACACAATCTCACCAATTGAGGGCAAACTCAGTCATTTCAGGCTTATTTCCTTCCCCCACTTTCCTTGGTGTAGGCTCTATGCCCAGGGGACTAGCATGGTGTTGTGGCATCAGGACCCTGGCTACAGAGATGCCTGCCAAGCTGTCATTTCCTAAAATGTTCACATTCCTTTTTGGTCCTCAGCAATTACAATTCATACGAGATCCATTAAGCTTCTTACCCCAGTTAGGAGACCAGATCCAACTATCACACCTGTGCTACTCTTAGCCTTAAGAGAGACAAGCAGGCTGCCTTGGCTTAGCTGCCTCAGCAACCAGGTGATCTGAAAATACCGAGCACCACTGATTCCTGGGCGCTGCAGACGGCAATGCACAAGTCTGCCATCAGAATATTATGTTCTAGAGAAGAGAGCCAGGTCATAGACACGAAAATGAATCAATGAAAAGAGGAGACAAGGAGTATTGTGAAGGGGACCAGAGGTGGTGAAGCTATTCTCAGTCATGACATTTAGGCTGAAACAGAATGATGAGAAGGAAGCAGCCATGCAAAAATCTGGAGGAATGGATTTCCAAGGGGGAAGAAAGAGAAGTGCAAAGGCTCTAAAACAGGAAGGAATTCGGCCTCTTTCATGGACTGAAAGATGATTGCATAGCTGGAGTGGAGAGAAGAAAGGGAGAGTGAAGAAAGAAAACCACAGAGGTGGGCACAGCCAGATCAGGAAGGGTCTTGCATGCTATAGTAAGGGGCTGGTATTTTATTCTACATGTAAAAAGATCCCCTGAAGCCATCTCTACAGCATTCTGACATCTGTCCTGCTATGGTCTATTGGAAAATATATGTGAGGATTTTCCCCTTCCATGGAAACTGAAGGGAAGCCTGGCACTTGAGCTGTCTACCTGCTCCTCCTCCCCCAGCCCCGTCGCCAAATCCTTGGGTGTCTATATAGCCATACCCTTGGCTTAGCTGGGAATAGGGCAGGACACAGAGTCCTCTCTTAGAGACACCCCTCATACCTAACCACCTTGTCAGCAAAAATTGTGAAAGACTTTGGAAATAGGCAAAATTGATTAGTGGGTGTCCTATCTAGAGCACCCTTTTGGGTCATCTTTTATTACCAACTATTGTACAACTCTGTCAAGATGTGGAATTCTGGTACTAATGCAAGTGATTCCAGTCCATGGGAATGCAAACTGTGTCCAGGGGGTGGAATTTGATTATTTCTCTGTAGAAACTGATCAATTTTATATCTATCTGTATTTATTTCAGCATTTCTGATGTTCTATGTGATGTTTTAAAAATTCTCCTTTGAACTAGTTATAACATCTTACCAGTTTCCTCATTAATAATGACATGTTTATTTTGTATTTGTGAGTCAAGATTTTGCCTTTTATAAAAAAGTACTATTTGGGAACCTTAACCTCCTCTCTATTCTTTCTCCCCTGCCTTCTTTTTTCTTATTCTTTTGTTCTGAACAATCACAAGACCCAAAGGTAAGTGAAAGGTAGATGGCATTCTTGTTTGTATACAGAGGAAACAACTGGAGCTTGGGGGAGTGAAGACGCCTTTGGTTTGCTGACTCCTGTTCTGGGGCTCCATGGTAAGTGGGAGAAAAGCACAGCCTCATAGGTTCTTTGGGAAATGCTCTGAAGTATTCTTGGGAATAAGGAGGGGTCTATTCCCGGGATGTAAATGTCCTGCAATGTACAATGCAACCCCACCCCGCCATCAAATGAAGATTATCCTGCTATAAATGCCAGGAGCACCCTCAGGGAGAAACACTGTACTTGGACAACATAGATCTACAGAACGTTGCTCTTGCATATGGGGGCTTTAATGGCTGCCCCCAAGAATCCAGCTGGGACCCAGACAAACATTTTATTCATTTCCCAAATCACTAACCCAGAGCCAGTTTTATGGTCATATCCCCCCCGCCTGACATGCAAAAAAAGGTTTATGGCCTTCAATAAAGACTTTTCTCTATTGAATATTGAGTTGAGTATATATTGTTTTAAACTCCAGCATCCTCCAGTAAGATTTATATTCTTGTTTTGCTTAAGAGTCACATTTTAATGTGGCAATAAAAACAAGTAAGATTTGTCTCACTGGAAGGCATCCTGTTTAGTTAATTGTCAGACCCCATGCTGCAAATCACTGCATTGGATTTCTTGTACCCAGAGAAAGCCGCTGTTTCTTCCTCTCCTCACATGAGTCACATGAGCCTGAGAGCCATGTTGAAGGAGAAGATCTGGAGCTAGAGGCAGTGGGGAGGGGAAAGTAAGAAGGAGGAAACTGCCCTATATTGTGCAACACCTTCCACAAAGCCTGCAGTGTATGCATCAGTTCCCTTGGAGGCAGTGTGGTGAATGGACAGTGTTCCCATTCTGAAGTCAGATCTGGAATCCCAGCCCTGCATTTACCAGCTCTGTGACCTTGGGTTGTTTAATGTCTCTGAATTTCCAGTCCCCTCCCTTCCCCCACATAGATTATAATGATGCTATATCAATCCTCCCGGCTTTGTTTTGAACATTATATTAGGTAATGGATTTAAAGAAGCTGGCACCAAAAAAAGCAAGCAGTACATGTTGGATCTTTCCCCAGTAGAGGCTGGCAACCTTGAGAGGCATCCAGCACAATGTGCCTGACACTTGCCAGGGGTCACCAGAACTATAGGCACGTAGCCAGATAAGTGGAAGCAGACAAGCAGGCATTGGGGGCTTAGGGATTCAGGCAAGAGTCTGAGCAGCAAGGAGCGAGGACCCAGGCAGGATTAGGGACAGAGGAGGTCAGGAGCAACACAGAGAAGGGGTGACAGGCACACAAGTGAAGAACAAGAGTGGGCTTGTTATTAGCCCAGTTAGCTTCTGGGGTATTTCTGGATCAAGACCAGGAAGGTCAGAGACAGCAGGTCGAAGACAATGGGCTGCTTCACTTGACAAGGAGAGTGGTGTGTGTTGGGCAGGGTGAAGCATCCAGGGCTGCTAGGCAGAGGCAAACCAAATAAGTCCCTCTGCAGCGCCCTTCCGTATACAGCACAATCTGCCCCTTAAGTAGACCTTGGTTTCCCAGCCTTCTCCACCCACAGTGCACATGAGCAGTGCTAAGGGCATCCCGACAATACAGGATGGCAGCTGTGATGCATCAATGATTCCAGCATCCATTTAGGAGGAGCCTCTATGCCCTAACAATAATTTGTATACCCTTGGGGCTTTCAAATAGGTTTTATCTCTAGTGTCAACTCTGAACAATTGGTAGTGGCTGCCTGAAATATATTTCTGTAGGGAAATATTTTGAAGGCCACATTTGAGAAGAATGCTGTGATTGATTATTTATGTCTGCCAAGGGCTTAGAAATGATGAGTGGAGGTATACTTGCTATCTTTTAGCTTGAAGTAATGCAGCCAATTCCTCCTAGCTGGTGTGCAGCTGGAGCATGCCTATAAGGTGCTGGTGGAGGAAGTTACTCATTCATGTATTCATTTATTCAGCATTCTCAGAATAGCCTCCATCAGCAGCACTGCCGCACTGGAGGAAGAGAGGAGGTCCTGTAGGAGGAAGTTCTGGGGACTCTCAGAGCTGTTTTCCAGACTCGAGTATGCTTTGGCACTTCATTTAGATTCAACATCAGTAAATAACCCTGGGAAGTAGAAATCATTATCAACCCAGTTTTTCAGGATAGAAAACTGAGGTTAATTTTGGTTTGGAAACAGCCAGTGGAATAATTCCTACCATAATAATTATCATGTCCTAAAATGCAGTCATTTGCATCTTTCACTGAGGGCCCTGAAGAGAACAAGATCATGCTTGTTAGAAGCCATTTGCCCCCTGTGTTATTTAAGGGCAGCCTTTCTGACATATCAGCCAGCCCTCAGCCAAGCTCTGAGCAATACCTAAACTCAGGGAATGCGTATTCAGTGAATTGGCCCATATTTTATCTCCCTACAAAATAGCTATTTAAATATCCCTCAAGTATGCACTTTCTGAATCATTAAGGCTTCAGGGTGCATCAATTACACTAATTTGGGAAAGTGATCAAATTCATGCAGGGCTGTTATTTTTAAAGAAAAGACATTTTAGTGTATTGATGGGATATTGGTGTCCAGAGTATATAGATTTCCAGTTATCTCCTGTCATGGCAAGAGTCCATCGGTTTCCTTTAAGAGACAGAGAACACATTATGCCTGGTATTAACAAAGATCAATTTCAGTAAAGGAAGACATTCAACACAAGGGAATTGAACTGAGCTGGGAATAAATGATGATGTAATGTTTGAAGCAATAAGGGATAAGTCATGCTGGGACTCCAAGTTCTTGTATAAATGATGATTAAATGGAATTTTTGTCCCTGCTTTTTGCTAGGGGTGATTTTTCTTTACTGTAAAGTATAATGTATCTATTTCAGCCTTGTCAGCAAAGTATGCAGCTCATAATTGGACTTCTTAAAGATTTCAGATTTCTTTGGTCCTAACGTGAAGGGAGGGTCTTATCTTTATTGCCAACTCATTTCTACTCTTCAAACCAAAGT
Organism: Homo sapiens; assembly: GCF_000001405.40. Lineage (NCBI taxonomy): Eukaryota > Metazoa > Chordata > Mammalia > Primates > Hominidae > Homo > Homo sapiens. The sequence goes on along the minus strand of NC_000014.9, from coordinate 66,036,522 downwards.
GACAGTCTTTTATAAGAATTTGGCTTTGGGTGTTATCTTTCAAGAAAACTGTATTATTCCAAACTTCAATACAGTGAATAGAGTTACAAAGACACCATGAGGATAATATGGAAGATTTTGGAAATAGAGTACAGATAAGCTCTCTGTGAGATGTGAGATGCAGTGAAAAAAAATGTCAAGATGAATAGGAACAATAGTGGTGCAGGATTTCTATCAATGTCTCTATGGGAAAAAGTCAAACCAAACCAGACTTTTTCATTTTTCCTGTGAATACATTTTGTGGGGAGGGGGGAGGCAGTCCACAAAAGCTATTTAGCTATTTAAGCATACTCGTAACAATATGTAGAGCTGGGAATGACCTCAGATAGTTCAACAGATAAGAATACTAATACCCAGGGAGGGAACGTGACTTACCCAAGATCACAGTTTCTCTTCCTTCTGGCTTGAGGTATTTCTTCGTAGCTAATTTAGGAAATTTCATTTTTTAAAAGGAACATCATTCCAATTTTTTTCAATTTTGTTTTTGATGGTGATATTGATTTTTGAATATGCACCAAAAAACTAGCACTGTGATTGGATGCCAGAAGTTCTAACTTGGAACTAAATTGAATGCTGAGTTTCTGATTCCATGTTTCTTGGGGAAGATGTGGCAAGCATATAAAAAGCACATTTTCACAGAGCAACATTTGGAGGGCAGGCAAAAAAAGAGAAAAATTATATTTAAAAAATTAGTTTTGGTTTATCAAGTAATAGCTCTTTTCTTACCAGCACCCTCCCAAGACGGAGGACTGGGAAGCAAAAAGAGAGAAGGGTTGAACTACCTGAGGGTTGGCATTTGTGATGTCTCCAGCTCAGAGACACAGTCATGGAGGAGCCAAGGTCTAAACCAGAAGAAAAGAACCAAGCACCTCACCCTTATTTTTATTTTTGTCCATGCCAACATTTTCCCCCATCTAACCTTTAGATGGGTCCTTTTAAAGACTTAGTCCATAATGGAGAGGTTTGCTGGGAGCCACAGTTCTCAACCTCAGAGAAAGACACATCCAGGGTTTTCTTGAACAGAGACAGAGCTGCCGTCCTGACACCTAGAATAAGAACTCTGAGGTGGGGCTTCAGAAGTTTTATTCTTTGGGAGCTACTTATAGCAGAAAAGGTGTGCAGTGCTTATTAATGGAGAACACACACAAGATGGCAGCCCAGAGGTCTGGGCTCCAGTCAGAGCACTTCTGTCTACCAGCTCCATGTTCTCTGGAAAAATCTACTTCCTGCCATTAGACTAACTGACCTCTAGGTCCATGGGGACAGATCATCCAACAGCCCAGTCCATATTCTCACCCCTGTTATCCCCTCTGCCTTATCCACCAACTGCCACCATCACATCAGGAACCATGCCATCCTCCTCCCTCTCTTTGCACTGCCTTAGATTTGGAATCTCCACTCCTGGTGTATTAGTCAGAGTTCTCTAGAGGGACAGGACTAATAGGACAGATGAATATTTGAATGGGAGTTTATTAAGGAGTATTGACTCACACCATCACAGGGTGAAGTGTCACAATAGACCATCTGCAAGTTGAGGAGCAAGGAAGCCTGTCCGAGTCCCAAAACCTCAAAAGTAGGGAAGCCAACAGTGCAGCCTTCAGTCTGTGGCCAAAGGCTCAAGAGCCCCTGGCAAACCACTGGTATAGGTCCAAGAATCCAGAAGCTGAAGAACTTGGAGTCTGATGTTCAAGGGTAGGAAGCATCCAGCACGGGAGAAAGATGAAGGCCTAAAGACTCAGCCAGTCTAGTCCTACCACATTCCTCTGCCTGCTTATATTCTAGCCTTGCTGCAGCTGACTAGATAGTGCCCACCCAGATTAAGGGTGGGTCTTCCTTTCCCAGTTCACTGACTTGAAAGTTAACCTCCTTTGGCAACACCCTCATAGACACACCCAGGAACAACACCTTGCATCCTTCAATCCAATCAAGTTATCACTCAACCATCACACCTGGCCATCTCCCTATTCCTCCCACATATCTCTAGTCCCACCAGAGCTGCCATCTAGTCCCTCCATCCTTCAAGATCTCCAGTTCCCTGACTCTGCAGAGCCTCCCAGCATTTTCTGGCTTTCCTTCCTTTTCTACCTATGTTCTTCATGGGTAGTCACTTCAATAACACTCTTCCTAATACCCTTATCTGCCTCTGGAGCTGTCCTTCCTCTGATTGTCAGCACAACAATTCCAACTCTGGACAAATCCAACCATCTGCTTCCTCAGATCCTGCTGCTTAGTGGTGCCTGTGAAAACTTATCATGGTGCCTGCCTTACAAATTAAAGATGCCAACCCCTTGGCACCTGAAGTTTCCAATCTGGTCCCAAATGACTGTTTTAAACCTTTCGCACTCTCCTCAAGCCCTCCACTCCATTCCTAGTCCTAGTTTCCTTCCTGTCATTTGCAGCACATGACTTGGCTTTCTATTTCCTGAGAAAGAGGTCAGCAGGAGTGGGGCTAATACAGTTTCATGAAGTCTGAATGTCCTGTATTGGGAGACAAGAGGGCAGTTCAGACCAGGGTAGCATGAGCCAGAAGGAAGAACATTCTTTAGCCATCAGAGAGGATGAGAAACCAGATGGCTCTTCAAGGTGGGTCCCAGTGCAGGAGGTCCTGAGGCCGAGGCAGCAGGGTTCATTAGATACCTTTCAAGAGGACTAGTTCCATGCCTCATGGAATTTCTAGTTGGATTCAAATCTCAAGATTTTTTAGTTTCTCCTCTACCTGAAACTCTTAAATTGTCCAAATCACAAATAAATTTGCTTTGAAAGGCATTTCTGGATATAGAGTGAAAGAAAAGATGTCACATAATAAAGTTGTCTTCTTTATATTGAGTTGAGCTACAGGAGTCCTTCTCTGAAATTCTGTAACTCAAATAGAGTTCTGAGCCAATTATTTCCCCTTTTGTTTTCATCCTCTGGCTTCCCCACAGGTGTAGAATTTTAGCCTGAAGATTTTTGGCGAGGGATTCTGCTCAAGCCATGGAGTTGTGGAGGAGATTCTGACAGATCAGTAGAAGTACACTACGTGGAGGGGCCCTATTATGGTTGGCTTCTCTGCCTCACTTTGTTTTTACTCCACTTGTTTTTTGATGATTCACAGAATTCCTAAGCAGGATGGAAGAAAGTAATGACCAAGAGCAAAGAGCATGGCTTATTTTACTTCTTTTGGTCATAAGGTCTGGGTGTCTTTTGGCTCTTCCCCAACGCAGGAAGATAATCCATAGCAAGTTATTTTTTAGGTGCAGTTTTTGGGAATCAATTTCTCGTTATGGAAGTCAGTAGTTCTGTGCACATATAGGCCCTAGGGACAGCATGGCCAATGAGAAAGACTTTATCCTACGTAAAAGTTCCTAGACAAAGTACAGCTGTTGAGCCTTTCCCCAGGGAGTAGCAAGGGCAAGTGTCGTGACAGCGAGAGAAAGATTACAAAGCGGACAACATAAGGATTATGAAGTGGACAAAAGAAAGCACCTGCCCAACCTCTTAGCTGAGTCAGCAACCTTGCAACTCCAATGGAGTCAGTGGGCCTCCTTTCTTAAAAGCTGAATGAGAGCCAAGGTGGGGAATAGACACTGGGTAATGGTTAGCGGGAGATAGTCCCACCACTAAAAGCAGGAGCTATTGGTCAGTGGAATAGCTGTGGGCCAGGGCTTCTCTTCAGATATATTCATTAAACCAGGGACATGTTTAAGTTTCAAACAAAATTTATTTAAATGAGTTTATATCCTTTAATAAGCCATGATGTTTGTTATTTAAAGAAGCCTAGACAAATTATTCTGAAATAAAAGTTATTAAATTTTGTTATGTCAGTAAATATGGTTATCCATGAGGCTGTTTATGGTAGATACTCTCACCTATTTCTAAAAGAGGGTTTGGGGTGGAGCCAAGATGGCTCCGGAGCCAAACAGGAACAGCTCCGGTCTACAGCTCCCAGCATGAGCAACACAGAAGACGGGTGATTTCTGCATTTCCAACTGAGGTACCGGGTTCATCTCACTAGGGAGTGCCAGCAGTGGGTGCAGGACAGTGGGTGCAGCGCACCGTGCATGAGCCGAAGCAGGGTGAGGCATTGCCTCACTCGGGAAGCACAAGGGGTCAGGGCATTCCCTTTCCTAGTCAAAGGAAGGGGTGACAGATGGCACCTGGGAAATCGGGTCACTCCAACCCTAATACTGTGCTTTTCCAACGGGCTTAAAAAACAGCACACCAGGAGATTATATCCCGCACATGGCTCGGAGGATCCTACGCCCACGGAGTCTCGCTGATTGCTAGCACAGCAGTCTGAGATGAAACAGCAAGGTGGCAGCGAGGCTGGGGGAGGGGCGCCGGCCATTGCCCAGGCTTGATTAGGTAAACAAAGCAGCTGGGAAGCTCGAACTGGGTGGAGCCCACAACAGCGCAAGGAGGCCTGCCTGCCTCTGTAGGCTCCACCTCTGGGGGCAGGGCACAGACAAACAAAAAGACAGCAGTAACCTCTACAGACTTAAATGTCCCTGTCTGACAGCTTTGAAGAGAGTAGTGGTTCTCCCAGCACAAAGCTGGAGATCTGAGAACAGGCAGACTGCCTCCTCAAGTGGGTCCTTGACCCCCGAGCAGACTAACTGGGAGGCATCCCCCAGTAGGGGCAGACTGACACCTCACACGGTCGGGTACTCCTCTGAGACAAAACTTCCAGAAGAATGATCAGGCAGCAGCATTTGCGGTTCACCAAGATCCACTGTCCTACAGCCACCGCTGTTCTGCATCCACCACTGCTGATACCCAGGCAAACAGGGTCTGGAGTGGACCTCTAGCAAACTCCTGCAGCTAAGGGTCCTGTCTGTTAGAAGGAAAACTAACAAACAGAAAGGACATCCACACCAAAACCCCATCTGTACATCACCATCATCAAAGACCAAAGGTAGTTAAACCACAAAGATGGGGAAAAAACAGAGCAGAAAAACTGGAAACTCTAAAAAGCAGAGCACCTCTCCTCCTCCAAAGGAGAGCAGCTCCTCACCAGCAATGGAACAAAGCTGGATGGAGAATGACTTTGATGAGCTGAGAGAAGAAGGCTTCAGACAATCAAACTACTCCAAGCTACAGGAGGAAATTCAAACCAATGGCAAAGAAGTTAAAAACTGTGAAAAAAATTAGACAAATGGATAACTAGAAAAACCAACGCAGAGAAGTCCTTAAAGGAGCTGATGGAGCAGAAAGCCAAGGCTCGAGAACTACGTGAAGAATGCAGAAGCCTCAGGAGCCGATGCAATCAACTGAAAGAAAGGGTATCAGTGATGGAAGACGAAATGAATGAAATGAAGCGAGAAGGGAAGTTTAGAGAAAAAAGAATAAAAAGAAACGAACAAAGCCTCCAAGAAATGTGGGACTATGTGAAAAGACCAAATCTACGTCTGATTGGTGTACCTTAAAGTGACGGGGAGAATGGAACCAAGTTGGAAAACACTCTGCAGGATATTATCCAGGAGAACTTCCCCAATCTAGCAAGGCAGGCCAACATTCAGATTCAGGAAATACAGAGAACGCCACAAAGATACTCCTTGAGAAGAGCAACTCCAAGACACATAATTGCCAGATTCACCAAAGTTGAAATGGAGGAAAAAATGTTAAGGGCAGCCAGAGAGAAAGGTCGGGTTACCCACAAAGGGAAGCCCATCAGACTAACAGCAGATCTCTGGGCAGAAACTCTACAAGCCAGAAGACAGTGGGGGCCAATATTCAACATTCTTAAAGAAAAGAATTTTCAACCCAGAATTTCATACCCAGCCAAACTAAGCTTCATAAGTGAAGGAGAAATAAAATACTTTACAGACAAGCAAATGCTGAGAGATTTTGTCACCACCAGGCCTGCCCTAAAAGAGCTCCTGAAGGAAGCACTAAACATGGAAAGGAACAACCGGTACCAGCCACTGCAAAAACATGCCAAATTGTAAAGACCATCAAGGCTAGGAAGAAACTGCATGAACTAATGAGCAAAATAGCCAGCTAACATCATAATGACAGGATCAAATACACACATAACAATATTAACTTTAAATGTAAATGGGCTAAATGCTCCAATTAAAAGACACAGACTGGCAAATTGCATAAAGAGTCAAGACCCATCAGTGTGCTGTATTCAGGAGACCTGTCTCACATGCAGAGACACCCATAGGCTCAAATAAAGGGATGGAGGAGGATCTACCAAGCAAATGGAAAACAAAAAAAGGCAGGGGTTGCAATCCTAGTCTCTGATAAAACAGACTTTAAACCAACAAAGATCAAAAGAGACAAAGAAGGCCATTACATAATGGTAAAGGGATCAATTCAACAAGAAGAGCTAACTATCCTAAATATACATGCACCCAATACAGGAGCACCCAGATTCATAATGCAAGTCCTGAGTGACCTACAAAAAGACTTAGACTCCCACACAATAATAATGGGAGACTTTAACACCCATAATTATTAATGTTTAACTGTCAACATTAGACAGATCAACGAGACAGAAAGTTAAAAAGGATACACACGAATTGAACTCAGCTCTGCACCAAGCAGACCTAATAGACATCTACAGAACTCTCCACCCCACATCAACAGAATATACATTTTTTTTAGCACCACACCACACCTATTCCAAAATTGACCACATAGTTGGAAGTAAAGCACTTCTCAGTAAATGTGAAAGAACAGAAATTATAACAAACTGTCTCTCAGACCACAGTGCAATCAAACTAGAGCTCAGGACTAAGAAACTCACTCAAAACCACTCAACTACGTGGAAACTGAACAACCTGCTCCTGAATGACTACTGGATAAATAAAGAAATGAAGGCAGAAATAAAGATGTTCTTTGAAACCAACGAGAACAAAGACACAACATACCAGAATCTCTGGGACACATTCGAAGCAGTGTGTAGAGGGAAATTTATAGCACTAAATGCCCACAAGAGAAAGCAGGAAAGATCCAAAATTGACACCCTAACGTCACAATTAAAAGCACTAGAAAAGCAAGAGCAAACACATTCAAAAGCTAGCAGAAGGCAAGAAATAACTAAAATCAGAGCAGAACTGAAGGAAACAGAGACACAAAAAACCCTTCAAAAAATTAATGAATCCAGGAGCTGGTTTTTTGAAAAGATCAACAAAATTGATAGACCACTAGCAAGACTAATAAAGAAGAAAAGAGAGAAGAATCAAATAGACGCAATAAAAAATGACAAAGAGGATATCACCACTGTTCCCACAGAAATACAAACTACAATCAGAGAATACTACAAACACCTCTACACAAATAAACTAGAAAATCTAGAAGAAATGGATAAATTCCTGGACACATACACCCTCCCAAGACTAAACCAGGAAGAAGTTGAATCTCTGAATAGACCAATAACAGGCTCTGAAATTGTGGCAATAATCAATAGCTTACCAACCAAAAAAAGTCCAGGACCAGATGGATTCACAGCCGAATTCTACCAGAGGTACAAGGAGGAGCTGGTACCATTCCTTCTGAAACTATTCCAATCAATAGAAAAAGAGGGAATCCTCCCTAACTCAATTTATGAGGCCAGCATCATCCTGATACCAAAGCCTGGCAGAGACACAACCAAAAAAGAGAATTTTAGACCAATATCCTTGATGAATATTGATGCAAAAGTCCTCAATAAAATACTAGCAAACCAAATCCAGCAGCACATCAAAAAGCTTATCCACCATGATCAAGTGGGCTTCATCCCTGGGATGCAAGGCGGGTTCAACATACGCAAATCAATAAACGTAATCCAGCATATAAACAGAACCAGAGACAAAAACCACACGATTATCTCAATAGATGCAGAAAAGGCCCTTGACAAAATTCAACAACCCTTCATGCTAAAAACTCTCAATAAATTAGGTATTGATGGGACATATCTCAAAATAATAAGAACTGTCTATGACAAACCCACAGCCAATATCATACTGAATGGGCAAAAACTGGAAGCATTCCCTTTGAAAACTGGCACAAGACAGGGATGCCCTCTCTCACCACTCCTATTCAACATAGTGTTGGAAGTTCTGGCCAGGGCAATTAGGCAGGAGAAGGAAATAAAGGGTATTCACTTAGGAAAAGAGGAAGTCAAATTGTCCCTGTTTGCAGATGACATGATTGTATATCTAGAAAACCCCATTGTCTCAGCCCAAAATCTCCTTAAGCTGATAAGCAACTTTAGCAAAGTCTCAGGATACAAAATCAATGTACAAAAATCACAAGCATTCTTATACACCAATAACAGACAAACAGAGAGCCAAATCATGAGTGAACTCCCATTCACAATTGCTTCAAAGAGAATAAAATACCTAGGAATCCAACTTACAAGGGACATGAAGAACCTCTTCAAGGAGAACTACAAACCACTGCTCAATGAAATAAAAGAGGATACAAACAAATGGAAGAACATTCCATGCTCATGGGTAGGAAGAATCAATATCGTGAAAATGGCCATACTGCCCAAGGTAATTTATAGATTCAATGCCATCCTCATCAAGCTACCAATGACTTTCTTCTCAGAATTGGAAAAAACTACTTTAAAGTTCATAAGGAACCAAAAAAGAGCCTGCATCGCCAAGTCAATCGTAAGCCAAAAGAACAAAGCTGGAGGCATCACACTACCTGACTTCAAACTATACTACAAGGCTACAGTAACCAAAACAGCATGGTACTGGTACCAAAACGGAGATATAGATCAATGGAACAGAACAGAGCCCTCAGAAATAACACCACATATCTACAACTATCTGATCTTTGACAAACCTGAGAAAAAACAAGCAATGGGAAAAGGATTCCCTATTTAATAAATGGTGCTGGGAAAACTGGCTAGCCATATGTAGAAAGCTGAAACTGGATCCCTTCCTTACACCTTACACAAAAATTAATTCAAGATGGATTAAAGACTTACATGTTAGACCTAAAACCATAAAAACCCTAGAAGAAAACCTAGGCAATACCATTCAGGACATAGGCATGGGCAAGAACTTCGTGTCTAAAACACCAAAAGCAATGGCAACAAAAGCCAAAATTGACAAATGGGATCTAATTAAACTGAAGAGCTTCTGCACAGCAAAAGAAACTACCATCAGAGTGAACAGGCAACCTACAAAATGGGAGAAAATTTTCACAACCTACTCATCTGACAAAGGGCTAATATCCAGAATCTACAATGAATTCAAACAAATTTACAAGAAAAGAACAAACAACCCCATCAAAAAGTGGGCAAAGGATATGAACAGACACTTCTGAAAAGAAGACATTTATGCAGCCAAAAAACACATGAAAAAATGCTCATCATCACTGGCCATCAGAGAAATGCAAATCAAAACCACAATGAGATACCATCTCACACCAGTTAGAATGGCAATCATTAAAAAGTCAGGAAACAACAGGTGCTGGAGAGGATGTGGAGAAATAGGAACACTTTTACACTGTTGGTGGAACCATTGTGGTTCACCATTGTGGAAGTCAGTGTGGCGATTCCTCAGGGATCTAGAACTAGAAATACCATTTGACCCAGCCTTCCCATTACTGGGTATATACCCAAAGGATTATAAATCATGCTGCTATAAAGACACATGCACACGTATGTTTGTTGCGACACTATTCACAATAGCAAAGACTTGGAACCAACCCAAATGTCCAAGAACGATAGACTGGATTAAGAAAATGTGGCACATATACACCATGGAATACTATGCAGCCATAAAAAACGATGAGTTCATGTCCTTTGTAGGGACATGGATGAAACTGGAAACCATCATTCTCAGCAAACTATCGCAAGGAAAAAAAACCAAACACCGCATGTTCTCACTCATAGGTGGGAATTGAACAATGAGAACACATGGACACAGGAAGGGGAACACCACACACCGGGGACTGTTGTGGGTTGTGGGGAGGGGGGAGGAGATATACCTAATGCTAAATGAGGAGTTAATGGGTGCAGCACACCACATGGCACATGTATACATATGTAACTAACCTGCACATTGTGCACATGTACCCTAAAACTTCAAGTATAATAATAATTTTAAAAAACATAAATAAATAAAAATAAAAATAACTAAAAAAAAAAGCGGGGGGTGTTGGCTAGGCGTGGTGGCTCACGCCTGTAATCTCAGCACTTTGGGAGGCCGAGGCAGGCAGATCGCTTGAGGCCAGCAGTTTGAGACCAGCCTGGCCAACATGGTGAAACGCCACCTCTACTAAAAATACAAAAAAGTAGCCAGGCATAGTGGTGCAGGCCTGTAGTCCCAGTTACTGAGGAGGCTGAGGCAGGAGAATCACTTGAACCCTGGAGGTGGAGGTTGCAGTGAGCCGAGATCACTCCATTGCTCTCCAGCCTGGGTGACAAGAGCAAAACTCTGTCTCAAAGATAAATAGATAAATAAATAAATAAAACGAGTTTAAAGAAAAACAACAAAAGAGGATTTGTAGTTGCATTTTCCATCTCTCATCCCTTTGGGTTTTGTTGACATAGGCTAAGTTCCTTGTTCAGAGTGACCCCGAGTGACCCTTCCTCCGTGACCACAGCTCTCACAGGATCCTGGTAACAAGCACAGGGCTGGTAATGGCTTCCGCCCTTAGCAGGTTCTTGGTGCCTTAATATGTCTTATTGTTTCTCTTAACCCTGCCCACACCTTTGTAAGAAGGCTCTTATTAGAGTCTCCTCATTGAATTATGTTTCTTGATGGAACTCTCATTGCTGTAATCTCCAACATGTTGGAAAATCTATAAATTGTAACAGTTAAAAGAACCTCTGTTCTTGGACAAGATACCACACTTATAAAAAGATAGCCCTGGTGTAGTGCTTTGTAGTTGTTTCATGTGCTGTTTGTTAAATCTCAATTCCGTCTTACAGGAAAGGCAATTGGAGTCACTGGGAGTTTAGGAATTTCTACAGGGTCTGTGACTAATTAAGGTTAGGGTGGTCAAGAACTCAGCTGTCCAGCACTCTGCTCCAGCCCACATTGTTCTGACCCAGCAGCAGCCAAAGGAAGGTGAACCTTTGCTTTATTATTTATCCTTCATTAGTTTCTAAAGACTTGAGAGAGATGCTCCTGCATAAGTGCCAGCCTTAGCGTAACTTCCAAACTGAAAATAACAGGTCTCCCTTGAAGGCCATGTGGTCATCTCCTCTTAATTTCCACGCAAGATCCCTGCTGCTTTTTAAAACCATCAGCCTTGCATAGGAGGTTCTGTCTCAAAGATCTTTCAGAAATGTGACTAGAATGGGCAGCTAGGAGAGGTCTCATATCATGCCATCAGGTATGTTTCTCTCCTGCTCTGTCTTGCTCTCTGTTTCCCAGTTTCTCTCTGTACGTCCCTTTGTCTTTCCTATTTTCTTCATGTCTTCCTCTCCTGAGAAGTCTTGTGGGACAGGCTGACAGTCCTTTGCATGTTGAGATACCCAATAACTACTAACAGTGGAAAGCCATCGCCACCCCAGGCCATTACCAGAGCCCAATGAGAGCTGTAGCCGCTGAGGCAGGCTCACTCGGCCCCTGCTAGAGGGGTGACACTGATGCAAGGAGGGGACAACCAAGAAATGCCCTGGTCTCCTCCTCCCCTTCTATCTTCTGATCTCCTGCTGGTGCTTCCATTGTCCCAAACCAACTGTAGGCCAGAGTGCAAGGGGATCTGGGTGATGGGGTCTATAGGAGCAGCTTTTAGGGGAACAGTAGTATAGAAAAGGGCAGAGCACGGATGGAAGCAATGGCATGGGTGGAGGTGGGGAACAAATAGAGAATAACCAACACAGGGATGACCCCACCTATTGACAACAGTGAGTCTGGATAGTGGGATGAATGAAAGCTATTTTAGTTCATTACTTTATTACCTCCCCCTGCCCAAATGGCAGCTTTGATTCCTTTCTTGATGAATTCCAGAGTCACACTAAACATCTCTGTTTTCCTCATTCTCTCCTCTCCTCTGTCTTGTGCTCTGTTGGCCCAGGCAATCTACCAGTGCCTGGACCTGATTCTCTACAACAAAGTTGAATTGGGAGTTGCATCTCCTTTCTCCTGCATTCTTCTTTGCTGAATGCTAAAAAGGAAGGCAGTTTCCATGTAGTTAATATATGATAGACCTATCGACTGAGACTCCTCAGACATGTGGTCCAGTCCATGGGCCCAAACAAAGGAGCAATTGCAAGATGCCATCGCATCCTAATAAAGCTGTGGAAGTGAAACACAGTTGGTGACACAGGTGACAAAGGCAGGCTGTTGAGGTCTGGCTAGTCACAAAGCATTGGTGCTCTGCAGTTTAATAAAACCCACATGTGACACCATGGGGACAGTCACCTTGGCTGCCAGCTGGCCAACTTGTGCACCTGCTTTTCTGGGAGGTGTGGTGAGGAAAGATTTGGGCAGGCCCTTTCAGAACTAAAACTGGTCCAGGCCATGGGGATGCCAGCAGGAGCTCCGCACCTGGGTATATTTGGAAATGCCCACCCTAGAATAGAGTACCCTGGGTTGGGTCACAGAAATGGGGCTGTGGCTCATTAGTTCCAGCCCCAGCTGATACTGCCAAGCACCAGGTTATGTCCCAACCATCAGATATCTTTTTATCCATAGTCACAAAATACCTGCAAAGCTTCATGCTATTGGCTTTAGGGAGCGACAGGTTTAGGATACAGATGCCTCAGTGCTGATCCTTCTCTCTACAGAAAAACAAGTAAAAGACCCAATCTAGATTGACAGCCTACTATATGGCAGCACTGCACATTAAAAGAAACAATTTACATTTTTATATGTATTTAGAATTTCAGAACTTAGCAGGTCCTTATTTAGAGACAGAGGAGAAGGAAGATGGAGGAGAGAAGAAGGAAGGGAGAAAGAATACTATGCTTACCAAAGGGATTAAGAGCAAAGACTCTGGAGAGTTTGATCCCAGCCACTTTACCAGCTCTAGGTTTCGGGCAAGAAACATCACCTTTCAGGGCCTTAGCTTCCCAATTTATAGGATAGGAATAAAAATAGTACCTACTCCCTGGGGTTGCAGTGTGGATTAAATGAGTTAGCACGTAAAACCCTTAGAGCCATTCCTGGCACAGGGGTTGAGCTCAGTAAATAGTAACTGATGCTATTTTTTATATTGTTGGACAATATTGCAGGCCAGAAGCACCATGTTTGTTGGATGAAACTCTGTCTTTGCATAGAAAGGACTAAGGCTTTGAGCTTACTAGCCACAGGAACTTGGTCCCTTGACTTCCTCCCTCGGTGTCTCCCATCTATAAAGCAAGGATGCCAATAATCTCTGCCTCATCAGGTGTGTTCTAAGAAGAAAATGAGGCAGCCTTCATGCCTGACCTTCTATGCTCTGTGAAGGAAATTGGAATGGCTCTATTATTTGAAAGTCATAAAATTACTAAGTCACCTTGGGTTTGCCTTCCTTGTTTGCTGAAGCTAGAACCTCTGTCAGCTCCCCTCCTCCATCCTGAGGTTAAGTGTTTGCCTTCACAGATGCTCAAGACTCCTGAGAAAAGCCAGTCCAACCTCCACAGCCTCCAGAATGCTGCAGGGTTTCATCCTGGGCAGATTCACTTCAGAACCCCCACACCTGCTCAGGATGGGACACTGAGGACCAGCCGAGAGCTCAGGCTCCACAAAACGCTCAACAAACTGGGCACGCTGGGCCTGGGAGCTACCCAGGCAGCTGGGCCGTGAGGAGGGCAGGAGCTCCGGCTCCTCTCCAGCTGGCAGGTCTGCTTAATGAGCTGCACTCAGAGCACAGTGACAGGGGCCTTTTGATGGGCAGAGTCATTAGCACTCCATTTTAATTATGCCTCCTGGCGTTCCCCATCGCTTTTCTTTCACTTTACCTGACAGCGCTACTAGTGGCTCCCAAATGCCAAATGGTAACAAGTAAATTGAATTACTGTAAATGTGGATGACTATCAAACTGGTTGGAAAACAAAGGACATTAGTCTTCTCTTTCAGTGTCAGCTGAGCAAGTCTTGCCTTGCCTCCTTGGGGGCCCAGGAAGGGGGCTTATATCTGAGATTCACTTATGTCTCCGTGGGGTCTAATTTCTAACAACCGGTGCAGACAGCCCATTCAGGAAATGCAAAGAACAACCTGTCAGTAGCTCCTTAATGCCATTCCAGCAAGGAGATAAGAGAATGGAGAGAGAAGAAATACAGCTATCCCCTCCAGGTAGCTCTGAGAAGATGGGGACTAACATAGAAAGGAAGCATGAGGGGAGGAGCAGGGGAGGGACATGCTCCTCATTAGGAATTATTTCTAACGTTTCTATGACTATCATTGTGATTAAGAACTGTTCTTTGAGAAGAAAGAGGGATCTCTCAAGATAAAAAGGTTATTCAAGAAGGTTCTGTTGGTGGCAAACTCCACTGACGTTTCCCTGAACAATATTTTTTTCCTGTATTTCCAAAAGACATTTTTGCAGGGTATACGATTCTTGATGGGTGGTTATTTTCTCTCAGCCTTTGGAGATAGAATCCCTCCACCTGCTGGCTTCCATTACTGCTGTTGAGGAGGCTAAAGTCAGTCAATTGCTGTTGCTGGGATCTGAATTTCCTCTCTGGCTGTTTTTAAGATCGTCTCTTTGCCTTTGGTATTAAAGAGGTTTCACTACAATGTGGCAAAATGTTGTTGATGGAAAAAGCTAAACTCTGTAAAATACTTGAAGAGGTTTATTCTGAGCCACATATGTGAACCATGGTCCATGACACAGCCTCCGGAGGTTCTGAGAACATGCGCCCAAAGCAATTGGGTTATAGCTTGGTTTTATACAGTTTAGGGAGACAGAAGTTACTGGCAAAAACATAAATCGATACATGTAAAATAGACATTGGTTCGGCCCAGAAAGGTGGAACATCTTGAAGAGTGAGGGCTTCCTGATTGGCAATTGGTTGAGAGAGTTAAGCTTTGCCTGAAGAGTTGAAGTCAGTATCAATAAATGCTTGAGTTAAGATGGGGCAGGGGGTTATGGAAGCCAAGGTTCTTGTTATATAGATGACACCTCTAAGCAACAGACTTCAGAGAGAATAGATGGTAAATGTCTCTTACTGGACCTTAAAGTGTCAGACTCTTTGGAAAAGACCAAGAAAGTATAGGAGATTCTCTACAGTATGCAAATTTCCTCCACAAGAGATAACTTTGCAGGGCCATTTCAAAATATGTCAAAGAAATGTATTTTGGGGTAAAATATTTTGATTTCCTTCAGGGCCTGCTATGTGTCATATGATGCTACGCCAGAGTTAGGTTGGAGCTGGGTATCTTATTGCCACAAAGAATCTGTTTTTTCAGTCTTATGATCCCCCTTTTAATGTTAGTGCTGGTCAGTTGTGCCTAAACTCCTAAGGGAAGAGGGTATAATGAGGTATGTCTAGGCCCCCCTTCCCATCATGGCCTCTCTTGGCCAAGGAGATTCCATTCAGTCAGTGGGGAGACTTAGAATTTTATTTTTGGTTAACAGTATAAATTTATTTTTATTATCGTGCTTGGAATTTGTTGCAGTTCCAAATCTGGAAAATTCTTGGCCTTTATTCTTCAAACATTGCTTCTCCCCATTTTCTATATTCTCTCTCTGGAACTCCCCTTAGACGCATGTTTGACTTCTCTGCCCTTCATATCTTCTTGTTTCTCAGGTTTTTATCTGTGGGAATCCCAAGAGTCTGGTTGAAGGATTTTCCTCCAGAGAGGATTTGCATTTGCTTCTGCCACATGCTAGGGGTGCTTCCAACACTGGGTTGCTTTGAATTAATTTCTCATTAACTAATATCTCTGGGTTTTTCTGGTATACATAGGTAGTGTTTAAGCTCCAAACCTGTATGGGCACAGGCTTGTGGTTACAAATATTTAAAAGAGATTTTTCATCTTCCAAAGGCCAAAGCAAAAATAGCCACATTTTTTTGTTTGTGCCCTTGTGAAGCAGAATTTTTTCCTAGTGTTTTTTTTTTCCCAGTGGGTGTAGCATGTAGGGAATTCCTGCCCTTCCAATTCCCTACCTGGTGGTGAGCCATTGTCTGGACACCTGCCCCACCATGGCCATAAAAACCCACGGCTCTAGAAAAGATGATGGGGCCAAGGAACCCCTGGAGGGCAGCTGTTGGCTTCCACAGCCACTTTATTTTCATATTCTGAGCCTTTCTCTACTGTCTCAAAAGTTCTGAATTCTTAAAACATTTTGTTCCGCATTTTAAGTTGTTATTGTTTGCCTGTTTATTTTAGAATGGGAAAGTTTTCAGGATTTCTAGTCCACTGTATTTTTCACCTTCTGTATTTATAATCACCTCTTGGAAGAATTTATCAGCTTCTCACTCTCTTGATATTCCCTTTGTTCCCAGCACTCTCCTATCGTATGGGAAGAAAATACCTCCTTTTGTATGTTGTATCTCATACATTGCTTAGCCTCTATTTTTATATATATGCTTTATCATGTGCACCTTATGTTAGTATATTAGTATATTCTTATAATGTATTAATAAATAAAAATACAATTTTTAACTGATAGGGATATGGAATCATGAGAGTTTGGAGACTCCACTGCCTTTTTTTTGAGACAGAGTCTTGCTCTGTCACCCAAGCTGGAGTACAGTGGTGCGATCTCAGCTCACTGCAACCTCTGCTTCCCAGGTTCAAGCAATTCTTCTTCATCAGCTTCCCTAGTAGCTGGGGTTACAGGTGCCCGCCACCACACCCAGCTAATTTTTCTATTTTTAGTAGAGACAGGGTTTCACCATGTTGGCCAGGCTGGTCTGGAACTCCTGACCTCAAGTGATTCACCTGCCTCAGCCTCCCAAAGTGCTGGGATTACAGGCATGTGCCACCATACCCAGCCTCCACTGCCTTTTAAAGCCCATTGTCTATGTTTTTATGAGTTTTAGGGTTGGAAAGAAAATATTCAGAGCTTTGTGCACACTGAACTCTGCTTCTTCAGACTAAAAACAAAAGGTCTGGCAGGGTTACGCAGACAGATCCTGTACCTCAGGGCGGAGGTGGGTAGGCAGGTAATGTACTTGCTGGGCTGCAGGTTAGGAGACTTTGGTTGAGTCTAACTGACCCATGCTCTAAGACTCATTTTCGCTTCTCTTCTGTAGCCCATGATTTTTCATTTCGGCATTTCTCTCTGCTACCTAACAAGCTTTTCTACAGCTTTGATTCACCCTATTGATACCATAATAGTTTAGTTTCTCTGTTTAAAGAAAAAAAATAGAGAACTGGCACAAAAAAAAAAAAAAAACCTATCAAAACTTTCAAAAACAGTTGACAGCTTCTGGCCCCAAATCGCCAGTTGAAGCTCACCTGGGTTGTCCTCCAGATACCTTGCCTAGGGCTGTATTTGCTGTGAGCCCCCCACCACCCTTTCAGCAATCTGTGATGCCATGTTCCTCTGCCTATCTGTCTGCATTCCCTGTCTGGGTTATGTTTTCAGGCCTCAGAGAGTGCATTTCATCCTGACAGTGGACACAGTGAACGAGGTTCAAGGAAGCCGCCTGGCTGAATGACCACAGTTCAAGAAGTCTATTAACAAAAGCTAGAGAATCAGAGCTGTCTTCCCCATTTTGAAACTGAACTGCAGCCTTGGATTCTTTTTTGATTATGATCCCAGGTCTCTCATTTCCTAAAATGACCCCAAATGGGGGTGTAGAAAAATGCTCAGTCTAAGGCTATTTACTGTTTATAGCCTTAGAAGATAGTACACAGAAGACTCACATGATAAATATTATATAAGTATGTGTGTATCTGTCTGTGTCTGTGTAAATTGATACAATCCTTGTGATAGCAACAGCTTTTATGCAGTCATAAATAAGTCTTTAGATGTAGAATTGTGATACTCTGGTTTATTAGTATTAAGGAAACATGGCACAAATGAACAAAACATTTCATGCTACAGTGCTTGTGTGCACTGTTACCTCCATCACATAGACATATGAATGTGCCATGTCATAGGTGAGTCACTCACTCCCAAAGACATTCAAAGCTGAAGCTGGAACCATTTTTTTTTATCAGAATCTTCGAGAACTCTGAATCCATTAATGTGGACAAAAAAAGGTCCAGACTGCACTGTGCCAATGGGCACTATTACCTCCTGTTCAGTCAAGTGAAATAAACTGGGTCTCCAAATAGGCTTACATTTTCTGAGCTAACAGTCCTCCCCTGTTTATGTTTTCTACTTAAGGAGGATATTTTTTAAAAGCCTATTTCACATAATCAATTTTAGTGGGCCCTTTAAAATGGAAGGTGAGCTGGAGGTAGTTCAGTTTGTTTAACAAGAACTTCAGCTTATTGAAGTGAGCATTAGCGTATCATGTCCCCATATGGCAGTCATTAGAGACAGGGGAAACTTGAGAAGCTTATTACTCTGAGATAGCTAGTAAAAAGAATTGAAGACAGTTTTATAGGACCTAAAGATAGTGCCAATAAAGTAAGGACAAAATCCATTTGTAAGTGATAAGCAAGAGGAGGAAATCTTTGAGAAACTAAAAGGTCTTAGCTCTACAGTATACAAAGTAGAGAAGCTTTCAGGTGACAAGTCTATGGTTCATGTGCATATTCATTAATGTATTTACCTTTCTCAGTCACTCAGTTAACCAGTGTTTATTGAGCACCTACTATGTTCCCAAATGTGGTGACTCCTGAAAATGCAGTGATAACCAAGGCACAATCCCTGCCTGGAGGACCTCACACATAGATGATAGACTAGGAAAGAGGCCACTGAGTACAAAGGGATGGAATAAGTGGAAAGGGAGGCAGGGGGTATTGTGCCAGTGCACCAGGAACGCTTCCTACCTGACCTGCTAGGGCAAGGCTGGGGTGTGGGTTGTTCCAGGCAGATAGAGCTAGAGGTACAAAAATCTGCAAGGAGAGAGAAAATGGGGTGTCCTTCAGCAACTTCCTAGCAGCTATTTATGGCTTCCATTAGTTCAAGGAAGGGAATGTCAAGAGGTAAAAGCTGGAGAAGTAAGCAGGGATCCAGATCAGAAAGAACCTTGTATGATTCTTGAAAATGGAAAACCCTTAAAAGGTTCTAAGCAGGGGGATGATGTGATCAGATATCCATTTTAGAAAGATGGTGTATTTGTCTGTTCTCACACTGCAAATAAAAACATACCCGAGACTGGATAATTTATAAAAGAAAGCGGTTTAATTGGCTCACAGTTTAGCATGGCTGGGGAGGCCTCAGGAAACTTACAATCATGGTGGAAGGGAAAGCAAACAAGTCCTTCTTTACATGGCGGCAGCGAGGAGAAGTCCCAAGCCAAAGGGGGGAAAGGCCTTATAAAACCATCAGATCTTGTGAGAACTCACTATCATGAGAACAGCATGGAGGTAACTATCCCTATGATTCAATTACCTCCCACCAGGTCCCTCCCATGACACATGGGGGTGATGGGAACTACAACTCAGGATGAGATATGGGTGGAGACACAGTCAAACCATATCAGATGGTATAGGCTGCAGTGTGCAAAATGGATTGGAACAGGGAAAGGTGGACACGGGAGGCAAGTTGGGAGTCTGATAAAGCAATAAATAATCAAGCCAAAGGATATGAGTGGCCTGAACTAAGGTACCTGACATGGGATAGAAAGAAGTGAACAGACTGAAGATATGCTAGGAAGGTAAAATTAGGACACAGACATGGGTTGAATGTGGAAGAGGAGGAAAGAAAGAAGCTAAAGGGATTTGGGGTTATACCACTGGGTGGGAAATGGTACCACTTACTGAGATAGTGAACAAAAGGGGAAGAGGGAGTTTAAGGGAAACAATGGTGAACTAAATTTTAGATATTTCATGTTTGCCTTTGGGATATCCAATAAACTCTTAGATATATGTATCTGGAGCCCAGGACAGGGAACTGGCAGGACTTAGAGATTTGGGAGTTATCATCTTATTCTTGGTAATGTAGGCAATGAAGTATGGATGAAATTACCCTTGGTACGGGGAGAAGAGATCCTAGAACAGAGCCCTAGGGAACTAACCAATATCAAAGAGATAGGATGAGGGTGAGGAGCCCATGAGGCAGCCTGAGGATCAGTGGAGTAGAAGACCTAGGAGAGTGTGTTGTCAGAGGTGCCATGGGAAGAGAGGCTTTGGGAACAAATGGTTTGTCAACAGAGTCAAATGTTACAAAGAGGTCATACAAAATGAAAGAGGAATTTTAAAAGAATTACTGGAGGTGTCCACTATCATCAATGGCAAACAAATCATTGGTGGCCTGGGTAAAAGCAGTTTCAGTGGCACAATGGAAGAGGAAATACAGCTGCAGTGAGTTGCAGAGTGAATGGAAGGTGAAAACGTGAAATTTAGAGTACGAACAACTTTTTCAAGATTCCATATGTGAAGGACATGGGGAGAGGAGGCAATAAGTGCCAGAGGAGAATGACAGGATATAAGGCAATTATTTTGAAACTAAATTATTAGAAACTAAATGATAGAAGAGACTTGAAGTGATTCAAATGCTCATGAGAATTAGCCAATAGAGAGGCAAAGTTTCATGAGATGGGAGGAAGAAGGGGTGATGATTAGAGGGGCATATGTGAGAAGGTGAGATGGGGGGCTTGCCTGGGTCCTGGGTGCAGAGAGAGGTACTGACCCTGTCAGGAGGACAGACCTGGTGCCAGTTAAAAAACAACCGCAAAACCCCAGGAAGGTACACCAATACGTGTTGATGCTCTCACATCTGGAATCAACTGACAATCAGCTAACTGGCTCCACTGATCTTGGCTGTACTAAACTCTATAGGACTCCACAGCTGTCATCTGATCTGGATGAGCCTCATCTCCACAAGACCCTCAGCTTCATCCTGGGATGGGTAGACTTGCCTGGACTTGTTTTTTCTCATGGCAATGGCAGAGATGCAATAGAGCAAGCTACAATTTCCAAGCCCATCTGCCGCCTCTTCTTGTGTCATGCCTGCTAATCTCCCACTGGCCAAAGCAAATCATGTGGCTGAGCCCAGTGTCAGGTCAGTCCACCCACACATTGCAAAGTTAAATGGCAGAGAGCATGAGGTCACAGATATCTTAACACAGATAAAGAGAAATACAGCTTTGACATTTTGTCAAACACAAGAAGAAAAAGCAGTTTGTAAGAATCCAAGGGAAAAAGACAAAGGCCTAGCCATTCACTCCTCTTTCGTGCAGATCAAGGTGCTGCCGTATTATTTATGTCCAGAAAGGTTAACACTCAACTGTGGTTAATGAGCAAAGTCAGCCTAGATGAGAACACTTCATGATAGGGTCAGCATTACCTTATAAAACTTAACGACAGCAAAGTCAGCTTTATTGCTTTTGTTGAAAGGGGGAAAG
The DNA here is from genome assembly GCF_000001405.40 of Homo sapiens. Lineage (NCBI taxonomy): Eukaryota > Metazoa > Chordata > Mammalia > Primates > Hominidae > Homo > Homo sapiens. The sequence goes on along the minus strand of NC_000014.9, from coordinate 66,015,206 downwards.
CCCTTCACCACCTCCATGAAGTTGGTGGAATCTGCTCCTGGGCAAAAGAAAAAAAATGTTCTCTCCAAAGCTTGTTTATGAGAGAAGATTATTGGACTGTGAAAGAGTTTAATTTAAAGAGCAGGGTGGGGAGACAGGAGTGTCTGCAAAAGTGAGGAAAAGACAGCTCTGGCTTACATCCATATTACACTTGGAAGGGCAAGAAATGAGCTTGTGGAACAATGAAGCCAGGTTTCCAAGGGCTAAACCACAAAGGTAAGGAGCAGAATGGTGATTCTGTGATGGGGAGTGCTTTCCCCATACGCTTCAGACATTCCCCAAAGTTATCATCACCTGCCCTTCTCCCTCCTCTCTATTTTCAGGCAGAACCATTCTATAAACACCTCTCTCTGCTTCTGAAACACCAAAGCACGGCACTGCGAATTATAAACCTTCAGTGTACAAAGGTGTCCATGGTTATCACCTGTGGATCTTGAGCTTACATAAATCAGGGGTCTAGATGAGTTGCTCCCCCTTCTTTCAATTCAGTGTAGTGTGATGTATTCCCCCTCAGGGGCATTGATGGAATATAGTGTCTAATTTTAACTAAACTGTCAGAAAATTAACACATGGCTTTAAAAGTTTCCTGTAAAGAAACAGCAGTTGGGAGATTTGCTGGCCTAGGACAGGAGAACAGACCTAGTGCCAGTTAACAACCACAAAGACCCAGGCAAGTACACCGATACATGTTGTTGCTCCCACCACTGGAATCAACTGAGGGTTGGCTAAGGGGCTCCACTGATCTTGGCTGGACTCACCTGTCTGGGACTCCACAGCGGTCAGCTTACCTGGGACTCCAGCAGCTGTCAGCTCATCTGCTACACAGGACCCTCAGCCTCATCCTGGGATTGGTAGACTTGCCCAGGCTTGTTTTCCTCATGGTGATGGCATAGGTGCAAGAGGACAAGCTCCAATGCCCAAGCCCATCTGCAGCATCTTCTTGTGTCATGTCTGCTAATCTCCCACTGACCAAAAACAACAGGGAAATGGCTGGGCTGATGAGCAGCCCACCACAAGAACAAGCTCTTGGTCAGCCACACTGCAAAGTGACACAGTGGTGAGGTGATGTGATCCCTCCAGAGAAGTCAGCTAAAAGGGGAAAAAATTGAAATGATGAAGACGATTACTATTTAAAATACGTATTTATATCCACTATCATTAACTATCTTTAAACTGTCCCAAGTGCACGTTGTACCTGAAGTTGTCATAACCGGTAGGACATAAAAACTTTAAGCATTCAGTTCGATCGGTAGCGGGAGCGGAGAGCGGACCCCAGAGAGCCCTGAGCAGCCCCACCGCCGCCGCCGGCCTAGTTACCGTCACACCCCGGGAGGAGCCGCAGCTGCCGCAGCCGGCCGCAGTCACCATCACCGCAACCATGAGCAGCGAGGCCGAGACCCAGCAGCCGCCCGCCGCCCCCGCCCTCAGCGCCGCCGACACCAAGCCCGGCACTACCGGCAGCGGCGCAGGGAGCGGTGGCCCGGGCGGCCTCACATCGGCGGCGCCTGCCGGCGGGCACAAAAAGGTCATCGCAACGAAGGTTTTGGGAACGGTAAAATGGTTCAATGTAAGGAACGGATATGGTTTCATCCACAGGAACGACACCAAGGAAGATGTATTTGTACACCACACTGCCATGAAGAAGAATAACCCCAGGAAGTACCTTCGCAGTGTAGGAGATGGAGAGACTGTGGAGTTTGATGTTGTTGAAGGAGAAAAGGGTGCGAAGGCAGCAAATGTTACAGGTCCTGGTGGTGTTCCAGTTCAAGGCAGTAAATATGCAGCAGACCGTAACCATTATAGACGCTATCCACGTCCTAGGGGTCCTCCACGCAATTACCAGCAAAATTACCAGAATAGTGAGAGTGGGGAAAAGAACGAGGGATCGGAGAGTGCTCCCGAAGGCCAGGCCCAACAACGCCGGCCCTACCGCAGGCGAAGGTTCCCACCTTACTACATGCGGAGACCCTATGGGCGTCGACCACAGTATTCCAACCCTCCTGTGCAGGGAGAAGTGATGGAGGGTGCTGACAACCAGGGTGCAGGAGAACAAGGTAGACCAGTGAGGCAGAATATGTATCGGGGATATAGACCACGATTCCGCAGAGGCCCTCCTCTCCAAAGACAGCCTAGAGAGGACGGCAATGAAGAAGATAAAGAAAATCAAGGAGATGAGACCCAAGGTCAGCAGCCACCTCAACGTCGGTACCGCCGCAACTTCAATTACCGACGCCGACGCCCAGAAAACCCTAAACCACAAGATGGCAAAGAGACAAAAGCAGCCAATCCACCAGCTGAGAATTCGTCCGCTCCCGAGGCTGAGCAGGGCGGGGCTTGAGTAAATGCCGGCTTACCATCTCTACCATCATCCGGTTTAGTCATCCAACAAGAAGAAATAATGAAATTCCAGCAATAAGAAATGAACAAAAGATTGGAGCTGAAGACCTTAAATGCTTGCATTTTGCCCGTTGACCAGATAAATAGATCTGCATTATCTATGCAGCATGGGGTTTTTATTATTTTTACCTAAAGACGTCTCTTTTTGGTAATAACAAACGTGTTTTTTAAAAAAGCCTGGTTTTTCTGAATACGCCTTTAAAGGTTTTTAAATTGTTTCATATCTGGTCAAGTTGAGATTTTTAAGAACTTCCTTTTTAATTTGTAATAAAAGTTTACAACTTGATTTTTTCAAAAAAGTCAACAAACTGCAAGCACCTGTTAATAAAGGTCTTAAAAACAAAACAAAACAAAACAAAAAAAAAACTTTAAGCATTCAGAACCCAGATACAAACTTCTGCAATTGCCTCAGCAATAGTCTAGGTCATGTGGTACCCAATCCAGTGTTTTTAAAAATGCTACTAAACTACAATAAAGAAGCATCTTTAAAGCCTTCTTACTTGGAAGAAGCAAAAGGCCACACATCTTTTTTCTAGTTCTTCCTTCTATTGTGAAAATAACTGAAATCAGATGTGGAAAAGAATATGGCTGCACACAGAAATGAATTACTTTGTCAGCCAACGATATTAAAAGATGCATAGAAAACATTGTTGAAGGTTAGAAGAAATGCGTCTAGAACAAGAGTGGGAGGTTTGTAAGACTTGGGGATGAAAAGATGTTATCTAAATGAATGGTATTGCTAGGTTCTGTTTCCATAATGACTGTAGAAGAACTGACTTCGTGAGTCAATAAAAAAAAAAAAGAGGCATGAAAGAAGACATATTTTCCACAGAAAATGACATCTTGAAAACTGAATATTACCTCCAGTGGAGCAGGTGGTTTGATTGGAGAAAAAAAAGGATTCCAAAGTCAGGCTGCAGAGTTATCCCATGTGTGAAATTCATTTAGTTCATTTTTCCTTAACAAGCTACTGTGGCAAAGAAGTAGAAGGCAGAATTTCATAGGGCAGTACTCGCAAACCTGAAAGTGCATATGTTTCACCTGGGGATCTTGTTAAAATGCAGATTGTCATTCAGGAGGGCTGGCCTGTCCTGGGATTCTGCATTTCTAACAAGTTCCCAGGCGATGCCGACACCGCTGGTCCATGAACTGCACTTGGAATAGTGACAACATAAAGAAATACAAAATGTTAGGGTTGGTATTCACTTTATAAGAATAAGATCATTGACAATATAATAAAATCTTCAGGTTATTTGGTATGGATCATGCAAAGCATTTTCACAGAGAGCTTTGCTGGTCATCTTGTGTCCACGTCCTAAAGAGCTGTCATATAAGAAGATGTGCTGCTAATTTTGCTTTCACAAAAATACAATATTTTCCAATTTCTGACCTTTTAAATAATGACAAATAGTTGTTGGTAGAATTCTATCTAGCAGGAAATAAATAAATACATCTCATCTATTTCTTTATGTAAAAGAGGCAATTTAACAATGAATGGGAAAGTAACTGCTCTTCCAAAAGCTTTGTGCTATTGAGAGCATTGTGAAAACAGATGTTTTCATTATGATGAGTTTTTGTTGAAATGACAAAGCACCACCCACAAAAACTTTCATATTTTCACACTAAAAATCTTGGAGACTGAATTTCCTAATATTTAAGTCATTTACATAGTGAACTTTGAACACATTTGCTAAAAATGTAAAAACATCAACTTCTAATTTCTTTGCAAGAAAACTAATTTGGTATCAGAGAATACAGAAAATGTTAGCTGAATTTTCACAAATACTTTTGCATAATTGGTGAATAAGATTGAATAATTGTAAGGAACATGGCTGTGCTTTGGTCAAGGACAGGCCGAGGTAAACATCCAGAGTGACTCAGCGAGTTTAGAGCACAGGTGTATAACTCCACTTGTTATCACAGCCATGTAGCCATAACAGAGGAAAGCCATCTCTTGGCTCTAAGTCACTATTGTCTGTAAAAGGTATAATTGCCCTGCTGACACTGTACATGTGCACTGGCACCCAGAGAAAGAGAGAGACAATCAGAGCTGTCCATCTTTGCAGACAGACAGAGCAGAGGCCAGGACACAGCTCAGCTCGCTTGTGCCCAGAGAAAGAGTTAAGCTGCTGACCCTGAAGGCAAGGGAGAGCCAGCCATGCAGCTGTGTGTGTGGGAGCCACCGGACTAAGCAGCTGAAACAGGATGGACAGAGTGAGAAAGCTGTTGATGACAGCTGCTGCTGAATAAAATCATCTTTCACCCGCCTATGGCCACCTAAGTGTTCTTTCTGCTCATCTACGCACTCCCTCAAACTTCAGCATGGGCTGGAACCTGACCCTGAGCATGACAATAGTGAATACTATAATTTAGTAAGAGAGACCAATGGTGCATGCCTTCCATATGAATCTATGAAGGATCTTTTTTCCCTCTGATGGAAATTAAAATCAAGCAAGCGAACAAACCCAACTTAGAACTGGACCCTCCAATGAGTATACTACAAAGTCCTAAAGCAAGATTTGAAAACATAAAGTATTTACAAGTGCATTGTTCTCACGAATATTAATAATGTGTAAAAAGGGTTTAGTGAGAATAACGTTTTATCATTAATAACACAATTACTTAAAAAGCATTGTTTCTTTTTTATCTTATCCTTTATAATTTACATTTTTGTGTATATTTTCACATATATAAAACATTGATACATCTGAATAACCTATGCAAATACACATATATTTTAGGGGGTTGTTTACCTTTTTTAACATATGTGTCGTGTAACCCAAAAAGAGCAGAAGACACTGATGTAAATTAACACATTTATAGACTGTAAACTCTGTGTGGCTATTTTCTTCCTTTTTTTTTTTTTTGAGATGGAGCCTTGCTCTGTCACATATGCTGGAGTGCAGTGGTGTGATCTCGGCTCACTGCAAGCTCTGCCTCCCAGGTTCATGCGATTCTCCTGCCTCAGCCTCCCCAGCAGCTCAGACTATAGGCGCCCACCACCACGTCTGGCTAACTTTTTTCTATTTTTAGTACAGACCGGATTTCACCATGTTAGCCAGGATGATCTCGATCTCCTGACCTCGTGATCCGCCCACCTCGGCCTCCCAAAGTGCTGGGATTACATGTGTGGCAATTTTCATTCATTCAATGAATATTCACTACACAAAAACATTAGCTTAATACGTATTGATTGCATTTATATTCTAAAAGATATTTAAGGGTGATTGGATTTTATTAGCAATATGCAAAAAATATGAATGGGCTATTCTCACAGAAAGAAGAAAAAAGTTATCCTTTAGGTTGGATCAAGCAGCTGTGCCATGGAATGCCAAGAGTCTGGATCATCCCTGTAGCATTTATTGCATCCCTGACAAGCCTGGTGAAAAAGTGTGAGCCAAGGAAAGGATTTGTTCCTGGAGATCTTAAGATCTTAACATGATTCACAGCTGGATCCCTACTGCTGACTCATGAGGTCCACCCTCTGGAGCTGGCATTCTTCAGCAGAGCTGTGCAGAAAAGCTGAAATGCCCAATCAGAAGATATGTATAAATGTTGCTTCATTTTTCTGCTTAAGAGCTTATCTTTTCCTTTAGAAAAAGAGTTTCTGAGGAATTCTTAGCATGAAAACAGTTCGTATAAGCTGCCTCTTGTGAAACCATTGCTGTGGTTTCGCTAAGATAAGTCCTATTGTATACAATCAGTAGTTTAAAGAATTCCCAATGAGAAAACTGAATGAAGGGAGATATTTGGCTCTTATTTAAGGAGAAGTAGAAATTGCTTTCTTTGTATTAGAAAGAATCTGAGGCAGACCTATGCTTTCAGAATAAAGAAATAGGTGTTTTTTCTCTCTGTTTCTAATTTTGATTTAGGGAAGAGAAGTAAAAGAGCTACTGTTGAGGAAAAGGAGTTGAAACCCAGGAGGAACTAAGTCATCAGCAGGCTCTAAATGAGGCTAGAGCTAACAGCTGAGAGAAGCCACAAAGCTTTGCAATATAAATCTAGCCTGAAGGTCCAGCTCCCCACATCAGCCTCGAGGCCTTCACGTCAAATTAGAAAGAACATTTAAATCAGAATATGGCTATGTGGGAGGATTTAGATTTAATGATGATTAGTAACAAATATGTAAGGAGTTAACAAAATGTTTCTCTAAGTGTTTATTTTTAACGAATAAACAGCTTTATTGTTTATTGTTCTTTCAAGTCAGCAATTTTTAAAGTATGTTGTGTAATTAATAATTAATTATAAATTTGTTAGCATGGACTTGGGAAAATAACAAAATGTGAATCTCAGGAAAAAATCTTTCCTGATAGAATGCCCAACAGGGCACTTACTGCCATTTGGTGGCAATGCATACTGATTGCAGGAAAAGAGCCTACAGGTTTTTTTAATCCTAGTTTTGTATACAGAGATTCATATTTCCACCCACTCTTGTCCTATTTTCTAAGACGATATGGATTTTCAAAAGCTATAAAGATGAAGACTGCAATGTTAACTGATTCAACAAATCATTACAGAGCATCTACTTAGTGTCAGGCACTATTATAGGCACTGGGGATACAGAGATGGCCTAAAAAGTTGATGACCATGCTCTCATAGTATCCAAATTCTGGTAAGAAAATGGGCAATGAATGAGTGGATTAATAAAATAATTTCTGATGTTGTTAAGTGCTATATGAAAACAAAACAGGGTAAGCTGGTAAGGAGTGACTGGGAGAAGGGCTCAGGGAAGAAGATCTCTTTGAGGAGCTGACATTTGGACTAAATTACAAAATGGAATTGAACTTTGCAAAGATCTGAGAGAAGAGCATTCCAAGCAGAGGGAACAGAAAATAAGAAGGTCCCAAACGGAGTGCAACTGTTTATTTTTAGTGAGCCAATGAGAGATTGATAACAGGTCAATTCAGATAGAGAGGCAGGTGCTAGACTATGTAGGGCCATTTTGAACTTTATTTCAAAATTTTGATCATTAATTTTAAATTTATTATTAAACTTTATTCTAAGGACAATGGAAAGCTGTGAGAAATGGAAAAAAAATGGCACAATATTTTGCAGCTTTTCCCTTCAAGAGCTGGACTCTATTTTCCCAGCTCTGCCATCTGGACTAGGCTTGTGGCTAGCTTTGACCTCAGAATGTCAAAAGCAATATGTTAATTCCAAAGGCTCAGCCTCAAGAGTTCCTATAGCTTCTACCTTCACCTCTTGAAACACTTCTGCCATTATGTAAGAAATCCCCAACTGAACTACTAAATAGTAAGTGACCACATGGAAGAACTGCCCAGCTAAGCCCAATCTATATTGCTGATCCACAGAATTATGATAAATAATAATTGGCTGTTTCAAGCATCTAAGTTTGGGGATGGTTTGTAATACAGCAATAGATAACAAACAGGAACCATAAGAGAATTTTAATCCTAGGAATGACATGATCTGATTTATATTTTAAAAGTTTACTTGGGTATGTCACATTCAGAGAGAAACTTTGAGAATCTAAAATATTGAGAGAGAAACACCAGGATTCCAACCAAAATACTTGTCCAAATGGGATGGATACATTGTCTGGGGCTGGATAGAGTGTTCTCATTGAGAAATGATCACTCTGCGGTTTACTATAGCTAGGATACATGGCTCATAGCAACTGTTGTTGCAACATTGAAGTTGAACTAATAGAATCTAACCTTCTGTCTGAGTAGAGCAAGGTTTTCTAAGGCCCCTGAAAGCCTCACTTCTCTGAATGAAACTCCCTTTGCAAGCAGGTTGCATTTTTGTAGACACTGATGAAGCCATTATGAGAGGTAAATCCAAGAGTAGAGTTTAAAGTATAAGAATCAGCAATTTGTTTCTGGCTATGGTCATGATGGAGTAATGGGTATCGGTCTTACCCTCCTGCCTTAAACAGGTATAAAACTGAACAAACGTTGCTGAGAGAAACTAAAGAAGACCTAAACAGAGAGTTATACAATGTTCATATTTTCCCCAAATTGATCTCTACATTCAACACAATCTCAGTCAAAATTCTACCAGGCATTTGTTTTTTAGAAATTGATAAGCCCATTCTAAAATTTATATGGAATTACAAAAGTCTGGAAAAGGATAAATCTTGCTAAAAAAAAAAAAAAAACAAGAGTAGAGAATTTTATAAAACTTGATTTCAAAATGTAGTGTAAAGTTACAATAATCAAGTAGGTGTGGTATTCGCATAGGATAAATAAATAAATATATCAATAAAACACACTAAAGGGTCCAGAGATAAATTCACACTTATATAGGCAATTGATTTTTTAAAAATATGTCACAGCTATTCAGTGAGGAGAAACAAAGTTTTCTTTAACAAATGGAAATGCAACAACTAGATTTTCATGTGGAAAAATGAATGTCTTGGCCTCTATTTCACATTAAAGGAAACCAAAATATTTCTCCCCAAAATGGGGAGGATTGTTAAGTTAAAGACACTGTAAACACAGAGGGAACACTCTGCCTTAGCCTGTACTTGCCTGATGGCAGAAGGGAAATCCTTCCTTGCTGAAGGCTGCACTTGCTTATCAGCCCAGAGAAGATACCAGCAGGCACCAGATAAATCTGGGAACAGATTTTACTTCCCACATTTTCCTGCCTTTTAAAGACGGAAACTGTCCTCTCCTTTGTCTTGTCACTGCAGAATTTATGACTGTTTGTTAAAATACTGTTTAGGCAAGGCTCCTGAGATGCTGCCTTGGCAGGGATACTTTTGAACTGAGGCTTGTCCTGCATGACGAGCACAGCATGTGTCAATAGACTTCTGCAGGTTTTTCTCTTGTTAATCTGACTTTTGTTTTCAGAAGAATGTCTCAGCTAAGAACATATGAGGGTTAACAATACATATATTTTTTCTTTCCTACAACATCACATATAAAAACCATCCTAAATGGATCACTAACATAAACAGAAAAACTCAGATCATAAAGCTGCTAAGAAAAAACATGGGAGAACATCTTGACTTGGGATGAGCAAATCTTTTCTACATACAGAAAACAACGACCATATGAATTTCATCAGAATTAAAAACTTCAATATAAAGTTTATGTTCATGTAAAATACCATTATGATAACTTAAAAGCAAAGCATAGATTGGGATAAAATATTCACAATACGTATGTTTGATAATGAGCTTTTGCCCAAAATACATGAAGAACTCTTGCAACTCAACAATAAAGAGACAACCCAGTTTTTTATAAATGGACAAAAGATGCAAATAGACACTTCAGAAATGAAGATATTCAATAACAACATGAAAGTGTGTCCAACATCCTTCATTATCAAGGCAATATAAATTAAAACCCCAATGAGATACTACTTCACACTCACCAGAATGGCTAAAATTTAAAAGGCTAACACCACCAAATGATGGCAAAGATATGAAGCAACTAGAACTCTCAAACATTATTGGTGGGAATCTAAAATGGTTCAATCACTTTGGAAAACTGCTGACAGTTTCTAATTAAGCACCTATCAATTATATGACCCAGAAATTCTTCTTCTAGGTATTTACATAAGGGAAATTAAAACATATATCCACAAAAAGAACTATAAAGTGTTCATAGCAATTTATTCATAGCTCTAAATTAGTAACAACCTAAATCTCTATCAAAAGGAGAATGAATAAGCAAAATGCAATATAGTTGTACCTCAGTATCCATGAGGGATTTGTTCCAGGGCCTCCTGCAGATACCAAAATCCACAGATGCCCAAGTCCCTGATATAAAGTGGCATCATATTTGCATATAACCTATGCACATCCTCTCATATAATTTAAACCATCTCTAGATTACTTATAATAGCTAATGCTTACAGTACCTAATATAAATGCTACATAAATAGTGGTTATACTGTATCATTTAGGGAATCACGACCAAAAAAGTCTGTATATGTTCCATACAGATGTAATTTTTTTCAGATATTTTCTACCGTGGTTGGTTGAATCCGTGAATGTGGAACCCACAGATAAAAAGGGCCAACTGTATATTTATACAATAACATATTCTGAGATAAAAAGGGACAAACAACTGATCCATCAACAACATGAATGACTTTCAAAAGCACTTTGCTCAGCCAAAGAAGCCAGGCACAGAGAGGATGTAAACCAAAACAGGCAGTGATCTATGGTGTTCAGAAATCAGAACTGTGTAGCTGATCTGTGGAGGGACAGAGCAGAGATTCACTGCGAAGGGGCATGTGGGTTAACTGGATCATGGTTTTTGTGGTCTTTACAGGATGCTCGGTGCTGGCATCTGCTAGGCTTCTAGGGAGGCCTCAGGAAGCTCACAATCATGGCAGAAGGTAAAGAAGGAGCAGGCATGTCACATGGCAAAGCAGGAGAGAGAAAGGGAGTTGGGGAGAGAGAGGAAGAGGGAGAGAGAGAAAGGAGGGAGAGGAAGGGGGAGAGAGAGAGAGAGAGCATGAGAGTGAGAGAGCAAGAGAGGTGGGGGAGATACCACGCCCTTTTAAATGACCAGATCTTGCAAGAACTCATTATTGGGGAAAACAGCACCAAATCGTGGGGGATCTGCCCCCATGATCCAAACACCTCCCAGCAGGCCCTACTTCCACTGGGGATTACAATTCAACATGAGATTTGAGTGGGGACAAATATCCAAACTATATCAGAAGATACTTGTTAGGATTCCTTGAAAACAGAAAGGTTTTCTTGGGATTTAATGTTTTGATTTCTAAGAGGTTTTATCTGACCTTTACAGATGTGGGATGCAGGGATGCTAGCCCTCAGGCAACCTACCCTACCTCATATAAATAGATTATTTATCTACTCTGGCTGGACCCTGTGTTAAGCACTGGATTATCTCATTCCACCTTTACAACAACCCTCTTCTTACAGATAAGGAGACTGGGGTTTAGTGAGGTGAATTAACTTCCCAGTGTATCCCAGCTAGGAAGTGACAGGTGGTGACTTGAACCCATTCCACTATTCTACTTGTTCAACCAACCCCTGTCCCCCACCAGGAGTGACTGGGCCCAGACAGACAGGAGAAGCCACAGCACCAGCAGTAGAGAAACTGGAGCAGTTGTTAGCAGAGGCAGCATGTCAGGGAAGCAAAACCATACCGCAGAGAGAAAACGGGCTGCAGATGCTGGGATTTAAAAGAGCTGACAATGGAAACGCTGTCAGGAGCATCACAATTGCTGGCCAAAGCCGGCTCCATGAGGTGTGGTAACAGCAGGATCAGAGAGAGGTTTTTCTTGGCAGTTACCGGAAAATGAAGAGTTGGGGGCGGGGTGGAAGAGAGACTTGGAATTACAACAGAAAGGGGAAAATCACCTGCAGAAAATGCTTTTCTGCTCTGGAGAAAACTCTATAAGGAAGCTTGTGGCAACCATGGAAATCGAGCAGGGCCATGTTTCTGAACAGAGCTAGTGCTCAGTAAGAGCAATTTCCAGCAGGAGAACTGGATGTGGGAAAAGCCCTTGAAAACCACTGTGTCTGGTTTGTTTGTGAACCTGATGACACAGCGGAAGCCTGCCCCAGGGCACAGAATTGTGCTGAAACCTGACCGTGTCTTCGAGACTCCAGGGGAGCTGAGCACTGAGGTATATTGAGTTGGGATTTTAGGGTTCAGAATGGAATGAATTTTTACATCTATCCACTTGTAAAATGATGTAGGGTACATACACCTACAGCAGCCTTAGTAGGAACTGAGTAGAGAGGAGGGGATTCTGGCCTCCCCACCTAAGCTTTTGGAGTCTGAGAATTAGCAGTGTTTTTGCCCCTTGGTACCGTGAATTACCTTCTCTCTCAAATTACCTTATCTCTTAATTACCAGTGACAAGCTGCGCTCTGCTTATGGTAGAGCATTCGCCTTTTCCCTAGTTGACATTCAGAGTCTGTAGAATTCCAGGCACTAAGGAGCTGACTCAACACTCCTGGATATGGGAAAACCCACAACCAACATGTCTGGTAAAGCCCAGATTCCTCCATGCTCATTTGAAAATGGTAATGAGATGCCAAGAGCTCATCAGGGGACCTCCCTGGCAAACATCTCTGCTAGCAGAATGAGGGTCTCAGTGGTAACTGACTCACCCCATCTCTCCTGCTATGGTTCTCCCTTCCCTGTCATAGCAGAGATGGAGCAGTCGGCAGCTGCACTGCCTGTGAACATGAAGGTGGGGACTTTCTATCTTATTCTGTAAGCTTTGTTCACACAATGTCCTTTCTGAAGCTACAAGGGAAATTTCCATACTAGCTCCCTTGGTATGACAGGTGCCATTCCCTTCATAAATCCGCCCTAAGATTCCACAAGATGGTGCTTGGGTCTCGTTTTAATTTGCCTCAGCAACCCAAAGAATCACAACTGCTGAAAAGTGGGATCCTGGCATCATTAATAGTTACAACCAGATCCCCAGCCAGTCAACCCAGTCCATCCCAGAAGTATCTCTTGACTGCCTCCTGGACTACACAGCCTGTGCTTGGGCTAGAAAATGTCCAATGTATTGTTCCCCTGCCGCTCCTCCCATCCATCTCTCCACCCATGTCCAGTCTTGTCTTTCAGTGATACCATAATGACCTTCTCTTCTCCACCTATGTGAAAAAGGTGAGGAGAAACCTCTACGCCCAGGCCTGGCCTTGAGGCCTCTGGTTTTGACACTGATGTCTCTTTCTCCTTTCTCTAGGCATGTCTGTGTCTCTAGATCTGATTCCACTTGAGTGGATTCCAGCCTCCCCGTTGGCAGCATGGTTTGCATTTAGGTTTGGCTGCAAATAGACCATTGATGCAGGACCGCCCTCCCCTCTTGGGGTGTGCCCTGCTTTGTCTTCCTGACATTCCCTCTAGAAAGGAGACCATGGGGAGCTCTCCCAGAGAAGAGTGTTGTCTTAATGGCCAGGAAGCGAGAAAATCATGGCAAGAGGTGAGGGGAGTGATTAACAGCTAAAGGAAAGGGTAGAGAAATTAGAAAATAGGGAAAGTAAGAAAAGAAGCATTAGGAGCTGCCTAAGCACAAACTACCCATCTCAAAAGGAAAAAAAAAAAAAAAAAAGATATACATAGGGGAAAAAAATTCCCTGTGTCTTTGGAATTTGAATTGTGATATAGACTCAATCATTCAAACTTAACTGAATATCTACTATGAATCTGCACAGTCCCTGCTCTTGAGAGTTTATGCTCTCAAATACATTTAACTAAACATTATGACGCAAGAAAGAAGAAAGGCTTGTGTAAACTGCTCTGGGAGCCCAGAGCCAACCTGAACACGTTGAAGGAGAAGCACTCCAGGAACTCATATTAGAACTGGGTCTGCAAGGATTTTACCTAGTTGACAAGGAGTGAAAAAGGTTTTCAGGTGAGGAAACAGCATAAGAAAACCATGGGGGTACAATCAGGGAAAGGCAGGCATTTCTTGTGGCTGGAGCACATAAGATTTGGTGGAAAAGTGGAAAGAAGAAAGGAGTGGCAGGGGCATGAGGCCAGGAAGTCAACATCTGGGAACAGGAAAGCAGCATGCACCATATTAAGGGATTAGGACTTTATCTTGCAGAGAATGGGGATGTGGCAAAAGTTTGTAAGCAAAGGAGTGACAATGAATATATGTGTTTTGGAAAGATAAGTGTGACAATATGGCTTGGAAGCAAGAGAAGTTTTAAGGCAAGGAACTAATATACTAAACATATACTAGCATATATAATAATATAGATATACTAGAAGTTGTCAGGAGAAATTACCTCTTCAAAATTAAGACAGGGTCAGGGAGTCTGAACTGGAGGGAAATGATTCTTGAGGTTCAGCTGAGGAGCTAGTGTCAACATGATTTGTTGTCCAACCGGATGTGTGAGTAGTGAGGGAGAGAGAAGAAAGGAAACCTTGGGCACTTGTGTAGATCTCTGTGCCATGAATCAAAATCTGAAATACAGGAAGAGGAGTTGATGTTTGGGGATATTACAAGTTGACTTTTACACATAAGAAAATAGCTCTGGAGTTCCAGAGTTGAGAAGCATTCCATTTTTGGTGGACAAACATGCCATACCTCACTCCCATTTCTGTCCCTTTTTTCCATCAGCCCCCACCCAAAAGCAAACTGAAGAACAGGCAAATGTGAATGTTCTTTGTATGTAAATATTCCACTCCCCTAGTAGCTGAGAAGACATGTGTGTTTGAAGCCTCACCAGCTTTCCAAGGCATCATGCAGCCTTTGCTACATGAACACAATCCTTTCCTCTTTTCTCTTCCCTATGCCACCTCCTCACCCCTAGAAGTCAGGAGGAATTCCAAAAGGAAAAGAAAGAAAAGGAGGAGTATACTGCCACAGCCTCATGCAAGAGCAATTAGGAAATGCATCTACAAAATAGAAAGCATGGTCCTTTTCAAGTCTGTTTCTCTTGGAACAGTCAGCAAGGATGAGACAGATTCTCTTAAATTCAAGAAAGGCATCTCAGGAAGCTGTTCTTTCCAGGGCTTTGGGAACTATGCTGCAAAGAGGCAATCTCTCCAACTGTCCCCTGACACTGGGAAGGGTTACTTTCCCTCTTGGAGCCATTTCTCCTCACTCCCATGGAGTCATTGCCTTGAATAGGCTCCTTTAGGGCTTTGACCAATGCCTAGGAAATGAGAATCCAGGTGGAAAATTATACATTGCTAGTCTTTTCCTCAAGATCAAGGCCTCAGTATGGTTCATGCTGATTTTCGCTGATCTGCTGTTGTAGGAAACAGGAGGACCAGAGAGACCTTGGGGTGTATACAGGAGGATCTTTACTGAGTGCACTCAGACCCACATTCCTTTGTGTCCTAGCTTCTTAGATGGTGTTTATCAAGGCTTTTCCTGGGTCTGGGCTGTGCCTGTTGCTGCCTCTGGGATAAGTCAGCCTAATACAGGAAAGCTTATTTCTCTTTAATTTTTTTCTTTCTTTAATTTCCCACCTCACTGTAACAGAAGGGTCCTCACTTAGTTGACTTGTCTCTTTACCCACACTAACGTCACATATGTGGCATTTGATAGTACCTGGGATCAAGGAAAGAGTGAATTTAGTTTTTTCAAGTTGTATAGAAGTAACACTGTTTAAATATTAATGGATGATATTTTCCCCCATCTCTTACCACCCAGTTGACTCTATCCCACCCGACTTTCAGGCAGCCAGGCCATTCAACACTCATTTTCTTGGGAAAGAGAATTAATAGCAGAAAGCAGGAAGATGGGGGAAAAAACACCAGGACTCTTCTAAACTTTTGAACTTTAAATGTGTAGGCCTTAGGAAATAAGATAGGATTCATGTCACAGATGAAATAAATAATATTCCCCAGGCTAGAGAGGGGAGGTGTGTAAGAAAGGATAATGAAATGAGTAAATTATGGGTACATATTTATTGGTGGATGCCTAAGAAAGAGGGAGGAGAGGAAATAACCCAGCTGAGATCTGGTTGTTCAAAGAAATGGGAACTTTGCCCAGGATCCTGAAATTTAAGGGAGCAAAAGTATGAGATAGTGATGTTTAAATATTTTACCTGTTTCAAATCCCCCCTCCACTCTCAGCAAACGTGGCCCCTTTCCCTTCACCTGTCTATCCTGAGATCAGCTTAGTTCTGCCAGACTTTCCCCTTGCCACTCCCATCAGCCAGGCAGAAGAGATGGTTGAAATGGGAGACCCAAAGTAAGGAGGAGATAGAACTTGCTGTGCCTCAGACCTGTATCCTTTCCTTCCTTTTCTTTCCTCACAACCAGTTACCTCTGTTGATTGGAGGGCAGGTCCATGCTGCTTGCCCACGTCACTGTTTATAACTCTGTTCTCAGGTATTCTCATGGGTACCATGGCTGGAATTGACCCTGGGAGCTTCCTCTTGTTAGCCCAGGTGATGAGCTAACTATGCTGGGATAGGTGCCAACCCTCAGCTCAGCTTCCCATAGGATGATGGGCTTCCTTGCCCCAAAAGGGGTTCTGTGATATCCCAACAGTACCAGGTTTTCAGGTGCTAGGCATTTGGTTTCCTAGACAACTCCTGCAAAGAGCTATACCCCAAACCCAGGCTGTTTGTTTGTTCCCCAAGTTACAAGGCCATTTCTCACCCTTGATCTATGAAAAGGCTGAAATAGCAGAGGGCAGGGTGCCTTGGCACCAACACGTCTCTCATGGATTGATGGTTGATGGGGGCCTGTCATTTCTCTTCTTTTGTTGACCTGAAGCTCTTTTATTTCCTGCAAAAAGCTATTCCCTAACCCATGTCAAGCAATGCTGAGCAATTTTTCACAAGCCTGTTACATTGCTAATAATGACTGGGAGGTACTCAACTGGCAGGACTGTGCGCTTAAAAAATTAAGAAGTCATGAAATGTAGATGAAACAGCACAGGCTCTGAACCCTGTATTTCCATGCTAGCTCTGTTCTTTATTACCTGTCTAATCAAATGTGGGCAAATTTACTTCCCAGTCTCCATTTTCACATCTACAAAATAAGCAAAATTAACATTAATAGGATTGTAGTGAAGGTCACATGAGATAATGTCCCTTGTATGTTTGGCACTATAACTGATGTCCTCAAAATTATTAGGTTGATACTAGAGAAGCAGCTTCAATCGTGCACAATTTCTCCCTCTCCCAGGGTGTCATGTAGTTTCTCTGCACTAATTAATTTCTGCCATGTGATTTCTAGAACTATGTAACTGACCTCATCATGACCCACTTTACCCCTCTGTAAAGTTGCATACTTTAAGGAACTTTAGGAGTTATATATAATCACTTATCTGGGGACTTGATTCCTTACCTGGTAACCTTTCCCAGCCAGAACCCAACCCAGACTCTGGAAGAAAGTGACAAAGGCCTATGAGCAGTAGGTGTTAGAAGGTCCAATCATCACAGCTCACATAGATTGGGAACAAAAGTTCCCTGGGTTTGGAAGGAAGAAAAAGTTCATGGCTTTGAAACCAGACATAATTTCAAATTTTAGTTTTACCACTTTGGAGTTGTGTGACCTTTGAAAGGTCACTCACTTTCTTTGAGACTCAGTTTCCTAAATTCAAATTAGGGTAACAGGGTATGGTGAAGATTAGAGATAACATTCCTGGCCCACAGAAGCTCCTTCATAACCAGGGGTATTATTATTTCTGTATAGGCCAGGCTCCTCTGGCCCTTGTTGGGAGCCTATTTGACGCTAGCAGTCAGGAACACAGTTGCACAATTGTGAATAAGCTTGTTCTCTAAACACTGAACCAGCAAGTTCAAGCCAGTAAAAGAAAGTCACCAGACAGCAGTGGTTCTAAACCCTGTATGCACATTAGAATCACCTAGGGAATGCTTAAGCTCTAATGCCCTCACCACACCCCAGATTAATCATGTCAGGGCTATGAAGAAGGAGGGGTTGGGCCCAGGAATCAGTATTTTTAATGTTCCCTGGCCAATACCAACGTGCAGTCAAGGTTGAAAATCACTGGGCTGTGGCCAGGGGCAGTGGCTCACGCCTGTAATCCCAGCACTTTGGGAGGCCAAGGTGGGCAGATCACGAGGTCAGGAGATGGAGACCATCCTGGCTAACACCCTGAAACCCCGTCTCTACTAAAAATACAAAAAAAAAAAAAAAAAAAAAAAAAATTAGCTGGGCGCGGTGGCGGGCGCCTGTAGTCCCAGCTACTCGGGAGGCTGACTGAGGCAGGAGAATGGCGTGAACCCGGGAGGCGGAGCTTGCAGTGAGCCGAGATTGCGCCACTGCACTCCAGCCTGGGCGACAGAGTGAGACTCTGTCTCAAAAAAAAAAAAAAAGAAAGAAAATCACTGGGCTGCTTCTCCAACATTATTGTGCATATTTAACACCTAGGAAAGTAATTAAAATGCAGAATCTGATTGAGAAGGCCTGGGAGGGGGCCTCGATTCTCCGTCTCTAATGGGCTCCCGGGTGATGCGGACGCTACTGAATAACAAGGGCTAAAGGAAGACTTGCTCTCATCATCAAGATAGAACGGCTGAGAGCCTGTCATTTTGGGAAGAGACAGGAAAAACTATGAATTGTCCTCTTGCTCTCCAAAAGTAGAGTGGCCTGGGAGCCACTTAAAGAAGAGGCGTGTAGCCCTATACCTACAAGTAGTCTATAGGAGTATTAACTGTTACAACAAAGCCCAAGTTGATGGTCATAATTGTGACCCCGAGTCTCTAAAAAAAGTTACACTGGGTGTAGGAGCATTTGTTTAAGAGGACCAGGAAATGTGTTTATCTTAGTCAGTTCAGACTGCTGTAACACAGTATCATAGACTGGGTGGCTTATAAACACCAGCAATTTTATTTCTCTTAGTTCTGAAGGCTGGAAAGTCTAAGACCAGGGTGCCAGAATGGTGGGAATCTGGTGAGGGGTCTTTTCCATGTTACAGACTGCTGACTGCTCATTATATCCTCACATGGTGGAAAGAGGGTGAGAGAGTTCTTTGGAGTAACATTTATAGGGACATTTATCCCATTCATGAGGGCTCCACCTCATGACCTAAGTTTCTCCCCCAGATCCCACTTCCTGATACCATTACCTTGGCAGTTAGGATTTCAACATATGAATCTGTGGGGGACACAAACGTTCAGTCCAATGCAGTATTACACATTGTAGAGACTCTTAAACAAAAACTTATCTCCAATTCTAAGAAGTAAGCTATAGACAAATCTTCCTATGAGAAATAATTAATGTCTCATTGATGCCAATTACTGAGCTTACCAGTCAGGTGTCACTCAAAAGGCACCTGACTGTTCAACCCTAGTCAGGAACTGAGGTAGACAGCATTATCGTTCCCAATTATCCACTCTCCTCTCCCTATGAAAGGATTATAGTTTCTACCCCATATGACTTTTTTTGGCCAATAGAATATGAGCAGATGCAACATGCTACATGCCACTTCCAACCAGAAGTTCCAAGGGCCATCACCCGGTTTCCTTTGTTGCTCTTTTCTCTCTACCATAAGATTCCTTCTCCCTGGACTCCTGGGTCCAAGAATGAGGAAGACACAGCAGGGGCTACAGCTGACATGTATAGGAGTGAAAAATAAGCATTGGTTGTTATAAGCCACTGAGATGTTGGGGATATTTGTTACCACAGTGTAGCCTAGTGAAAACTGGCAAACATGTGAGACATGGAGACAGGGCTGCAGAACACAGAGCAGGTCCCACATGGGGGGTTATGGCACGAAACAGCCATGAATGTCATTAGTTGTGAAAATGTCTCAACATATATACATCCTGGAGGACTCTTCACATATAAATGGGGGGACAAGAAGGATACAGATACCTCTTGGTAGATTTGGGGAGGTTTCTTAGAGAAAATACTCTCTTTGAAATGAAGGGAGGACATAGCAGGACAATAAGAGGGAACATGAGGGTGGGTCTGGAAGCAATTAATATAGTGAATTATTCTAATTCACTGTATTTGGTGAATAAGAGGGCTTGAGTAGATGTTAGATTTGAAGCCCAACTTCAGAGTTAGATTGTGGGAGGGGACAGAGGGAGGACAAGAAGTGGCTGAGGGTGTTGATGAAGAGTGACAAGTTTGTTTCTTTAGTAACACCAGGTCTTCCAGATGTCTCTTTTCTGATCTCCACAGAGAATGCATCTGAGGCCACTTTCAACTTCTCTTTAGTTATAGTTTAGACTGGGGAGGAGTCCATGGGCCCGACTGGCCAGATTCCAGGGCATTGATTTGGCATTTCTTTGTTCTGTCTCTGATTCCATTTTCTCTGGTGCTGATGGAAGTGGTTCTGGAGAATAACAAGGACACTGAATTCTCTTGCCTAGAAAAGCAAGGTAGTCCAGGACCTACTCAAGTTCTGCCTGGGTCCTAGGTAGAAGCCCCAGCTGTCATGAAGTATCACTCTGCTTGGCCCACCATTGTCCTACGCATATATCTCCCTTGGAGACCTCCTCTGCAGGGAGAAGTCATTAACGCGGGCAGGCTTCAAGTATTCCTGGATTCTCTGGGCAAAACTCTTTCTTTAATACCATTTTAATTCCAAATCTCTCTCTGACCTCTAAGACTACTCATGCCTGTCATCCCTATAACTATCAACTGATATTCAGATGCATTTTCAGCCAGAGTCAAGTCTTAAAGAATTGGGTGTGTACACGTATTTTAAGAGCACCATGGCATGCTCTAATTATGCCAATGTAGGGATTATTCCCTAAACCCTCTCACCAGTTTATCAGAATCCAAATGGGAACATAAGATCTGAAAACAGGTGAATGCAGCTCAGCTATTCTGGACATAAAAATAGTGAAACTGAAGTGGACACGTAGGGAGGAGTAAATCCCACAGAAGTAGAAAAGGTGACAGAAAAAGATCAAGTACAAAGGAAAGGAAACTTTTAAAATGAGAAAATCAGCCAGGGACCTAATGACTTTAGCATCTCTGTCTATGTCTTTGACCTCATCACTCCTTCATTTGATGAAGCAGCCAATTTTAGCTTGCTAAGGCGCTCGGGCTGAGGATAATGTTTCTTTGTGTTGCAAGCTAACAGAAAAGAGTCTTGCAAACTCATTTTCTTTTCCTTCTCTGCATGTAAAATCCATTATAAAGCTGGAGGCCATCTCTCTACTCTAGAGAAAAGAAAGTATTTACAAAGAAGGCAGAAGAATGTCTTCACACGTATCACAAAAGAAAAGGCCAATTAACGCCCTGAATGAGAGAGAGTTCTGTGAGCTTGTTTCTGTCAGGAGCAAAACAGCCTGGCCATTGACCAGCTTTCTTTAGACAAGGAACCAAACTAGAGTCACAGAGATAAGAAAATAGAAGGGCGGGGTCAGAATTCAACATCCATCAGCTTGTCCTCTGCCATCTTCCTCCAGGCCTCTGCCATGAGGGTGCCAGATAGAATAGCCATGGGAAGCAGGCAGCAGAATTATCCAGGTACTGGCAAAGATGTTGGATGATCCAGGCAGTTAGAAAGACACAGCCCAATTCAGTCTCCATTTATACAGCCACTTACCTTCCCTTCTGTATTCCTCATTTGCTTTCTACTTTTTCGGTTTTTTATTTTTTTGAATCTTCAAAAATACATTTCTCTTACTTCCTCCTAATCACTACTAACTTAAGATTAACAGGGAGGGCTCTCCTCCAATTTAACCACAGTCTCCAAAGTTCAGCACGTTGGGTACCATGTTAGTGATGCATCAGGAGTGAAGGCAGCGGTGCTTCAGGCTGTGAGATGGGGAAGAGACTGGAGTTGAATGTGAGGAGAAGACCCTAAGGAGGCAAGATTTGCTGGGTGGCAGTGGGGCACTGGGTTGGGAAGGTAAAGGACATCTGAGTCACACGTCAAGGCAGAAAGCTGGCCTACCATCTCATACCAGTGGAGAGATCATTGTTATGGCAAAGGAATGTGTCTTGAGGTGTCTGACTCCATTTTTTGATGTTTGGCACCTGACAGCTTTTAAGCCACCCCTCCCTCTTCCCCATATGCCTACATAAGAAGGCCTGGGCGTGCCCTCCTTTGGTGAGGGTAAAAGATTCAGACCAAGCACTCTCATCCCTGCCTGGGAACTTTCAAGCCAGCCCCACCCACTAACCACAATAAAAACCCTTTCCTGGCTCCCTCAAGCTATTTCAGACCTGCGTGAGAGGACTGCCCTGCTCTCCTCAGAGACCTCAGTTATGTTGTCCAAACCTTTTCAAACCCCCTTGTTTTGTGTGGCATCATCAGTTTCAATATCCAAACCAAATTTTGGGCACGCATCCACCTACCTCTGCAGGTAATCATTACAGAATAGACCTAGGAAATACCTGGTACTCTCATGATTTACTGTGGTATCTGGCAGCACTTCAGAAAAACTGGGCCAAGTTAACGAGGAAAAGGCAAGGTTAGATGTTGATATCATTTACAGGGGACCGAGTGTAAGCAGGAGTGGATTAGAGTAGTCTTAATCCCAGTTTATTAGTCAGGGTCTATCGCCTAGGTCACTCTCATGAATCTGGGCTGTCTACAAAATCACATGCTATAAACATGTAAAATGTAAGCTTGGAATGTTGGCCATAGCTCTAGGATGACTCCTAGACAGCAACCACTGTTGTCTCACTTGTTCTGATCCACACTAGTTCTCCCTGCTTTTGAAGCCTCTATCTGGTTGTCTCTCTGCCTCCAATTTTTATTTTACATGCTCATGATTTGATGACTTGCTGTCGATATAGTAGCCTGACTTGAGCCACTATTCCCATTCATATTTCATCTAGAATTTGGTTTTTGCTACCACTCATCAAGACTCTAGGTAAGTAATACCTCTACACACACACACATACACACACACACACACCAGGGATTGGGTATGAATGGATTAGATGGATAAGTAGCTAGTGAGAATAAAAAGATATTGAGATATATTCAGAATCTAAACTTCCCAGACATCTTAAGTACCCTCACCCTAGGGTTCATATCAGTTTATACATTATGAGGAAATTACATGAGTATAGAATCTAGTAGTACCATCTTGTTTTCTCTGAAGTTAGAGCAGGACAGCTGATATGGTTTGAATTTGTGTCCCCACCCAAATCTCATATCAAATTGTAATCCCCAGTGTTGGAGGAGGGCCTGGTAGGAGGTGAGTGAATCACAGGGGCAGATCTCCCCCCTTGCTGTTCTCATGATAGTGAGTGAGTTCTCACAAGATCTGGTTGTTTAAAAGTGTGTAGCACTTCCCCTTTCCTCTCTTCCTCCTGCTCTGGCCATGTGAAGATGTGCCTCCTTCCTCTTTGCTTTCTGCCATGATGGTAAGTTTTCTAAGACTTCCCCAGCCATGCATCCTGTACAGCCTGTGGAAGTGTGAGTCAATTGCACCTCTTTTCTTTATAAATTACCCAGTCTCGGGTAGTTCTTTAGAGCAATGCAAGAATAGACTAATACAACAGCTAAGATCATTGATGAAAGAGTGGTTTTGTCAAAAAACAAGAGAAGAGCCCTTGGTCTAGTAGTGTCCACTTTTCAGTTAATCAAGAATTGTGGCTAACTGTGAAGTGAGGTTGAAAATATTAAATCCAGGTTATATATAAATCAGCACAAAATATACTCTGTGATGGTAGAGACAGCTAAATTGGAAGTTCCAGTTTGAGTGTTGCCTCTCTCTCTCTCTCTCTCTCTCTTTCTCTTTCTCTTTCTAGCACCTCATTTTTCTGTGCCTTCATTTCCTTATCTATGAATTGGTAAGTTTAGACCAATCTCTAAGGTTCTTCAAACTCTAAACCTTTAGTGGATCTGTTAGTTAGGATAGTCTAGGCTATGTGACAGTAACAAAAACTGAGAATTCTAGTGACTTAAAACGTAAAGTTTATTTCTCTTTCATATAAAATCCACTATTGTTCTTGGGACTGTCCAAGGAAGTTCACACACAAAGATCCAAGCTGACAAAAGCTTCATTGTTTTTGTCAGGCTTCCAAGGTCTTTGCAGCAAGCATAACAGATAAACTGAAGGTCAAGCACTAGTTTTTAAATGCCCTGGCTTAGGTATGACATATGTCACTTCCACTCACAGCCTAGTAACAGCTGGCTCTGCCCAAGGGTGTGGCAGCGTGGAAGAGCACATAGATATTCAATCTTTGCTGTAGTGGTTCTGGGACTCTCATCCAATATGGGCTCACATCACGTATGGCCCTGTTACCATGACACAGAGATATTCTAATGATCATAGGCAACACCTCCAAGAAGGAGCTGCCATCTTCCAGAAATGGCTCAGGACTTACAAACACACTAGCACATCAATGGCCCCAAACAGCTAATCACTAACAGGGCAAAACCAGCCTAAACACAAGGTCTTCTAACAGTGCGAGAGGAAATGCACAGATGATTTGTTTGAGACCAATAGGAGGTAGGAAGAGGATCCTGTGTGAAGCTAACAGACCACTGTGATTCTTGTATTCCACCTCACCTAGTATGTTGGGCCAGAAAAGTGGACCAAAAATAAGTTGTTTGTAGAGTTCTTTCTGATGCAGCAAAACAGATTCCAGATGCAAACTAAACAAGCTGGAGGCAAAGAAAGCATCTGCACCCAACAAACGTGTTTACTGGTTGGCTACCTGGCTGGCTTTCTCAAACTCAAAAGTAAAGATCTATTTCCTCCATACTCCCAGGTGAATTGAAGAATCTCAGTTGTCTTCCACAGAGCTTGTACAGCTTTGGTGAATTTCAGGGGATGAGGGGTTCTTTTCAGAATGAATCCAATTGTAGGGGAGGAAAAGGAGCATTGGAATAAATCCATCTGGGCCCTGGGGCTGCCATGATTGGGTCATAGATTATGCATACCCTGGAATAATTCTCACTGGTCACTGCCTTTATAATTAGAACAAATTTGGCTTCACAAGGCATTAAAGGGCCCAAGAGATATGGAGAGGAAAGGAAGAAAAATGGAGTGATTGTCCAGGTAGCAATTCCGTTTTTCTTTAGGCTGAGGGTTCAACCATCTCTTCATCTTCCAAAAGATCCACTGGGGAATGTTTTCAAAGGGTAACCTCCTCTTTGCTTTACCAAAGGGGCTATCTAGAAAAATAGCTGTCTCACTTAGTAACACCCAATTCATCTAGATGACTCCACATATAGCTTCTCTCAGGGAAGTCACCTTTGCAAGACAGGGGGAAGATTCTCAGATGCCAGGCCATTGAGTAGCATTTGCTGAGGCAGCAGATTCCTATACTCTCTAATTTCCTTACCTCCCCCTGCCTGTTCTGTACCCTGACTCTTCAGAAGATTCCTCATCCACTGGAAGCACAGCTGGGAAGGCCTGAGGTTAAGCCATGCCTAATTCATGTAGACTGCTTCTCAGAAGTCTGTTAAGAAGTGTCCTGGGAGATCATTCATTCTAGTGAATAAAAGAGCCAGCATTAACTAGCTTAATTCTCCAAGAAAACCTTGGTGGTCAGAAGAGTTGATCTTAGAACTCACCACTCGATTTTTGTTTTCCAGCCAGCCCTGTTGAACTCATGTCAGTCTGATAATGAGAATAAGAACCATTTGCTGAACAAGTTAGATTTCAGTCACTATACTACATGCTTTCAATACTTTATGTGACTTAATCCTTCTAACAACCGTATATAGTTGTTCTTTTTTTTTTTTTTGAGATGCAGTCTCGCTCTGTCTCCCAGGCTGGAGTGCAATGGCGCCATCTCGGCTCACTGCAACCAGGTAGGTCCTTCTTAAAGATAAGACACTGATACTAGTGGAGGTGTTTGGAGGTATAGTGACTGGCTTGGGTTGCAGGGCTGGCATTACAGAGGAGCCCTCCTTCCTACTAAGAAGTAGAGCTGGGATTTGAACTCACCTCTGCCTGGTTCCAAGATCAGTGCTCTTTCTACCATATTATTTGCCAAAAATAGTAAGACAGAGTGTAACGCAAGAGGGATGCAAGACTTTCTCAACTTTCCCACAGAGCCTCAGGCAGCCTTGAATTCACAAGTGCTCCAGGTGAGATAGGAGAAGAAAGAGGCTGAAAGCCAGGATGTTGCCCAGCAAATGGCTGGCCTGAGAAGATGGAGTGGCAGCAATGCCTTTCAGGAACAGACTGGTTAACAAGCCTATGAGAAGCACCCCAGCCCCCTAAAGGAATCTGGGGACCACTTACAGAGTGGAGGCCCTGCGTAAGCAGGTGAGGCAAGACCCGTGAAATCTAGGTTAGTGTCTTACTGCAATACCACTAATTCTTACGGGAGAGTAATTCCCAGGGAAATTGGGGCCATGAAAACAAACAAACATGCTTAGAACCACCTAACTGGAAGAAGCTTACGCATTCTTTATTTCAGGGGATTTTGGGATGCTGAGGCAGGTAGACTGCCTGAGGTCAGGAATTCGACACCAGCCTGGCCAACATAGTGAAACCCTGTCTCTACTAAAAATACAAAAAAGTAGCTGGGCATGGTGGCAGGTGCCTGTAATCCCAGCTACTTGGGAGGCTGAGGCAGGAGAATCACTTGAACCCAAGAGGCAGAGATTGCAGTGAGCCAAGATCACACCATTGCACTCCAGCCTGGGCAACAAGAACAAAACTCAGTCTCAAAAAAAAAAAAAAAAAGTAGCGCCTTTATTATTTTTCTAATAAGTTTTAAGTGGAACCTCAGTATATTAAAAAAATAAAAAATAAAAAACCTGAAGCCTGCTTCACCCCCCTTTATTCCTCCATGGGGGCCACTGAACTAATCTGATCCTCTCATTTTGCAGGTGAGGAACCAGGCCCTGGGAGAAGAAAAGCGAGGTGCTCCAGGTCATGGTGCCAGCCAGATCAGGTCTTTTTACTCCTGGGTGAGGAGTCTTTTCAATATACTGCACAGGCCACTGAGCCAATGGCTGTTTGCTGTGAGAGGCTGCCTAGTCCTGTGGGCCTGGGAGGAGTTTCCTAACTACACCTGGCCTGTCTTCTAGAGCCATGTTTCTCAAAGTATGGTTCATGGTCAAGGATGGTCCAGTCAAGTGGTGGACTATGAGGATGGCAAAGAGATGGGAAAATATGAGTGCTCTTGGCAATTCTGATGAGAAATGATGCACAGTTCTATAGGCTTTCATTTTTGTGTATGAATATTGGCTAGTTCTTAATAACATACCAAGCACGCAATTAGATTGTCAGAAAGCTAAAGGTATGTATTTATGAACTAAAATGAGCAGCTTCTTGAGTCTCCTGGGGACTCTGATTCAGTAGATCACCAGAGTCTGGTGTTCTCACACTAGTTGGCACATAGCTGAAGCTCCTATTATGTGTGTGGATACACAGAGAGCTGGGATTCCTGGAACTTTGAGGAATATCTGTGTTACCAACATGGCATCATTGTTGTCTGGAGTGGGTCATAATTTCAACTGCTGATCTTCGTGAATGAATGAAGATATTTGCAGACTCACACTTGTTTATCATTTTGTGTTTAACTCATCCAGTATTACATATTCATTGTTATTATGTTCTCCAATACCTTGTTAATACTAAGCATTTTTTCCACTTGAGACAGGACCAAGTCAGACAGATGGTCTTGTCTCCATTTTGGGAGCTGGGCTCCAGAGAGAAAAGAACTCCAACTTCAAATACCTGCATAAACAGCCAGTAGTCTGGTTTGAAAAAAAAAAAAAAAAAAAGAAGTCATTTGAACCAAAATGGAAACCCATTTCAGCCACTAAAATCCTGAGAAAACAAACTCTGATGTCAAGAGCCACAGTCCTACCAGGCCAGCAGCATATACTCCTGTGGAAGGATGATGGAGTCATGGAATGAATCTTGGTGGCTTCAAAGTATAACCTTCTGCAGAGTGCACAACCATGCCTGCACCTGCAGAAGAGAAAAAATCAATCACACGCGGGAAGAGCCCTCCTCCCACTCTTTGCAATGCTTTTTGTCCCCAACTCTATCCCCTGCCCATACTTCACTCTTTACCCCCAGGCCATCTGGTTTCCATTCCCATGTTTTGAGCCAAATGGCGTTCTTGCAAACCTTACCAGTCACCTCTTGACTGCTAAACACAACCATCTGTACTAGGTCCTTGTTATATGGGTTGAGTCGTGTGCTCCAAAAAGAAATGTTGAAGTTCTAACCCGTAGTACCTCAGAATGTGACCTTATTTGCAGATGTAGTTAGTTAAGATGAGGTCATACTTGAGTATGGTGGGCCCTTAATCCAGTATGACTGATGTCCTTATAAGAGAACATGTAAAGACGTGGAAACACATGGGGAGAAGACTCGTGTGAAGGGATTGGAGTTCTGCTGGCTGTTACAGCCAAGGAACACCTGGAATCACCAGAAGCCAGGAAGAGGCAATGGAATCTCCTTTCCTAGAGGTTTTGGAGGGAATGTGGTCCTGCCAACACCTTGATATTGGACTTCCAGCTTGCAGAACTCTGAGAGAATAAATTTCTGTTGCTTTAAGCCATCCAGTTTATGACACTTTTTGAAGGCAGCCCTGGGAAACTAATACAAGTCCTCATTTTGCATTTTCAACCTTTTCTACTTACTGCTCCTTTATCAAAACTCGCCTTCATCTTGACCTCCTTACCCCAGCATTATCTCTCTTTGCGATTACTCTGTTCTTTTCTCCTCTCTGACTCACATCTCTAGATGTCTCATCCCTAAATGCATACATATGCTCCCTATAGTTCTGCCCTCAAACTTTGCTCTTTTTGTGCAAAGCCTCTCCTAGGTTTCACCTGTCACACTCGTGGAGATGACTCTCCAATTGAGATCATTCATTGATTGCACACCTGCTGTATATGAAGCATAGAGTTAGATGCCACAGTGACACAGCTATAGGGCTAGTGGAATATTTAGTTTCAGTTTCCAGTCCTCCAGCTCCATATTACCTACAGCTCTATCTGGCACCTCAACCCTAATTCACCAGCCTCCCGGAACTGTCCCTCCACTTGCTTTACTGTTTTGCTTAATTGCTACATCAGTGTTCTGTCCCCTCAGGCTGGTGACCTTGGATTCATCTTTTATTGTTCCTTTTCCCATAACACTCAATCAATTATCATGTCCCCTAGATTATACCATTACCTTCTCTCTCCATAACCACTCTTGTTTAAACCCACATTAATCCTCATCTGAAATATTCTGGCAACTTACTCTTCAGTATCCCTCCCTCCCATCTTTCTCCCTTCTGAGTCATCTTATGAGAATAATTTCTCTTCCACAAGCACAGCTGTGATTAGACATTCCTTTACCAAACCCCCAATGGCTCCCCACTGACTGACAAATTAAGTGTAAATTGCTCACCCCGTACTTAAGGTCTTTTATGACAAAGCCCTGCTCAACCTTATCCCCTGATCCTTCCCTCCTGGACCTTATATATCAATCAGATCAAATGACTTCTGGCCCTTCTCCATCTTCATATTTCTGCTTATGCCACTTTACCTAAAAAGTGTAGAATTCTTTTCCCCACTTCTCTAGCCCAAATGGATGAAATTCTATCTATCATTCTTCATGGCTCCCTTGAACACCACCACGGCTCTTCCACCAGGTGAGATCTCTACCCTCTTTGACCTCCCGTCATTCATGGTTTGTACCTCTCTTGGGCTGATTGTACTCATATCACTTGTATTCTTGTCTTGTCCCCACAGCTGGACTGTGGGGTCCATCCACCATGATAGATGTGTGGAGAACATACTGGAAATGGACAGTGTGGGTTCTGTTCCAATTTTATTGAGTTGGTAACACTCTAGGAATGGCAACACCCTGGGATATAATAATATTCCTAAAGGTGTTATTGAACCAAACTGGGGTTCGCTTGCCCAGAATAAGGCCAAATGTTTATAATGAGGTTTGTAGTGGGAAAAAAGGAGGTCATTTGTTTGTGGGCCACCAAGCAAGGAGAATCCAGCAGCTCATGCTTAACACCTGACCTCCCTGATGGCTTGTAAGTAAGAGCTTTAAAAGACATGGGTAAATTTTAGGAAAGCAGAAGTTATAGGCAAAATTGTAAATCAATATATGGTGGTTACACATTAGTTCTGCTTAAAAAGGGCAGGATATCTTGAAGCAGGGTCTTACAGATCATCGGTAGATTGAAATATTTTCTGATTGTAGTTGGTTAAGGAAGAGAAGTTTTGTTTAAAATTTGGAGTCAGCAGAAAAGAATGTTAGCTGTGGCTCATAGGTGTGACTTTCTCTAGGCACCTCAGGAAAAAATTTAGAACAAAGAATGGAGTTCAGGGTTTAGTCCTCAGTTTCCTGCTAACACATAAACCTCCTTATCTGATGTCTATGTGTTAGCGGGTCCGTTTGGCAGGGGTCTGGGTTTTTGAAGAACAACTCAGGGACATATGTTAAGATGTTATGTTTAGTTTTTATAAGGAACCACCAGATAGCCCATGATTTTAATTTTTTTAGCTATTGTTTTAATCTATTTTTTTAATTGTTAAGTTGTTTATTTATTTTTTTAGGGCCAGTTACATGCCTGAAATTTCTGTCGAAGGAGTTTAAGATTTTTAAAAAGTTTTATGGGACCCTCAGGACCGTAAGTGGGCTCCCTGCTGTGTTTTAAAAGCTCTTTGTTAAAACACAGAAGACTTGACATGGACCCGAGATGCTACAGTGACCTCTCCTTTTGAGATTTAGTGGTATTTGGAAAGAAAGGAAAATCTAATTTAAAAAAAAAAGTTATCTTACAGGTAACTGACATCTTCACAGCATAATATCATAAAAACAACAGCCAATATGTATATACCACGTACTACATGCCAGACATTGTTCTAAATGTTCCACATATATCAATTCATTTACTCTTCACAAAACCCCTTTGCTGATGAGGAAACTGAGTGCAAAAGGGTTACACATCTTGCCTGAAATCACAGCTAATTAGTGAGTGAACCAGCCCCAGTAGACTGGCTTCACATGCTTGTTCCAAACCACTGCTTTATCACTGCTATGCTGTAGGGACAGGAGGGGAATCCTCTCCCCGGAGCTGTGCTGAGGTCCCAGGACACATCCCGCCTTTCACCTTGCATGGTTCCATCTAAGAAGCCACCTCACATGTAAAATAGTGTCCCCGACCAGAGGATGAACATGACAGGAGTGACCACTCAGGAAGTGTGTAAAGGGTATGGGGCTCAGATGCTCTGAAGAAACATCCCCACCATGTCTTGAGGTTGGGGTGGCAGCCTTAGCTGGGTCTATTCCTCTGCACATACCACCTGGCCCTTCCTTTTCCACCCCCTGCCAAGAGGCCACGGTGAGTACTAGGATGTAACTTTGTGCTGAAGCCACATATCTGGCCCTCTGGCCCCATCCCTTCTCCATTTCCCACTCATGATCTCCTCTACGTAAGAAATGCCATGTCAGAAGATGAAGCCTGGCGGGATGGAGTACACAGATACCAGGATGGGTGGGCAGGCTGGCATTGGGGAGTACCCTGCTCCACTCACCCATTAGACCACACCAGCTAGTGTGAATTGAGCTCCCATTTGGTGCCAGACACTAGTCTAAGTACTTTGTATGCATTAACTTATTAACCTTCACAGTAACCACTTACTGAGTTGGTGCTCTCTCTTTTTTTTTTTTTTTCTCATTTTACATATCAGAAACCCAGGGCACAGGAAAGTAGAGTGATTTTTACAAGATCACACAGCTAGTTAGTGGAAGAGTCAGGATTTGAACGTTTTCAGAGTCTTTGCTCTTAACCACTAACCTGACTGAATGCCCTCCCCAAAAAGGAAAAGGATATGGTTGGAGGTATGTGAAATCGCCCTGTAGAGCGGTGGTTCTCAGCCTGGCTGTACTTTAGAATCAGTTAAACCGCTTTCCAATATACCAGTGGCCAGGCACTGCCTCCAGAAATTCTGATCCCCTTGGTCCAGAATGGTATCTGAATGTCGATATTTTTTACAGCTACCCTGTGGATTCTAATGCATTGGACTGGGAGTTGTTTGGTCATCCATGTAAAGTGCATTCATTCTGTCTTTCATCCCTTTGGTCATCAAGTGTCATATGTGCCAACATACAAGAAAACTAAATCCACCGCTGAAAAGGGTGCCACAGAGTTTTAGCCAATGTAGACATATGAGCTTCTAGAAGTATAGACAATATAATCAAAACATCTACTTATATTTAACTTATTAATTTAGTTATACATATACATACATTTAAAATCATACATTACACAGAGTAGTGATTTATTTTAGAAGTGTTGCTTTTTCCATTCTCATATTCCACAAAATGATTTTTTTTTTTTTTTTTTTTGAGACAGAGTTTCACTCTTGTTGCCCAGGCCAGAGTGCAGTGGCGCAATCTCAGCTCACTGCAACCTCTGCCTCCTGGGTTCAAGTGATTCTCCTGCCTCAGCCTCCCGAGTAGCTGGGATTACAGGTGCCCGCCACCATGCCCGGCTAATTTTTTGTATTTTTAATAGAGATGGGGTTTCACCATGTTGGCTAGGCCAGTCTAGAACTCCTGACCTCAGGTAATTGCCTGCCTTGGCCTCCCAAAGTGCTAGGATCACAGGCGTGAACCAACGCGCCCAGCCCCACAAAACAGTTTTATTCAAACTTCTCACACGTGTCTACCACATTCGTTTCTTCACATCACTGAAGCCATATTTGGTGTCATCTCCAAAGTTTTCTGGTACACATCACCCACAGTGCTGTTTATTGATTGAAATCAGCAGTTCTTTAATACATGTGTGATGTGGTCACTGGAAATTTTATCCCCATGTCACAAAAATATGCATTTGTATAACATCAGGACAGTTGGTTGTTTGTGTGTGTTGTGGGCAGGGCGGGAGTCACCTGAGTGGCTAGGTTTACCCCAGCCCTCTTATGATGATCTACACTTTGTTCTGATCAGTTGTTAGATATTTCAAATATTACCACTGCTTTCTATCATATTCTTGATTTTTACAGTTTACCAACCCCTTGCCTTATTGCCCTTTAAAGTGAACCTCAAATGGCTTATTTACGACAACCACGCTTGCAAGTGTGACGTCACACACGCAGCAATGATTGCTAAGATTGTATTGAATGTTTTTTTTTTTTTTGAGATGGAGTTTCACTCTTGTTGACCAGGCCGGAGTGCAGTGGCGCAATCTCAGCTCACTGCAACCTCTGCCTCCTGGGTTCAAGCGATTCTCCTGCCTCAGCCTCCCGAGTAGCTGGGATTACAGGTGCCCGCCACCATGCCCGGCTAATTTTTTGTATTTTTAATAGAGATGGGGTTTCACCATGTTGGCTAGGCCAGTCTAGAACTCCTGACCTCAGGTAATTGCCCGCCTTGGCCTCCCAAAGTGCTAGGATTACTTACTTCTTTTTATTTTTTTAAATTATTCTATCAGAGGTGACCTCTAAGATGTTGTTTGTGGCAGTTTCTCCAGTGTTCTGGATTCAAAATAAGGTAACTGAGGATATGTTCCAGCATGTGAAATACTTTGTAAGGATTCCATTATAAGATGACTGATTTCTTCCAAAAGATCATTCCGAGAAAGAGGGATCTCACCTTTCATCCAAGCGTAGAGTTTTATTGAACACCAAATGATGAGGAAGTCATTGTTATTTACGTTTCTACACCCAAGGTGCTAAGAGGGATCACATTTAGGCCTCCACTTTGAGTTTCTTTCCCTTCTTTTGGGATCCTCAGACTCTGAAAAGTGACAGAGGCACAAGAGATGTCCTCCTCCTCACACCTCCGCCCCTGCCTCCTTTCTGCCAGGTGTCTGCATTCTGCCAGCTCCCTGTCTCAGCGGGACTGTGATGCAGCCAGGCAGCTTCTGGAAGGCACCGTGTTTGAACAGGGATGAGACAAACCTCCTTAAGCTGCTTATTCTAAGTTGGGGATTGTTCTTCCTAGTCAATTGATACTGGAAATAATTACTTCTTAGAATCTTTGAAAACTGAATGTGTAAAGAGAAATTAAAATCTAATTAAATGGATGTAGGCAGCTCTGTCTGAGCTGACGACTCTAAAGCCACTGCAGTTTGTTGAAGGTTACATTATCTCTCTGTCCCTGGGCACTTCGGGCTCTGCTTGGCTCTGAGCCCAGTGCTCCCTCTCCAACACCCTTTTGTCTGCCCTGTCCTGGGCCCAGGAGTCTCATTGTTCTTGGGCAGAAATTCTGGCTAAAATAGGCCATCTAGGTGGGGGTTGCTGAAGGGCTTCCTGCAGAGGATGGGGGTTCACTCTGATCTCGAAGCTTCAAATCAGTGCTTTGCAACAGGGGTGCTTCTGGCACTGCAGCAGGATAGTTCTGTTTCATGCATCTTTGGTAGGAGGAGGGGGCCATGCCTCCCCAGGTTGAGAGCCACTGCCTTGAGCCAGCTTTATTCAGCTACCAGCATGTAGCTGACAGCCAAGAACAATAAGCCGTAGACCCTCAGCTTCAGTGTGACAACCTCATAGACAGTGCTGCCCCAAGTGTGGTCTGTGGACACGTTACCAATCTTCCATGAGACCCGAGTAAGTGGCTAGAAGTTTTTATTGCCATTTGACATTGCCACATTTCCACTGCATCTTAAGGATTAGAAAATCGGTTTGCAATGGATTGGAGGAAAAAAACATGGGCCATCATCACAGATTGTTTGAGAACTTCTGTCCTAGAACCTTCTGGCCTATTCTGGACGCTGTTCTTTCCAACTCCAGCTTCTCCACACTCATGACCACAGGCTTGGTCTTGACGTTTGAACATGGTTTCTCTGGCTTTATTTGGTATGTGGTTCTTTCCTCTTATATTAGTCTGTTTTCACACTGCTGATAAAGACATACCCAAGACTGAGCAATTTACAAAAGAAAGAGGTTTATTGGACTTAACAGTTCCACGTGGCTGGGGAGGCCTCACAGTCATGGTGGAAGGCGAAAGTCATGTCTCCCATGGCGGCAAACAAGAAAAGAACAATTATGCAGGGAAACTCCCCTTTACAAAACAATCAGATCTTGTGAGACTTACTCACTAACACAAGAATGGCATGGGAAAGACCCGCCCCCATGATTCAATTATCTCCCACTAGGTCCCTCAAACAACACACGGGAATTATGGGAGCTACAAGATGAGATTTGGGTGGAGACATGAGCCAAACCATATCATTCCACACCTGGCCCCTCCCAAATCTCATATCTTCACATTTCAAAATCAATCATGCCTTCCCAACAGTCCCCCAAAGTCTTAACTCATTTCAGCATTAACTCTAAAGTCCACAGTCCGAAGTCTCATCTGAGACAAGGCAAGTCCCT
Source organism: Homo sapiens (assembly GCF_000001405.40). NCBI lineage: Eukaryota > Metazoa > Chordata > Mammalia > Primates > Hominidae > Homo > Homo sapiens. The sequence goes on along the minus strand of NC_000014.9, from coordinate 65,980,187 downwards.
TCTGCCTATGAGTGAGTAAAATCAAAAGCAAGTCAGTTACTTCCTAGGTACAATGGGGGTACAGGCATTGGGTAAATACAGCCATTCCAAATGGGAGAAATTGGCCAAAACAAAGGGGCTACAGTCCCCATGCAAGTCTGAAATTCAGTGGGGCAGTCAAATCTTAAAACTCCAAAATGATCTCCTTTGACTCCAGGTCTCACATCCAGGTCATGCTGATGCAAGAGGTGGGTTCCCAGTCTTGGGCAGCTCCACCCCTGTGGCTTTGCAGGGTACAGCCTCCCTCCCAGCTGCTTTCACAGGTTTGCGTTGAGTGTCTGTGGCTTTTCCAGGCGAAAGGTACAAGCTATTGATAGATCTACCATTTTGGGGTCTGGAGGATGGTGGCCCTCTTCTCACAGCTCCACTAGGTAGTGCCTCAGTAGGGACTCTGTGTGGGGACTCTGACCCCACATTTCCCTTCCACACTGCCCTAGCAGAGGTTCTCCATGAGGGCCCTGCCCCTGCAGCAAACTTCTGCCTGGGCATCCAGGCATTTCCATACATCCTCTGAAATCTAGGCGGAGGTTCCCAAACCCCAGTTCTTGAATTCTGTGCACTTGCAGGCTCAAGACCACATGGAAGCTGCCAAGGCTTGGGGCTTGCAACCTCTGAAGTCATGGCCTGAGCTCTATGTTGGCCCCTTTCAGCCAAGGCTGGAGCAGCTGGGATGCAGGGCACCAAGTCCCTAGGTAGCACACAGCATGGGAACCCTGGGCCTGGCCCATGAAACCACTTTTTCCTCCTAGGCCTGTGATGGGAAGGGCTGCTGTGAAGACCTCTGACATACACTGGAGAGAGACATTTTCCCCATTGTGTTGGTGATTAACATTTGGCTCCTCATTACTTATGCAAATTTCTGCAGCTGGCTTGAATTTGTCTTTAGAAAATGGGATTTTCTTTCTTATTGCATTGTCAGTCTGCAAATATTCTAAAGTTTATGCTCTGCTTCCCTTATAAAGCTGAATGAATGCCTTTAACAGCACCCAGGTCACCTCTCGAATGATTTGCTACTAAGAAATTTCTTCCACCAGATACTCTAAATCATCTCTGTCAAGTTCAAAGTTCCACAAATCTCTAGGGCAGGAGCAAAATGCTGCCAGTCTCTTTGCTACAACATAACAGGAGTCACCTTTGCTCCAGTTCCCAACAACTTCCTCATCTCCATCTGAGACCACCTCAGCCTGGACTTTATTGTCCATATCACTATCAGCATTTTGGGTAAAACCATTCAACAAGTCTCTAGGAAGTTCCAAACTTTCCCACATTTTCCTGTCTTCTTCTGAGCCCTCCAAACTATTCCATCCCCTGTCTGCTACCCAGTTCCAAAGTGGCTTCCACATTTTCAGGTATCTTTTCAGCAGCACCCCACTCTACCAGTACAAATTTACTGTATTAGTCTATTTTCACACTGCTAATAAAGACATACCCAAGACCGGGCAATTTACAAAAGAAAGAGGTTTTTTGGACTTACAGTTCCACATGGCTGGGGAGGAATCACAGCGGAAGCTGAAAGGCACATCTCATATGGCAGCAGATAAGAGAATAACACTTGTGCAGGGAAATTTACCCTTTGTAAAACCATCAGATCTCATGAGACTTATTCACTATCATGAGAACAGCACAGGAAAGACCCGCCCTCATGATTCAGTTATCTCCCACCAGGTCCCTCCCACAACAAGTGGGAATTATGGGAGCTACAAGATGAGATTTGGGTGGGGACAGAGAGCCAAACCACATCATCTCCCCTGGCCACATTCTTCCACTGAGGCATTTTTGGTGGCAGGAAAGAGACTCATTCGCATCACCTGGAGAAAAGGTGGGGTGGGATGGGGACTGCCGTGACTCGTGGGGAGAAGCTGAGTGTATGTATTAGTTCTCTAGAGGGACAGAACTAATGGAAAAAAATATATATATATATATATATATGTATATGTATATATATGCATACATACATATATATACACATGTGTGTATATATATACACATATATATATACACACACATATATACATATATACATGTATATATATATCTTATTAGCTCACATGATCTCAAGGTCCCACAATAGGTCATCTGCAGGCTGAGGAGTAAGGAGAGCCAGTCCGAATTCCAAAACTGAAAAACTTAGAGTCTGATGTTCGAGGGCAGGAAGCATTCAGTACAGGAGAAAGATGTAGCCTGGAATGCCAGGCCAGTCTCTCTTTTCACATTTTTCTGCCTGTTTATATTCTAGCCATGCTGGCAGCTGATTAGATGGTGCCCACCCAGATTAAGGGTGGGTCTGCCTTTCCCAGTCCACTGAGTCAAATGTTAATCTCCTTTGGCAACACCCTCACAGACACACCCAGGATCAATACTTTGTATCCTTCAATCCAATCAAGTTAACACTCAGTATTAACCATCACAGTGTGTTTCTATGAGTGCTGAGCAGGGAGGTGAGAACAGGGAGTAGCTGCTGGCCTCAGCTCTCGCCTCTAAGCATCCCTGTGCTTTGTCCTCTCCTGCTCCATGCCCCAGCTGCCTCCTTGTATGCTCTGTGCATGGTTTCTACTCTTCCCCACTCTGCCCTGCCTTGACCCTTCTTTGCCTTTTCCAACCTCATGACCTCAGCTCTACCTGCCAATAGCCCCAGCTCTGACATCCTCTAGGTGAAGGTAACAGGAGAGGGAATCTGATAGGCTCTGGTCACTTTCCCTGCCAGGCCTCAGTCTGAACAGGTTCATGGATTGGCTGTGCTCGAGCCAGGTGCCCTCATCTGGGCCCATTGGTTTTCTCAGAAGAGGGAGGGGAACAGAGCCATTTGGTCAAATGCAGACCCCTAAGCAGCAGGGGCTGCAGAGGGGCAGTTTCCCTTGAAAACATCCTGGGCCCAGTCTGTTGAAAACACGTGCTTCATCTCCTAGTACCCAAGCTAGATGATGTCAGACAGTCTGGCTGACTCTTGGCCCACCCCAGTCCTTGTGAGAGGAGGACTGGACTGGTAGGTACTGGACTCCTGCAGGGGCATCACCTATCAGATTTTGTAACTCCATGAAAGGCACACTTGTGGACATTTCTCTCGTTGGAACCATCCCAGCTCTAAGGCTTAGCTGGTGAAAGGGGTGTAGGAGATGCTGGCGGCATTCCCCAGTACCCAGCCACAGTGTGGTAGATGACTCCACAGGGGTTAATTGGTTTCCGGCTGATGAAATCACAGCAGAGTTATCCATTGTTGAAGCTCTTCAACAGCATAACAGTTATTACTCCCTGGGCACTTTCCCATTCCCTTCTGAGCCATTTCATTTTCTCGGTCTTGTCGGAAATGAGCATTTGCATCAACATGTTTGTGCCCCCCTTGTAATAATGCAATAATATTATTATTTTCACATGACTGTTAGGAGCAGTGCTGCAGAGGCTGCCACACAGGCATACCCGCTCACTGGCCAAGCCCTGTCTGGGGCCCAGGGCCTCACTTAGTGGTACGCCTGGGTGGAGAGGCCATCCTACCACCACGGACCTCTCCAGTGGCCGGTGGGTGACCTCCCCACCAGCATGGGTGCTTCCGTCCCCACGACCAGGCACTAAGAATCGAGATCTCAACCCATGCCCTTCTGTTGAGCCCAGACAAAGCACACAGTGGGTAGAAGACTGGAAACAAGGCAGTGTTTTCCACACTGTTCAGGCACATTCTGGCCCTTAGTGGGAGTTCAAGGGCTCTTGCAGTCCATTTCTGGAGAAGGGCACTGCAGCTTCTAGCCCCTGGAGATGACTGAAGATCCAGGTCCGACTTAGAGCCTAGGGACAAAAATAAAAGAAGGACTCCTGTACTGTGTCTGGGTTGCAGGGACCTGCAGAAAGCTCTGGCTACCAGCCAGGTGTGCTCGGGTGTGGCCTTCTCGCTGGCCTTGTCCCCTGTGCATAGACAGACATCTCAGAGGGGGGCCTTCTGCTGTAGGAGCCGCATTGCCACAGATAAAGAAGTCCAAGATCCTGGCTCCTGCATCCCATTCCTTTCTCTCCTCCTCCTTCTCCCTCTCCTCCCCCTCTTCTCCCTTCCTCCTTCTCCTCCTCTTCTTCCCCCTCCTCCTCCTCCTTCCCCCTTCTCCTCTTCCCCTCCTTCTTCTCCTCCTCCTCCTCCCTCCCTCCTTCTCCTGCTTCCCTTCTCCTCCTCCCCGTTCTCCTCTTCCTCCCCCTCCTTCTCCTCCCTCTCCTCTCTTTCTCTGTATCTTTCCACATTACGGATAGTTAGCAAACACTTCTTGCCCCACCTCCCTTCTCCTGGCTTGGACACAGTTAAAAACTAGATTGCTGTTGCCATTTCTTGGACCAGTATCTTCCATTCTCATTTCTTCCCACTGGAAGGACATTGGTCCTGGGACAATCTCTTAGAAACTACCGTATCCTCAAATCATGCCCTTATGAAATTCAATGCCTGACCTTCAAATAATAACCTACACTTTCCCTGATTTTCCTCATACAGAAGTGAAATGGGTACTAAGAGATGGCTGGAGAGAACGCTGTTGCTATGAATTGCCAACATGAAATGAGGCCATCTAGGTAGCTTCTCTAAAACTGTGAGGCAGAGAGGAGTGAAGGGGCCTGAGCACCCAGGGGCACTATCCCCAGACATGCAGCCTTACTGTCAAGCAGTCGCTCTGTCTTGCCACATGGGAGGCATATTGGAGGGTTCATGCAACTCTGCTGAGTACTTAATAAAGCAGCCAGTGTCATGGGCTAGTGGCTGGAAGTACACCGGGGCTCTGTAGTGTTATTTTTTAGCCCAGACATCTGCTCTTTCACATCAGGCTAATAGAGAC